>NC_000017.11:16854747-17157777 GCF_000001405.40 Homo sapiens
CCACTGAGGGGCAGCTGGGCCAGGAGCAGCACCTGGTGACTGCAGCCTTCATAAGCACACAAGTCCATTCCTGTAGTCAGGCCCAGACCTCCTGGAATCTGCCCCGGGCTCCCTCATCCCACCTTCATCCAGAGTTGCCTAAGTTGCATCTCTGGCAAATGCAGGATTGCTCAGTGGTGAGAAGGTTAGGTCTGGCTCTGACCGAATAAGGGATAAAATTTGCCTTAAAACTTGCCTGGCCGGGTGGATCACCTGAGGTCAGGAGTTCGAGACCAGCCTGACCAACATGGTGAAACCCCGTCTCTACTAAAAATACAAAAATTAGCCGGATGTGGTGGCGGGTGCCTGTAATCCCAGCTACTCAGGAGGCCGAGGCAGGAGAATGGCTAGAACCCAGGAGGCGGAGGTTGCACTGAGCTGAGATTGTGCCATTACACTCTAGCCTGGGGACAGGGAAAGATTCTGTCTGAAAAAAAAAAAAAAACAACCTCGCCTGGCAGTGGCTTTGCGACAGAGTCTGAAACCACCCGTTCCCACCCTCTTGACTGAAATGTCCTAGTGACACAGAGAAGGGCAAAGGTCTGAGCCCAGAGTTGACAGAGGGACTATTTCAGGGTTCACTTCAGGGGCTCCCAAAGCAATGAGGGTGTTAGGGAGAGAGGCCCAGGGTGGGGACTGGGAATTTAAGGAGAGCTGGGAACGGATCACTTAGGTTCAGGAAGCTTCTGTACAAGCAGTAAGGATGGCTTGGGCCAGAGGGCTACTCCTCCTGTGGTGCTAGCGGTGAGCAAAGCCCTGGGCTCATGGCAGCACTAAAGCCCATGGCTTCAATCCTACACCTGCACCACACATTCAAAAGGATCATTTTTTGTTGTTTGTTTGTTTTTTGTTTTGTTTTTGTTTTTGTTTTTTGAGGCACAGTTTCACTCTTGTTGCCCTGGCTGGAGTGCAGTGGTACTATCTCGGCTCACCGGAACCTCCGCCTCCCAGGTTCAGGCCATTCTCCTGCCTCAGCCTCCTGAGCAGCTGGGATTACAGGTGCCCACCACCATGTCTGGCTAATTTTTGTATTTTTAGTAGAGACGGGGTTTCTCCATGTTGGTCAGGCTAGCCTCAAACTCCTGACCTCGTGATCCGTCCACCTCAGCCTCCCAAAGTGCTGGGATTACAGGCGTGAACCACCGTGCCCAGCCTGATTTGTTTTTAAAGAAAGATGAGATTGTCTTGGTTCTTCATGAGAAAATTTTATATAGCTCTTTTTCTTTTTTTCCTTGCTCATTTCATTTTGGAAAAGAAATCTGTACTGTATTGGGATTGCGAAGAACATCTCTGCACTCAAACAGTTTACAGAAAGAAATTTTGTTTTTCAAAAAAAATAAAAAGAAGAAAATTAAGAGTTCAGTTCTTCCATCGCAATAGCCACATTTCAGGGGCTTGTTAGCCGCACGGGGTGGCTGCTGTGTTTGACAGCGAACGGGGAGCATTTCCATCACTGAAGGAACTACCGGACAGGGCTGGTGTGGGGAGTGCACAGAGGGCTGGGGGCTGGATGGCCGAGGACAGCGACATCTGGGTTGTCCTGCTGAGAAGGGGTGGCCACATGGTGACACACCAGGAGGAGGGGACAGCAGGTGCAATGTTGGCCAGACGGGGATGTGCTTGATGTGTTCAAAGGACAGAAAAGACAGACGGAGCAAGGGGAGAGGAGAGCAAGGTGGGGCTGGGGAGGTCAGCGGTGGGGCCTCTGGGGCCTGGGTAAACAGTTTTCTGCTTTACGTGGAAGGCGTCAGGAAGCCATGGGGAGAGGGGTTAAGCAGGGGAGTTGCATAGTTTGAACAATATATGAAGAATGGATTTGTGGGGGCAAGAGTGGAAGGAAGGAGCCCTAGGGAGGAGGCTATTGTGTCACAGAGAGGAAAGACTGAGACCCGGGTGATACGGGGGTGGGGAACAGCCATAGCCGAAGCCTCAGGGTTCTGGATCCAGCTGTGCCTGAAGTTGATCCCCCCTCTCCTCCCTTTCTCCTCTTGGTTACTGGGCACTGACTGGAACACCCCTCATTACTACCACCCACCTATCCCCTCCCTCACAAAACACCTGACTGTCTCTCCTCCTATCTCTGTGCAGAGCACTCAGAAGGGACCTAGGCTTCCCTCAGTGCCCTGGGCCCAATTTCTTTTCAGAACTTTTCCCCCCTGACTGCATCCCAGGGCTGATAAGATAGCCCTGTCTAGTCACCTTGGAGTCCTGGGAAGATTCCTTAGGCCACCTGGTGTTTCACTGACTTTCCCCACCAGGATGCTTTCCTGGAGCTGTGAGCAGGAGGCAGGAGGAACCAGCTGGCTCTGGGTCTGGGGGTGGAGGCAACTAAAAGAGAAGGCTCAGCTTCAGTTGCAACTGGAGGGACTTTGGTTTTCTCTTAGGAAGAACTTCCCCTCTATAAAAGGGCCGATGCCATCCTCGTGCATTCACAGCGGAGGGGATCTCCTAGGGGCCTAAGAATAAGGTGGAAAACCTGCTCCCTAGGGTGGGTACCAAGAGGCCGGCTCTGCTCCTCCAAAGCTGGGCACTCATTCTCCCTCAGGACCTTTGCAGCTGCAGTTCCCTCTGCCAAGACCCCAGGTGGCTCCTCCATCTCGCTCCAAAGTCTCCTCCTGAGTGGCGTTGCGGATTGCCTGATGAGCACGGCTCCCTCCTCGGAAGCACCTTGTCTGTCTCCTGTACTAGAACGCCAGCTCCACAAGGGCAGGGCGGTTGTTGATCTTGTTTCTCTCTGTCCCCTCCTGTCTGACACTGTGCCTGGCACATGGTGGATGTTCCCAGGAGGTTTCTGGAATGAGCAGATGTCTGGGGTGAGTGTGGGCAGGTGGCTGCCATGCATACAGAGCCTGCCAGGCCCTAGTGGGCTCAGACTCACCCTCTCACTGCACCCTCCCAGTGGGGATCAGGACTTTGAGGCTTAGAGAGGTGAGGTCACTCACCCAAATGGCACAGCCAGTATGTGGTGGCCCTGGTCTGGAGAGGCCTGGAGGGGACTTGGGGGGGTTGGAGGCTGGGCCAGGGCCTGGGGACACACTGCCTTTCCGCATGACAGCTCTCCATCCGTCCACAGGCCCTGCTTCCCCTGCCAAGTCCCACCTGGGGCTTCCCTGACCACCTTAGGTCCTCAGGTACAATTGCACTGCAAGGCACTGGCCTGTGGCACACAGAAGAGGGCCCTGCAGCCCAGATTCACACAGCAAGTGAATGAGGCATAGCTGAAAACCGTGCGTATGGTGGCCTCAGCCGGGCCACACTGGGTAGACCCAGACTTGGGCAGGCATGTGGCTCCACCCATCACTGGGCCGGCAGCCCTGCCTCCTGAGTGCACCTGCTACACCCAGGGCTTGCACCAGCTTTGGGGACAGGGGCCGCCTCTCCAAAAAATGCAGCTCATTGTCAGTGATGGGGCAGGATTCCTTCCCGATGGCCACACCCAGGGGGGGATCTGTCCAGATGGACAAGCGCAGCTGAGTGAGGTGCCTGAGGAAGTCTGACCCCCTCCATCCTGTGATGGATCCTACCTGTGTCCACCCCATCCTGTCTGACTGCTTCAGCTCACTCTGTCTGTCCCAGCCAGTCTGGAGCCATACTTCCTTGTAGCTCTGTGGCTCCTTCCAACTGCACGGCCTTCCCTGGGCCACTTCCCCTGCCTAGAAGGCTCTTTGCCCGTTGTTTCCGTTTCTGCTAGGTCTTGGTTACGTGGTCTTGGTTGGAGGACGGTCTCTCTGATCGACACCCCTGCCCGTGGGACCCTCTCCCTGTGGCCTCCATGCTCAAAATGCTCATTCTCACCTGCCTCAGGGCCTTTGCACTTGCCCTGCCCCAACCCAAGCTAGTCTTTCCAGGCCACCCTCTCCGAGCCACCTCCCCACTTCCCCAAACAGGCTCCTCTGCCCTTGGCCTGCAGGGCAGTTATGGTTGCCTTTGCCTGTGGAGTCGGTGCTCACTATGGCACAGCCCTGCCTGTAAGCTGGGGAATCCAGCCATTGAGGAGTGCTTGCCAAAAGAATGAATGAGCACCCTTCAGAAAGGGTCCTGGACCCACATGTGTCCCCCAACACAGTGTGTGACCTGGGACGACAGCTCCCCCTCTGCACTGCATCTCCTCTGTCCACTGTGGTGGTTGGTCCCCAAGATCCCCAAGGGCCCTGCTGGCCCTCACCTTTGAAGCTCTGGGACACAATTATCAAGGGAGACCACTGCCTACACTCCCAGAGCTGAGAGCACAAACAAGCTCTTAAATCAATCAGCGACATCACCTTCCAAGTGAAGAAAACAGGACCTCTGGCCTAGACACAAGGACAGGGGAGAGGAGGCTGCAAACATCCCTGAGTGAGCTGGCTAGGAAGGGTCACTAGTTGCCTGGACCTGGAAGTTGAGGGACCCACAGAGAAAAGCAGGGAATCTCAGCTGGAAGATGGGGATGATATCAACTCAGACCCTCAGACTCAACCTGGTGAGGGAGAGTGGATATATCAAGACTCCTTACGCCACCAAAATCAACTCTGGCTAAGTCCAGCCAAGGCAAAGCAAGAAGGGAATGTGCCGGGAGATTATAGGTTAGCTCATAGAACCAAAAGAAGAAAAGAAGTAAAAAAACCACATCCTGGAAAGGACTGGTTTGGATATGAAATTTAGGTAGCCGAACTAATGGGAAGCCCTTGGATGAATGAATTCCCTCTGATTCCATCCTCAAGTCACTCTACTCAAGATCCAAATTTCCTTAATATATAAAGAGTTCCTACAGTCAATAAGACAAATGAAACTGCAATCGAAAATATGAAATAGAAAAAATGTCCACGAGTATAGACATGAACAGATAGTTCACAGAGCAGGAAGTAGAAATGGCCCTTGAGCTGATAAACAATGTTTAGCCTAATATATAACCAGAGAAGTGCAAATGGAAACTACAGTTTAAGCCCATTTTTCACTTATCACATTGGCAATTATCCAAAACTGTGATAACACTGTGTCACCATGGGTGTGGGAGACAAGCTCTCTCCTGCATTACTGGTGGGAGTATAAACTGGTAAGGCCACTATCAACATTTTTTTTAATGCACATGCCTTTTGATCTGAAAACTTACTCCTAGAAATGTACAGGGACACTTGCAAATGTGCTGATGGCCCTAGTACAAGGATATTTATTGTGGTGTGTTTCTCTTGTAATAGCAAGACTGGAAACAATCTAAATACCCATCAATAGAGGTTGGTGAGCTCCATAATAACGTAGCCACTCAGTGAACTCTGCAACTGTGAAAAAGAAGAATGAGGTAGCTTTACATACTGCAGCCTGGAATGATCTTCCAGATAGACTATCCCATGAAAAAGCATGGTGCATGCATATTCGTGAAAGCCTCCATTTTTGGTCTCTGAATTCAGAATGCTCACCTTTGTCTTGTGTGGCTACTGTCCACTCTCCACCTGTAGGTCACAGAAGCGTGACCCCTCGTACCTTTCTATGTGCCCCTTTTCTGGCCTGAATGGCCTTGGTTTCCAACTGTCCACACCTATGACTCTTTGCAGCAAGACTGTCATCAGGCTATTGGAGCCTCTTGGTCCTTTCTGCAGAGAGCTGGAAGTGTCCCACTGCCTCAGGATGGCCCTTCACTAATGACTGACATGTGTATCCTTAGCTCAGGCTGGGAAACGGAGATGTGACTCCACTCCACAGTCCCCCGAGGGACCTGCTTCTGTAGGATTTTGCCTGGGGCCACAGCCTTGCATGGCTTCTCCCCTCTCTGTCTGCTACCCCCTTTCCCTTACTGCGCTCCTTGGGTGCCTGTCCTTCATCAGTCACTGCCATACAAATCAGGATCTACTTCTGGGGAATGTGACCCAGATAGCTTCCCCCTTACCCTGCTCCTTGCTTTTTGCAGGTAGGGTGTGCCTGCATATGCAAGTGTATGATGCAACGTGGGCACCGTGGTTCTTCCCGTTTCACAGGTGAGGGACCTAGAGCTCCACGGCTCGCCTTAGGTCCCAGGTAGGAAGTGGCAAGCGACTTTGAAGCCACGTAGTCTGGCTCCAAGAACAAACTCACATCCACTGAAAATATTGAAAATAGCCTAGAGAAGGTAAGCTCCAAGTACAAGGAAAATCTGCATTGTTAAAGCAGGCCAAGCATGGAAGAACTCTCATTTATTTTCCCAAAAGATTCTATTCTGTAGTCTTCCCTTCATAAACACACATCCCACTGTCAGATGCAAATCCTAGAGCTAGAAATGGGGCATTCAAGAAAGACAGAGCTCCTGGGAACAGCACGTTTGCAGACATGGGAAGGGACCCTCCCACTGGTTTTGGTTTCTCCATGGCTATGGGCAAAGCCTGCCTGCTCTGCATCCGGGGATCTTGGTCAGGTGTTGGAATCGGTGGGTGGATTGCCGGTACATTTGCACTGTGTCCTAGAGAGCCTCTATGCATTTCAACTCTGATTCTCCTTCACCATCTATGTGCAGCCCACAACCGCAGGACCCCGCCCCTGGCCCTGAATCTCCCATGTCCTGGCGCCAAGCAGGTGAGTCAGCCTAGGAGGAGGAAGGGCTCCCGGAAGCCAAGCCCATGCTGGGGTGGTGAGAAACAACTTTCCTATGCAAGGAGGTGCCTGAGCACCCCCTGATGGTCAAGCCTGAGCCCCCTCACCTCCCCGAAGTGTGATGGAGGAAAGGCCGGAAAGAGGCAGCAGTCTTCACCCACTGAGGCTGAGTTTCTCACTCATGCCAAGTTTTACATAAGCTGGGGACCATGTGCTTCAAGGCTAGAGGTCTTGGCGGGCCCAGGGCCTTGGAGGGGCCTGGATGACCAAGGGGTCCGTGGCTTAGGCCCTGCCTCTGCATGGGGAATCTTGGGAAGGTTGGAAGCCCACAGCCCCTACCGAGAAAGGAGCCATGGGCCAGATCTTTTGCACAAATCCCACCTGTGCTCCTTGACCGCCCCTCCCCACCGGGGCCACGGTGACCAGGAGGCAGAAGCCTCCATCCGTTCACAGGACCAGCATCCTGGGAGGACCCTGGCCTGAGCGAGCTGCTGAAGGGGACCCTCATGCTGGATGGTTGGCTACTTGGCACCCTTTTCTCTGTGGAGCAGGGATGACATTTGAGAGCCACCAAAGATGGGCAGGAAAAACAAAGGCCACCACAAAGGAAGCTGAAGGCAGAAAGAGATGCAGAGAAAGTGGGAGAAACTCGGCTGTGCTTTGTGGGGGCCCTGCAGGGACATCGGCTCCTGAAGGGATGAGAGAAAGGGTCCCCTGAACTTTGACACTCTGTTCTTCTCAAGGCCTGGCCAGCCCTGTGGCTCCTTAGAGGAATCTGGGTGCCTTCTGTCCCTAGTACCTGACAAGCCCCAGGTGAGAAGACCTGAGTTCACCTGCGCTGCCACGTGTAACCTGATGGCCCTGGCACCCTCGCAGGGTTTGAATAGCTGCCCTTTCCACCTGTTTCCCGGATTTTCCACACCACCCAGAGGCTCATATTCAACCCCACAGCCTACAAGTCAGCCAGGGGCCTTTGGCCACATGTACTGATGATGAGAATCACTGGATTGTAAGCTGTAAAAGCACAAGGATGGTGTTTTGTTCCCCGCTACCCCCTGCACCTGAGGCCCAGGGAGGATTGCTGCTCGGATGAAGGAGAGCGAGTGTTCATGGAGCTCTTTGCAGAAGCCACGGGAAGCCCTTCCTGTGCCTTCTCAGGTTTAGTTCTCAGACAGCCCCACTTTCCAGATGAGGAAACAGAGGCTAAGAAAGGAGAATAAACTTGTCCAGAATCAGTGGTGAGGCTGGGATTTGAATCCCATCCTGTTGGACTCAACACTTCCTCTGAAAAGACAGGATAAGGGAGCTTCCTACTTCTGGCTTTGGGAACCGGCAGAGAGGAGCAGAGTTGGGCCAGACGCGTCACCTCCCAAGCTCTGCGGCACCCAAGGGTTCCCAGGGTCCTCTTCCTCCATTTGGCTCTTTTCTTCTCTGGACTCTCCCACCTTCGAGGATTGGACTCCTTGCAGGGAGCGCAAAGCAGAGAACAGAGGAGGCCCAACTGAGGAGAGTGTGCTGGAGCAGATGGAGCACAGAGAGAGCCCCCAAACCTTAGCCTCACCTGGAGAGTGGCTCCCTGCAAGCTGAGCCCCTGTGTGCCCAGAAGTGACATAGGCATTCAGGAAAGGGACTGAGGGAGGAAAGAAGGAGCCATTCCTCTTCCCAGGGGCGCCTGCCCTGGGTTCCTGAGGGAGGCTCCATGTTTACATCTCCAAAGGCCAGTCCCAAACACGCCAGAGTGCAATGCCCTCCCTCAGACCCAGGGCCATCCTCGGAGCAGCCGGGAGGCAGCCTGTCCACTCTTACCACAGGCAGGTCGCCCAGGCAGCCTCCTCTTAGAGCTCCTGAATTCTGGAGCATGAAATAGAAATGTGAAAAACAGGCTGGGCGTGGTGGCTCACACCTGTAATCCCAGCACTTTGGGAGGCTGAGGTGGGCAGGTCATTTGACATCAGGAGTTTGAGACCAACCTGGCCAACACAGTGAGACCCTGTCTCTACTAAAATACAAGTAAATAAGCCAGGCATGGTGGTCCACACCTGCAGTCCCAGTTACCTGGGAGGCTGAGGCAGGAGAATCATTTGCATCCAGGAGATGGAAGTTGCTGTGAGCTGAGATCGCACCGCTGCACTCCAGCCTGGGCAAGAGAATGACACTCTGTCAAAAAAAAAAAAAAGAATGAGAGAGAAAATAAATACGACAAAATGTTAACAATGGGTGAATGTAGGTGAAGAGTATGTGGCAGGGTGTTTTTTATTCTCGCAAATTTTGTGTAGGTTTGAAGTTACCACAGAATAGCAAATATAAGAATGATTCCTGCAGACACACGAGTGATTTCAACTGTTCACAGGGCTCAGGCAGGAAGCAGATCTCTTGCCCTCCCTCTGATCCAGGTCACTTAGTCCAGTCCCTGAAAGCAGTGGATGGACAACCATGCCACCCTCTTTCTTCAAATACACCTTATTTTGTATCCTGCCCTTTTTGTGTAGCATTAGATCATGAGCATTTTCCTCTGCTATAAATGTCCCCTCAAATATGTTGTTTCTTGTGACTCCCTAGTGTTCTACCCACGATTTCCTCGGCTGCTCCACCTTGGTGGAATTCAGTGATTCTTCTGCCTTTTCACCATTGTAAGTGATGCTTTGATGAAAAGCTTTGTAGGTTCATCTGTGCTGCACCTCTGACCAGTCTTTTCTGGAAGACTCTAAGGAAGGAGACAGGGGCATGGACCACTGGCTTTTGAAGGCATTCGGTGGGTCCTGCCATGCCGCCTTCCCACATTCCAGAAGGGTGGTCCCAGTGAACAACCCACCAGCACGGGGCCCCGCTCCATGGTGCCCCAGCAAGGCCAGCGTCCCTATACAGGAAAATTAAACCATTTGCCAATTCAAGGCACTCCAGATGGATCTCTCTGTTTTCTTTGATGACTGATGTGTCCTTTTTTGTTTCCTTCAGAGCACTAAGACTGTGCATTTTCCCAGGACTGTCAGGGTGGTTTTCTTACCAATGTGTGGTGGTTGTGAGGGTTCAATTGAGTCGATGCCTGCAAAGTGCTGGCCCAGCACAGGAAAAGCACCCAGTGCTTGCTGGCTGTTTGCTGCGCCACAGCCCAGGTCACAGGCTGGGTCAGCTGCTCACTGGCAGTGCCACTGTAGCCAGGCTGCTCACCTCACTGAGCCTCAGTTTCCTTCTCTGTGAAAGGGGAGCACCTTCCTCACAGGGCTGTGGTGGAGTGAAGGCAGGTAAAGCACTTAGGAGGGCGCCCTCCCATGCTTGGCACTCTGCAAATGCTACTGGGATTTGCACAGGAAGGAAATTGACCCTTTGTCCTATTTATTACCCATAGTTTCCTTCCGGAATCCGAAAGTGGAGTGTGGTGTGGCTGGCAGAGCAGGCTGCCCAAGGGAGCCAGGAGAGGGGAGGACGGAAGGGGTGGGAGCCGTCTTCTCCAAGGCTGCTGTAATGCTGACCTAGAGAAGACCCCCAGAGTGGGGCATGTCCCACACTCAGCTGGCCCTGCTCCTGCCACCAGGCCTGGCACACATCGGATGCCCCCTGAGTCATGTCGAGGAAGGAATGTCTAACACTTGAAAATATTCTAGAGCCATAAAGATAGACCTGGTTGGACCCAGACCAAACCTCAAATTGATCCCAAGGAAGATTTCACAACTTCCTTTGAGAGATGCCTCTCAGTGTCGCCTGGCGCGATTCAGGAAGTCCTTCTTGAGAGCTAACCTAAATCCTTCCTGCTCGCCCTCCTCATGCTTGGGAGAGGAGGCAGCAAGGAGGGGGGGACAGGTGGGCCTCTCGCCTCAGAGCCCATATGAGGTCCCGAGAAGGTGAGGCTGGGCCCTGACTCAGCTTCAGCACACACTATTTCCATTCCCTTCCCGTGACTCAACAGGGGAGGGGCCCGGGGGCCACTCACCTCTGTCTTCTCAACCTGCAACTCCCCCCACCCCTTCCTGGATTCCTGTGACGCAGGAATCCCTCTGGTCTGTGTGGAGGAACCCAGAGCAACTTGAGCCAGAAGTGGATGTCCAAGCCGGCATGAGTCACCCCTCAAAATCAGGACCAGTGAGGGCCTGAAGAGGCCACACCGCCTCCGGCAGCCTGGCCGCCGCTCACTTCTCTGGGAAAGTGGCCTGGAGCTCGCATGGCATCTGGGCCCAGCCTCTGCCTCTGACCTGCACTGACCCCTGTGTCACCCGCCTCCAGGGTGACCCTCCTCCTGGCATTCAGACAGCTCCACTCACTGCTTCGCACAAACCTGTGCCACCCTGGTTCAAACATTAACCAGCTGTGTGACTTTTTAGAAGCCCTTCCCATGTTTAAAAACCAAGCTGGGAGGATGCTGCACCACTGCCATCATGGTTCTCACTGAACCGTCGCAGGAAAAAGCATTTCTTGCGCCATGGCTGTGTGCAGAACAGGCTTCCCACGGCTGAGTCCCCAAGCCCCCCACAGACGCTGCCAATGAAATGCCGTCAGCCTCAAGCATGGTTCTTGGTACCCAGCCCTGGTAAAACCACGTGTCTCAGGCCTTCTGAACCACAGTGCCCAGAACTCTGGCTGGGCTTTGTCCCAGAGGACAAGACTGGCCAACCCCCTGCTGAGCTGGAAGAATAGCTCCCTCAGCTGGCAGGGACCTGCCCCTGTTGCAATTTGGACTGAGTAAATGCTGACAGGAGGAGCCTGCGTGTCAGGCCAGGATAGACAGAGGCAAACTCTGTACTCTCAGAGAGCTTAGAAGCTAGAGTTGGAAAGCATGGGAAAGGGTCAGACACCCAAGAGAAACAAGTGCTGATGTCCACCAAAAGAAAACTTACTGCATTCTATAAACTAAAATCAAACAAATGTTCTCCTGCATTGCATAGCAGAGGAAAAGACCAAATGACTCTTCCATGCAACAAGTTAGATGAATCTCGCAGATAAAGTCAGACAAAAGAATCCAGACGCAAAAGAGCATGCACAGTATGGAGTTCAAAAACAGGCAAAAGTCATCTATGGAGACAGAAGTCCTGGTGGTGGTTTCTTGGTGGGGTGGGTGGGGGATGGGGTTATTGACAGGAAGGAGGCACCAGGGAGCTTTCTGGGGTCCTGGAAATGTTCCACGTCTTCATCTGGGGTGTGATGATGGGGTGGACACATTTGTTAAAACGCATTGATTTGCACACCAACATTTGTGTACTTTGCTGTAACTTTTTCCACACTTTAAGAAGAAGAGGAGGGAAGAAGAACTGTTGGGGAGACCAGCTGGGACCCCCTGCTGCTGACTCGCGGGCGTTGCCTTCGTGCCCCATGATTGTCGGGCCATTGAGGCCTCCTGGCAGCCTGGTAGACCTAGAACTATCTAAGCCAATAAGACACAGATTGTTGGCTCCACCACCAATTTCTGAGTCAGGAAGTCTAGGGGGGCCTTGGAATTCACATTTCCTGCAGCCTGCAGGCCATGCTGGGGCTCTGGCCCAGGAACTGTGCTTTAGAAGAGATGGTAGAACGTAGCATGTGCTGTGAGATCCCTCCAAGCTGGGAAGGACCCAGGTAAGTTCACAGAGGAGGTGCCCTTGAAAGATCAGTAAGATCTGAAAATGCCCAAATAAGCAGGAACTGCTGGTTCCAGGGAGGGAAGTCAGTGTGAGGCAAAGTAGAGAGGCTGGGAAGTGCGGCGAACGGCATTCCAGCCCTCAGGAGGGCAGGGCTGGCAGACAGATGTCTGAGTCCATTTCGTGCTGCTATAACAGAATACCTGAGACTGGGTCATTTATAATAATCAGACATTTATGTGGCTCGTAATTCTGGAGGCTGGGAAGCCCAAGGGCATGGTGCCGGCCTGAGCCCAGCATTTGGTGAGGGCCTTCTTGCTGCCTCATCCCATGGTGGAAATCAGGAGGGTAAGAGACCAAACTCACAGTCTCAAGGCCTTTTATAATCAGCATTAACCCATGCGTGACGGTGGGCACCTCATAACCTAAACACCTCCTATTAGGCCCCAGCTCCCAATACCATTGCACTGGGGATTAAGTGTTGAATACACGCCTTTTGGGGGACACATGCAACCCACAGAAAGAGGACATTGAGGCTTCTGCTTAGAAGGTTTTGTTCTGCATGATAAAGCTTGAAAATAGGAGGAAGCTCCAGAAAAATGGCCCTCCCCCACCCCTACCAGGGGATTATGTTCCAAAGTCAGAAAGTGAGGCACAAACCACATGTGGTCATTTACCTGTGACAACCTGTGATTGGCCTATGAAGGTAGATAGCCTAGCTCAGTGCTAAAGGGCCGGAGCAGATGCTGAGTTCACTGGCTGAGTGCCAGGTAAAGCCATCCGTGTGCACTGAGTGCTCATATTGGATGACAAACCTGGATAAAGAGCCCTCCAGCCCTTCCCTGTAACAAGCAGGAGCTGGGGCAGAAGGGCAGAGGTGCAGCAAAGCTGGGTCTAATGTGGGGAGCAATGTGGGGCAGGGCCAGGAAAGGGGCCTGCAGCTGTTGGTAGGCTAGCGGGTAAACAAACCCATTACAGTGGAGGTGTGCTGCTGACCGCCTTTCCTACAAGCTCATGGGCCGCCTTCACAGCACTTCCCCTGCTGCTTTTTCAGTGTAATCTTACAGCTATTCTGTCAAGACACCATGTTAAACACTAGTGGAAAAGTCACTGTGCAGAATTACCATATAATCTAGTAATTCCGCTTTTGGGTATATACCAAAAAATACCCAAAAAATAATTGAGATCAGGGTCTCCAACAGATGTTTGTTCACCCATGTTTCTAGCAGCATTCTTTTTTTTTTTGAGACGGAGTCTCACTCTGTTGCCTAGGCTGGAGCGCAGTGGCGTGATCTCGGCTCACTATAGCAGCATTCTTTACAACAACCAAAAGGTGGAAGCCACCCAAATGGCCATCAATATACAAAATGTGGTCTGTGCTTACAATGAAATATTCAGTCTTACAAAGGAAGGAAATTCTGGCACGTGCTACAATATGGAAGAAAGTGAGGACGTAATATTCTGTGAAAAAAGCCAGCCATGAAAAGACAAACTCTATATGATTCCACTTATATGAGCTAAGGGAAGGGGAATGGGGAGTTACTGTTCATTGGAGACAGAGTTTCAATTTGAGGAAGACAAAAAGTTCTTGGATGGATGGTGGTAATGGTTGCACAACAATGCGAATGTGCTTAATGCCACTGAACTGTGCACTTCACGATGGTCAAGATGGTAAGTTTTATGTGGACAAAAAGAACACACTATGTTTGGCCAGGAGCGGTGGCTCATGCCTGTAATCCCAGCACTTTGGGAGGCCGAGACGGGTGGATCACTTGAGGTCAGGAGTTCGAGAGCAGTCTGGCCAACGTGGTGAAACCCCTTCTCTACTAAAAATACAAAAATTAGCTGGACATGGTGGTGGGCGCCTGTAGTCCCAGCTACTCAGGAGGCTGAGGTGGGAGAATTGCTTCAACCCGGGAGGCGGAGGTGGCAGTAAGCCGAGATTGCGCCATTGCACTCCAGCCTGGGCGAAGAGTGAGACTCTGCCTCAGAAAAAAAAAAAAAAAAGAACATGCTATGCTATGTTTGTATTTAGGATCTAGTTTAGCTACGTCTAACAATAGTGGCTTTAACAAGACAGAGGTTCATTTCTCCAGGACACGGTCTAGGGGTGGCAGGGCAGGGCAGGGCTGCGGTGGCAACTTTGCTCCATGCAGTCATTCAGGGATCCACCCTCCTCTCTCCCATCCCTAGGGTGTTTCTCTCATCCATGTAGCTCAAGACAGTGCGCCATCATGTCCACATCCTAAACAGCAGGGTTAAGAAAAGATGGAAAAGGGCTTGCCCTCCTGCTTAATAATTTTTTTTTTTTAGACTGGGTCTCATAGCTCAGTGCAGCCTAGCCTGGGCTCTAGCAATCCTCCCACCTCAGCTTCCTGAGTAGCTGGAACTATAGCCACATGCCACCATGTCCCCATGTCCAGCTGAACTTTTTTTTTTTTTTTTGGTATTTTTTGTAGAGGTGGGGTCTCGTTATGTTGCCCAGGCAGGCCTTGGCCTCAAGTGATCCTCCCATCTCGGCCTCCCATAGCTCTGGGATTACAGGCATGAGCCACCGTGCACAGCCAGCTCCCACCTCCCTTGAAGCACTGTCATTTGGGGCCTCTGTTCTAGAAGGGGGTGCAGTTGCTGCTTGGTGTGCTGTCCATCCCCTCCACAGGATGGCAGCTGCATTTAATCTCCCGTGGCCACCATGGAGGTGCTCTTCTCAGGTCGGCCTTCAAGAGAGAAGCCTCTGCAAGAAGTGCAGTCAGCTGACAGCCTCCAGCTACTTGAGGGTCCTCCACCATATTCAAATCATCCTGCCCAATCTGGGACCCCACTACTGGCCATCTTTGCTCCAGAGACCTCCTGGGGCCTGCTGAGGCTCACCCACCCAGCTCTCCAGTGGCCCCTCTCCTTCACAAGCATTGTGCTTGGTGCTCTCCAGGCTCTCCCTGACTGCTCTGCCCCTCGCCCCTTTCTCCTTTACAGCTCCTTCTCCTAACACAGTTCTTGCATCTCTAACTCCAACCTGTTGTCTACTTCCCAGGGGAGCTGAACTGACACCTTTGCCCCAGGCCATATCCCCAGCACACAGACGAGGGCCTAGCACATAGTAGGCGCTCAGCAGAATTTCCAAGTGAGCACAAAAAACATGGTGGGCAGTCAATACATATGTGTTGAACTCAGCAAATTGCAAAGCAGCTGGGAAACAGCCATCGCCGGCTCCCCTGAGCATGGTGCTCCCGCAGCCCGTGTCAGCTGCGGTGCTTTGCCAATGCAAACAGGAGTGAAGAGTTAGACCCAGGCCCACTCCAGCTGCTGGGCCCCTTGCTCAACACAGCCCCTTCCTGCCACCTGCAGGGTGGGGTCTTCCTGAGCCCGCAGAGGGCACAGAAGGAAATACCTGCTCCCGGCCATGCAGGCCTCCCTGGCATGGGCACCCTGAGAGTCCTGGTCCCGGGAGTCAGGAATAACAAAGAGGCTGCCAGGGCCGGGCCCCTGGGATGCTGGCTAAGGGCAGAGCATGCCTCCTGGTTTGCTGGGCAGGAGGCTGATTGGACTAAATGGGCTTTGTTGATGATGACCCTTTGTTCCTCCATGGCGGCTCCGTCTGAGGAGAAGTTTTGGAGGCTGTTCATTCTCCTGCTTCCCCTGCTGCCGCCCCAGAGGCAAGGAGAGCAGCCTCCCAGTGGCCTGCTGGTTGTAAGAGTCAGGTGTGAGAGGTTGCATCACGTGCTTCTCTGGACTCGTGGTCTGCAAGGACGTGTGACAAGTGTGGCTGTAGGTTGATGAGCTGTGTGTGGCCTGGTAACGGGCAGTGGATGAGCCAGGGGGAGCAGCAGGTGGCCCAGCCCCAGCGATGAACATGGGGGAACTGGGTCCGTTGTAGGCAGGAAGGAGACATCAGCAGCAGCAGCCCCGGGGCATGGTGGGGGGTTGCAGGGGGGCCAGAGACAAGCCAGAGATGCCTGGATGATCCATTCCGCAGAAATAACAATCTCGAATCCAGGGCTGGGCCTGGCTGTGACTTGGTCTGGCCAGGGGTCGTGAGCAGCAGGTGTGCTGATTGTAGTTAAGAAGCCATCGGTGTCAGACCAGAGTCCTCGGGCTCTGCACCTGAGTCTGCTGCGAGAGGAAAGTGATAGGGGCTCGGGCATGTCAAGGAGGTAGGTGGGCACGTGAAGATGGGGCTCCAGGAAGGGGACATGAACACAGCAGTTCTTGGGGCTTTCTCCTTCAGGGGCAGGGGCAGGAGGACCGCCACCTGGCTTCACCATGAAGGGCCCAAGAGCATGGCATGGAGGGAGAGGCAGATCTAGAGAGAACACCGGCTGGTCTGCGGAGGGAGGCGGAGGAACGGGTTGAAGAGGGAAGAATTCCTGACACAAACTCTGAAATGACAAAGGAAAAGAATGACAAATCTGATTACACTAACATGAGCAACTTCCAAAGACCAATCACAAGAAACAAAACAATCACAAAGTCCCCACCAACATGGCTGAAAGTAAAACAATTAGCTGAGAAGAAATATTTGTCACCTACAGACCATGTCACAGAGGATTTTATTTTAAAGCACCCTACAAATCACTAAGAAAAAAGCCCCAAAGAAATAGCAATCTGGAAAAGGTTAAAAAGAAATAGCAATCTGGAAAAGGATACAAAGAGAGAATGTGCAGAAGAAGTGCCAGCAGCTGCAAAACCCACGTTCCACAAAATCCTGGATCAAACAGGCAGGAGACAGCATGACAAGGTGCCACTCTCTGCCCATCGGGTCGGCACGGATTTAAAAACAAGGACCCGGTATTGCCAAGGATGTGGGGAAAGAGCCCTGTGGGTGAGGGCGTCAGTTGGACAATGGCTGTCAACTTCTAGAATAATCATGTGTGCTTCCCTTTGATCCAAGAATCCTGCTGGGGGGAATTATTCCTGTAGAAATGTTTGCTCAGGTGTGCGAAGACACCTGCGTAAGACTTTTCATCTCAGCATTGTGTGTGATGCTGATGCCACAGCGTGGTGCCAAGACACCTCCTGGAGAGGACCCAGAAGGCCCGGCCACAGGTGGGGGTCATGGTGCCATGGTCCCTGCCCAGAGGATGCCTGGCTGGTGCGGGGGCAAGAGGGAGGTGGTCCTGGAGGCAGCGTTGCCTTTATCTACCCACAGGAGCGCACTGGACAGGGGTCCTGTGAGTGTGGGATCAGGGTCCCCCAGGCCCCATCTGCCCTCTGGTGCCCAGTGGCATCGAGCAGTTGTCTTAGCCACTCTGACCTCCACATCCTCCTCTGTGAAACGGGGTGCGACAGGACTACCTCTTGAGCTCCTGAGATCCTGGCATGCGTAGTGCTGTGTCAGGCGCAGTTCTAGGCCCTCTACCTTTACTGGGCCTAGGCAGCCTCCTACCAAAGGAGGATGAGAAGACACAGAGAGGCTGAGCAACTGCCTGAGGTCACACAGCTGCCCAGTGACCGCAGAGGACACAGCTGGTGTCCCATCCATCAGTCACCCACCCTCCCCATGCAGGACTCGCCTCTTCACGTCTAAGCCTGGGACGCCCGAGCAGGATCCTTGGGCTGCTTCTCCCAGCTGCAACGATGGGCAGGCTCCACCGCTGGAGGCCTGGAGAGTCCCTGCCCCAGGAGAGGGTCTCAGCCAACAGTGGCTATGGGGGTGGCGGACAACTACTCCAACCCCTTGCTCCTCAGCAGGGCAACCTCTGGGGCCTGCTCCACGCTGTCTCCCAGGGCTCCCCACAGCACAGAGCCTGGTGCTTCCCTGGTAACTGCCTTGATAACACATACTTTACTGGCTTCTTCCCTTCCCTCCCTCTCGTGCCCTCCCCTGGGGCTTCCTGCATCTCCCAAGCCAAGCACTTGCTCTGGAATCCTTGTCCCGGAGTCTGACTCTGAGCCCCTGCCTGAGACAGTGGCAAAGCTGGAGTTGGGCCAGAAAGTCGGGCTCCAGAACCTACTTTTTAAAAGTTTTTTTGTTTGTTTGTTTTTTAAATAAAGAGGCAACAGGGTCTTGGTTCGCTCTGTCATTCAGGCTGGGGTGCAAGGGGCAGGCAGCCTGGAACTCCTGGGCTCAAGCCATCCTCCTGCCTCAGCCTCTCCAAGCGCTGGGATTGCAGGTGTGACCTACTGCAGAATCTGTTCAGTGGGGCGGCTGGACTGGTTTTGACCCACTGTACTGGTTTGCAAAACTTCCCACCCGGCAGTCTCTGGACATTTTCCTAGATTGTGACAAGGGGCCGCTGCCAGGGGAGAGTGAGGGACCCTTTACCCTCTGTGCCCCTCTGTTCCTGGATCAGAGCCCTGACATTTATTGCACCCACCCACCCCAGGGACAAAGTCCTCTGCACAGGGCAGGCAGCCAGCCCCTCGACCAAGGCCTCAGGAAGGTAAAGAAGCCGGGTGCTCACCCGGGTGAGCACCCATGCTCACCACCTGACTTTGGTCCAGAGCAAGTGGTCCAGGGCTCCATCCCGCCTAAACTGGCTCCTCCCAGCCCCATCCAGAACCCGGGGTGCAGAGGAGCCCAGTGGCGCCACCTGCTGGGGACCAT
The DNA here is from genome assembly GCF_000001405.40 of Homo sapiens. Lineage (NCBI taxonomy): Eukaryota > Metazoa > Chordata > Mammalia > Primates > Hominidae > Homo > Homo sapiens. The sequence goes on from NC_000017.11 coordinate 16,873,414, forward strand.
CAAGAGGTGCTGGCACCTGGTTCTCTGCTGGATGCCAGGCAGCCACTCTGGAGCATCGAGGGCTGTCACCCAGGAGGGCTGTCACCCAGGAGGGCTGTTACTCAGAAGGGCTCTCAGCTAGGGGGCTGTTACTCAGGAAGGCTGTCATCCTGCAGGGCTTTCACCCAGGGCTGTCAGCCAGGGGGGCTGTTACCCAGGGCTGTCACACAGGAGGCATGTCACCCAAGAGGGCTGTCTCCCAGGAGGGTTGTCACCCAGCAAGGGCAGTCACCCAGGAGGACTGTTAACCAGGAGGGTTGTCACCCAAGGCTATCACCTGTGGCTGTCATCCAGGACGGCTGTCAGCCAGGAGGAGCGGCTGCCCACCCACAGGTGCTGAGGGGCCTTTAGATAAGGCCTGCTTCAAGCTGCTGGGGTGTCCTGTGGCAGCCATCACACAGTGTCACAAATGGAGTTTAACACAACAGAAGTTTATCCTGTCAGGCCAGAGTCCAGGATCGAGGGGTTGGCAGGTTCCGCCCCTCCTGGCCCCTTCCCTGGCTTCTGCTGGTGGCCGGAAGCCCTCGGTGTTCCTGGGCTCTGGATGCAACCTCTGCCTCCGTCTTCACGTGGCCTTCCTTCCTGTGTCTCTGTCCAATATCCCCTGCCTTATAAAGATAACAGTCGCCGGGTTAGGGCCCTCCCTGATCCAGCAAGACCTCATCTTCCCTTGATCACATCTGCGAAGACTCTATTTCCAAATCAGGTCACTTTCACAGGTGCTGGGTGGACATGACTCTTAGGGAGGTCACTACTGAACTCAGCACAGAGGCTCAGCTCAAACAGGGCCCCCTCCACGCAGCCCTGCCCCACCCCTTGCAGCGTCCCCTGTCCTCTGAGCCCAGCAGGGCGCTGTGGGCGGCTGGATGGGCCTGCACCACACCGCACCGGGCTTGCTGGTTGTGAAGCATTTTCTCTCTACATTTACCTCACAGCACGCAGCTGAGCGGCAACTCCTCGGGGAGGCTGAGCTGGGTTAGGGGCCCCTTTTCAGTGCCCCACCGCCCTGTACTGTCCCAATCTTAGTGCCGTTCATGCATTTAGTAGGGGTGTGACAGCCCCCAACCTGGTGTGGACACTACAGGGGAACTTTGTTCTGTTTTCAAGGCACTGTCATTGATGTGTGGGCCTGGAATACTCAGAGTGGAGTCGGGTTTTACAGGTTGAAGCCTGGAAAGAACTGTTGGGTTTCTGTGTGTAGCATCTGCTCCATGACATGATATACAAGAAGGAAGAATGGAAGAGGCTGTGATCCCAGCTGCTTAGAGAAAGGGTTGCGGTTGCAACGGTCAGAATGGCAGCCCAGTGAATCCCGTTGTCCATGGTGTTGAATTCTTGGAGACAGGTGCCTCCCTGCCAGCCAGCAATGTGAGAAACGATGTTCAAGACTGTTTTGACTCAAGTGTTTTGATTCAAGACAGGGATGGGTGGGACAGGGGGTGGATTTCTGCCCAAAGCACTTCTATGTGGGACCAGCAGGGCAAATGGCTGTGGACCAGCACGCAGCCAGCCAAAGGGAAATTGGTGTGTGGAGATGTGCTCCTGAGAGTCAAGTGCTTCAAATGTGAATCAAATGTGGGAAGTGCCAAGAAATGTTATATCAGGACATCATTCCAAATTTGGAAATAGAGGAAAGGTGGGCAGTGGGGAGATGACCTATTGTTGAGCCACACTACCCCAGCCAGGAGAGAAGGTCATGGGGAACCCCTCTTCTTTTTGTCACAAGAAAAAAGTGTATGTTCATAGTAGGAGACAATTATGGTGATATTGAACAATCATCATTAAAATGATATCACGTATATTTATTGATGACACTTCATAGTCTTCATGTAAGCCATTCTAAATGGCTGCAAAATGTTCATTTTATGGGGCTGACCATGACATTCTTAAGTTTCCCCTATTGCTGAGTATTCAGAGACTTTCCAGCTTTGGGTTTAAAAGTGATACTCGCCAGGTGTGGTGGCTCATGCCTGTAATCCCAGCAGTTTGGGAGGCCGAGGCAGGTGGATCACTTGAGGTCAGGAGTTCCAGACCAGCCTGGCCAACATGGTGAAACCCTGTCTCTACTAAAAATACAAAAATTAGCTGGGCGTGGTGGCGGGCACCTGTACTCCCAGCTACTCGGGAGGCTGAGGCAGGGGAATCACTTGAACTCGGGAGGTGTACGTCGCAGTGAGCCGCGGTCACACTCCAGCCTTTGCAACAAGAGTGAAACTGTCTCACAAAAAATAGATAAATAAAAATAAAAGTGATACTCAAGTGCATGTGTTAAATTTTGCCCACTTTTTGGATTATTTCTTCTGGAAGGATTCCTAGAAGTGGAATTCCTGAGAAAAAGGAAGGCAGGGCCTTTGAGTTCCTTGATCAGTGATTTCACACTGTTGGGCCAGGGCCAATTTGGCTTTTAGCTGAATTTGATTTGGCCCATGCAAGCCCATGCCACTTTTTAATGCACATGAACTTTGTTTTTTTTTTAAGAGATGGATTCTCACTCTGTTGCTCAGGCTGGAGTGCAGTGGCAGGATAACAGCTCAATGCAGCCTGGTCCTCCTATGCTGAAGTGATCCTTTCCCCTCAGTCTTCAGAATAGCTGGGATTACAGGCATGCATCACCATGTCCCGCTGATTTTTTTTTGGTAGAGACAGGGTCATGTTATGTTGCCCTCACTGATCTCAAACTCCTGACCTCAAATGATCTCCAGCTTCATTCTCCCAAAGTGTTGGGATTATAGGCATGAGCAACAATGGTTGGCCTGTACCTAAATTTTTTCCCCACAAATCAGAATTTCCACAAAATCGTGTGTTCTGTACCTACATTTTTAAAAGTAAGACTTCTGGCCAGGCATGGTGGCTCACACCTGTAATCCCAGCACTCTGGGAGGCTGAGGTGGGTGGGTCACTTGAGTTCAGGAGTTTGAGACTAGCCTGGGCAACATGGCAAAACCCTCTATTCTCTAAAAAAAAAATACAAAAATGAGCGGGTGTGGTGGCATGTGCCTGTAGTCCCAGCTATCTGGGAGGCTGAGGCATAAGAATCGCCTGAACCCGGGAGGCAGAGGTTTCAGTGAGCTGAGATCATGCTACTGCACTCCAGCCTGGGCGACACAGAGAGATCCCATCTCAAAAACAAAAAAAGGAAAGTTTCCCACCAGAATGAAGATTTACAGCTTATCCTGGAAAATCAGAGCTGCCTAATCAATCAGTGTAATCCACTGCATTACAAGAATGAAGGAGAAACATGATCTTTTTTTTTTTTTTTTTGGATACAGGGTCTCTTTCTGTCACCCAGGCTGGAGTGCAGTGGCGTGATCTCAGCTTGCTGCCACCTCCACCTCCTGAGCTCAAGATCCTCCCAGCTCAGCCTCCTGAGTAGCTGGGACTACAGGCACACGCCACCATGCCTGGCTAATTTTTGTATTTTTTTGTAGAGACAGGGCCTCACCATGTAGCCCAGGCTGGTCTCTAACTCCTGGGCTCGAGCTACCTGCCTACCTTGGCCTCCCAAAGTGCTAGGATTACAGGTGTGAGCCACCACACCCAATTGATAAAGCACATTTATTAGTTTATAGTTTATACTTTAAAACAAAGATGATAACAGCCCTTTCCCAAAACAAACCTCCTCGCCTGGGGACTAAACTGCCTTTGTAAGACTAACAAATTAGCCACAAGATTAGAAATTATGGTTTAGGAGTCATGCAGCTGGAGGCTACAAGATTCTGACCCTCCCCAAATTGCTCCTGGTAATTACATCCCTATTAAAAAGCTTAAGATCAGTGCTTGAGAGATTTTGCCAACTCAGCACTTGATGGATCAACTGGCACCACCCAGACTGATAAACTGGCTCATCTGATTTTGTGGCTTCTATCCAGGAACTGATTCAGCTCAAGAAGACAGCTTCGACTCCCTGTGATTTCATCTCCAACCCAAGCAATCAGCACTCCCAACTCACTGGCCTCCCCCACCACCTACCAAATTATCCTTCCAAACTCTGATCCCTGAATGCTGATGGATCATGCAAATGGAGACTGATTGGAGTAATAACTCTGGTCTCTCCTACAGCTGGCTCTGCATGAATTACTCTTTCTCTATTGCAATTCCCCTGTCTTGATAAATTGGCTCTGTCTAGGCTGCAGGCAAGATGAACCTGTTTGGCAGTTACGTCTTTCCTGGGGTGTCCACCACAGAGTGTGGAAGGCAGGTGTGTGGGCCTTTCTGGCAGCTGCCTGTGGTTTGGCCAAGCCCTGCCTCCCCCATGTCCCCCTGGGCTCCATCCTGTCTCCACTTGCATTTAGGGGTGGCTGCTGCTCTGGGAACATTAGAATCCAGAAGAGAGATGGAGCCACATCAGTTTTTTTCAGGCATCTTTCTAAATGTTTGTATCCAAGTTAATCGCCCTTATTCACTGTGGCATTGCCTTTCTAAGCAATTACCTCTGTGCCTGCTGCTAAAGAACTTCTCACCCAAGGGGGGCAGCCTGGGCACTACCCTGGGCATTAAGTCTTGTGTTTGATGTGCTCTTGTAATTTTACTTTGTTAGAACCAAATATTTACATGATGGGTTTGGGAATCTCTCCTTTTAGCTCCCGATCCAATATGAAATTCAGGAAACCAGTTTGTGATAAACTGCATCTGGCCATTAAGGGGGCCCCTGGGTGACCCCAACAGATTCACACCAGTGTATGAAAATTTGCCTGCATTTCGGAGAAGATAAATGGGCTTTCCCTCTTCAGATGCCTGAAGGGAGCACTTTGAGCTGAGTGGTACGTGACCTTCCTCTAGCCCCGGGGCCCTCGGTGGACCTGGGCTGCCTGGCAGGCACTGGAACTTCCCTGGATGTTCCCTCCTGCACCAGCACCATTGCAACATATAGACCCAAGTGTGATTTATTCTGGCTTGGTGTGTATGCTTTTCCTTGTGTCAAACTGCTGTTCTTTTGACAATTCAGGAAACTGTTTTGTTTACTATAACTTTGAAAACAAAAATTGTAACAAAAACATTCCCATGACTGTGCTGTAGTTGGAGAATTTATTACAACATATTTACACCTTCCTTTTCCCTCTCATTTTCAGGAGCTGTTTCAGGACTCCTCTTCCTCCCCTAATAACTTCAGTCTTTCCTATATCATAATAAAGCTACATTTTCTTCTGAAAACTGGCAGGTTCTCCCTTCCTGACACAAGCAGCCGAAGGGAGGGTGGCAGGAGGAAGAAGGGCAGCCAGGGGACACCGGCCTGCATGGGGGCGTCCCTGGTCCGAGTCAGTGGCCACAGCTGCAGCCTGGCTCTGTGCCCAAAGTTTTGTCTGGGTGTCAGGAAGGCCACGCACTCACATTTCATCTCTTTCCATGACTTGCTCGCTGTTCGTTGACCCTTGTTCCTTCTTTTTTGAGCAGGAAGGTGTCATCAAGGACTCTGTCCTTGGATGTGCACGAAAGTCACCTGAGGCCCTTGACGTGCAGGAATTCTTGCCAGCCTTGGACTGCAAGCCCCAGGCTATGGTACAGCAATGTGCATTTTGTAGCAAGCTCTCTGTGTGATCGGAGAGTCACAAATGGAAAGAAATAATATAATCAGTGGAGAGAAGATGTGCACAGCTATTCAAGTGCACAGTTCTGTGACATACCACAAGGTGGGGGTGGACCTGTATGACGTCTTCTCCTAGCAGCCCCCACATACTTCCCCTGCCCTCAGTGGGCCAGGAGTCTCCTGCTTGGCCTCATCTTTGATTCTGAAGCCTCCGAGATCTGAATACTTGTGCCCCGTCCTTTTTCAGATGCCTCTGTGGCAAACTTTTGTTATTTGACTTTCTTTGCATGAAAACACCGAGAACACCAGAGAATGCCCCAGGGTTTCAGACTTAGTCCTGTCTCTTCATATTAAATAGAACCATTATTGTGTTCCTCTGGGGGAAGCTTCACTCTGCCTGGGTCCCAAGACCTTCCAACCAGCAAAGCTCCATTTCTCCAGGACAGGCGCAGGATAACTTTGTGACTGAGACATTCGGTGCAATACTGAACATCGTCCACTTTCACACCTCCACTCTCAGAACTACACCTTCTGGCTGTTGGGGAGTCAGCACTGTATACTGGTTTCCAGTAGAAAGCATAACATTTATCTTGTAAGACAAACCATCGCTTCAGCATAACTGAGCGATCGTAAGCTCAGTTGCTTCCAGGTGGCGGCTGACATAGTGAGAACAGTTAGTTCCCTGGTCAGGGGCTACTGCTGCATGCCCCTCACTGTGAATGGGGTACCTTGGTCAGAAGCAACGCCGTGTGGTCTGCTGTGATGGCAACAGGCAGGGCTGGCGAGTCTATGTCCAGGTAGGGGCTCCCTGCAGTGAAGGCCGATCTCAGCCTTCTCCACAGTGTGGGCAGCCTGCCCACAGGTGGCCAACCGGTCCTCGTGGGAAACAGTGCCAGCCCAGGGATCGACACCAAGTCTCTCATCGGCAGATGGGGCACTCGGCAGTGGTGTCGGCCTGGTCAGCCTGGTCAGGGCATGAGCAGGATGCTGAGACTCTTGTGTCTCATTCCTGTCTGATGGCCATTTTGTCCGTGGGTCTATCCGGCAGGCATGGTGGCCAGGGAAAGGAGCTGACTCCATCAACCCGGCGTGCCGTTTTCCCCACCTCAGGATCAAAAGCATCCTCTGCAAGGATTCTCTTTGGTGGGAACATGGGAATGTGGATGAAACTATCTTCACAGTCAGAGCTGCTGAGGCAATGACTGCAGGGCACCTCTGTCCTCTGGGAAGCCCAGCTGGAAGGCTCTTGGCAGTGGTGCCTGCTGTGGCTGAGACAGGGGCTAGGCTGTAGGACGAGGCTTCCGGGAGAGGGGTCGTGCGGCAGGCAGGGCCGCGAAGCCTCCGGGTGCCATGTTGGCATAGTGGACTAGGACACTCAGGGCGCTGTTGGGCCAGGCTCCGGGGTGCAGACTGCCTGCACTGCAACAATGAGGCCGGGAAGAGGCAGCAGTGTTCACAGCTATTGACCCCCTTGAGCCAGCCCTCTACATCCTCATCACTGCACGGGCTCAGCGTCTCTGGCCTGGCTTGCCCAGGTTCTCTGATGTGAATCCTTATAGCATCAGGGCTTTCAGTGCCCTGGTCCCCTGCGTGGTCACCTGGAGGCCTGCAGTGCCCCTCTCCTCCTCGGACTCAGGTTGAAGCCAGGTCCATCTGGGCTTGGGACTTGGGCCCTGGAGGAGGGGCTCTGACCCACGGGTGGGGTCACGGGCCCCAGGGCATGCTGCTGGTTGGCTGGGGCTGTGGGAACTCCATGCTCAGCCTTCCCTCCAGAGGCCTTGATGGGACCAAGTCCCCCCATTGAATGGGATTTCTCAAGGCCCACAAGCCAAAAATATAAAATAAAAATAAAATAGCAGTAAAAACTAAGGTCCAGCAGCCATCTGGGGCTGCAAGGCAGCTGGGCGGGTGCTGCCTGGGCTCCTTCCACTCCAAGTTCTTCTACCAAGGGGAGTCACAGGCGGATGCCACCTTGCTGCTGGGGTGTCTCTTGACCTGCCACTTCTCTGTTATAAGCCCGGGCAGGGCCTGGTGTCGGGGTCCCAGTGGGCTTGCTGGGCAGGGTCTGTCGTTTTGTTCCAGGGCGGTCCATGGAAGATGTTGAAGTGACAGAGTCCCAGGAGCCATGTTCAAAAGGGCAGCACAGGAAACATGGACCCCCGACATGCAGGTCTGTGTGGAGCTGTGGCATAGAGTTCCCGGACAAGTGTTTCCATGTAATACAAAGCCTGACCTCACCGGGGGACAGGCTGACCTCATCTTGAGCTTCTGGGGCCCTCAAAGAGTGGCTTGCTGCCCTGGGTTCTCAGGAAGCCCCCTTGTGCTGCTGGGCCTCAGCCTCGGCCTTCGGGACAGCCCTGTCAGGCCAGGCTGGGGGAGAACAAGGCTTTTGTCCCAGGGGGACTGATGGCATGAGCTCCTGGAGCTGAGCTGGTGGGGTGGGGAGGGCCAGTCTGTCCCCCTCACAGAGGGGCCCAATGCCAGGGGTCACCCTCGAGGACTCTCACTGCATCTTGGCTGAAAAAAAGAAACATCTTCACCGAGCCCATAGGGTCCCTTCAGGGCGGGCCCCACAGACCTGGGCCTCTGGAGTCCTCGGGGTCCCTGTGTGGCCCCCTGGCCTGACACTGAGGATGCCCGAGAAGCCTTGCAGGCTGCTGATCCCAGGGTGAGGGCTGTGTGCAGCTTGGGGTGGGGGAGCTTTCAGGGAACCTCAGGTCACTCCTAGAATGGCCCCCTGGGTTCAGGCTGGCTCAGGGCTTCCTGCCTCCTGCCCTCACCTCAGGGCTGTTCGGCAGCCCCAATTCAGGACTCAGGTGGAAGAAACCTTCACTGTCACCCAGCACCTCGCATGGGGGCCTGTCTCCACAGCAGGTGAGAAGTGAATGGGCATGGGTTCCCCTCTGTCCTCCAGGCCATCCACCCCATGCCAGGGCTGCAGCAATCCCACACCCTGCTGAACTCTTGCTTCTGGCTCTGGGTCAGGGCTTTCCCCGTCCCCTCTGCCCAAATCCTCTCTGGGTCAGGGACACTGATTCTCTTGTCTCCCTGGCTTGTTGTCTTGACACCCTTGGAGGGGCACTCAAGAATGAGGGGTTCCTGCTGCTCTCTGAGGCTACTTGAAGGTGGGGGTGGAGGCTTCCATAGCTGGGTCTGACTGCCCCAGTGTCCCTCAGGGCCCTTCAAGGAGGAGAGGGGGACAATGTGGAAAGTGGGGGAGGGGTGTTGGGGGTTCCTGCCCATGACCCCTGCCTGTCCACACAGCATGTCCAGCACACACACACACGCGCTCAGCGCCTGCCCTGAGGAGCGGCAGACCCATTTGACTTTCTTAGAGTAGAGGAGGAAGAGGAGGAAGAAGAGGTGCAGGAGGAAGGCCAGGTAGGAGGGCTGGTGGGGCCAGGGCACTCCCCACCATTGACTGCCCCAAAGGGTGACTCGGAAGGGGACCTTATGCTGGAGCCCACCTCGGGGTGGCAGGCCCCAGTGTTTCCCTGTGAGTTCCTTCATGGAGGTTTGAAGGTTCCTGAGGACGGTGTTGTCCTCCAGGACCCGTCTCTGAGAGAGTTGCTCCTGAAACTCCCAGACGGTGCTCCAGGAAAGCTTCATGAGGTGCCCTAGGGACAGGGTGGCCATCAGGCAAGGGGGGGTTCCCTGGTGGGGGAGATCTGTGCCTGTACCCCATTTCTACCAGGCCCACCTCCCACTGGGTGGTGCCTGGTCCTTCTTGGCCACCCCGGGGTCCAGCTGTGCACAGGAGGCAACAGCTGGGGAAGGCCAGGCAGAGAAATGCTCACCACACTCCTGACTTTCATCTGGGTCATGTGGGGAGTGGTCTCAGTGTCATCATGTCTTGCCCAGCCCACCAGGCCAGACCCCCCATCAGGACAGAGCAGAGAGTCATAGGGACAGTGTGAGGATGCTTCCGCATCTGACCAAGTATACAGTGTTTGTATGTGATTAAAGTTAAGTGGTTATCCACTGAAAACTGATGACTATGAAGTGTAAGAACTTTTATGCAAGCCTCATGGTAACCATAAAGAAAAACTTTCGGCCAGGCGTGGTGGCTCATGCCTGTAGTCCCAGCACGTTGGGAGGCCAAGGCAGGTGGATCACGAGGTCAGGAGTTCAAGACCAGCCTGGCCAAGATGGTTAAACCCTGTCTCTACTAAAAATACAAAAATTAACTGGGCGTGGTGGCGGGCACCTGTAATCCCAGCTACTCAGGAGGCTGAGGCAGAGAATTGCTTGAACCCACAAGGCAGATGTTGCAGTGAGCCGAGATTGTACCACTCCACTTCAGCCTGGGTGACAGAGCGAGACTTTGCCTCAAAAAAAAAAAAAAAAAAAAAAAACCTTTCACTAGATACAAAAAAGAAAGAGAAATCATTCTATATATATCACTAAAAACAAAAAATCAAATCACAAAGGAAGATAGAAAGCAGGAAGTGAGGGAAAAAAATTGCTGAACAGAACATCATTAACCAAGTGGCAATAGTAAGTCTTAAGTATAAATAATTACTTTGCATGCAAATAGATCAAATGCATCAACAGATTGTCCAAAAAGATAGAAAACGAAGGTCCAATGATATGCTGTCAACAACACTCACCTTAGACTTAGTAGAAGGAAATAAATAAAAAGATTAGAGCAAAAATAAATAAAGCAAAAATAAAGTTGTATACTTTAAATACACACAAGGTTTGTCAACTATACCTCAATAAAGCTGTAAAAAGAAAAAGAAAAAATGGTGCAAAATTTTATTCGTGCAAGAAGAATAAGTTCTAGATACCTATTATACAACATAGGTCCTACAGTAAATTTTACAGTACTTTATACTTAAAAAACTTGCAACTGGGTGCGGTGGCTCACGCCTGTAATCCCAGCACTTTGGGAGGCTGAGGCAGGCAGATCATGAGGTCAAGAGATTGAGATCATCCTCGCCAACATGGTGAAACCCCATCTCTACTAAAGATACAAAAAATTAGCTGGGCGTGGTGGCGCATGCCTGTAGTCCCAGCTACTCAGGAGGCAGAGGCAGGAGAATCATTTGAACCGAGGAGGCGGAGGCTGCAGTGAGCCAAGATCGCACCACTGCACTCTAGGCTGGTGACAGAGCAAGACTCTGTCTCAAAAAAAAAAACAAAAACAAACTTGCCTAGAGGGTGTATTTTATGTTGTGTTTTTATCACATAAAATAATAATAAATAAGAGCACCAGGGAAAATTTTGGAGTTATTGGATATGTTTACAGAATAGACTGTGTTGATGGTTTTACAGATACATACTTATCTCTAAAACTATCCAACTTACATATTAAATATTTACTGCTTTTTGTAAGTCAATCCTTCCATAAACTCATTTTGTAAAAGGCAGATAAGTAACAGAAGGAAAAATAGAAACAAAGAACAGGTGCATGAATAGAACACGGTTAACAAATATGGTTTATTATTAATCCAATTATGCCAATAACTAATCAATGGTCTAAATTCATCTCTTAAAAGACAGATGCAGAGTGAATCAAAGAACAAAATGCAACTGTATGGCATCTTCAAGAAACACTCTTTAAATATAAATACACATATAGTTTAAAAGTCAAGGTATACAGAAAGATACACTATACTAAGACTAATAAAAATAAAAGCTTGTTTTGAGACAGAGGGGACTTTAGAACAAGGGAATTCATCAGGGATAAACAGGAACATTTGTTAATTTTAAAAGGGTCAATTTTTCAATCACGGATATCAATGTACACATATATGCCTCAATGTATATGCCCAATGACAGAGCATCAAAACACAAGGCAAAAACTGATAGAACTGCAAAGAGAACTAGATACATCCAGTATTTTAGTTGAAGATTTTAATACCTTCGATCAGTAATAGGCAGACATGGCAGACAGAAAAATCAGGACTATCCTAGTTGAACTCCCCCAGCATGGTTAATCAACTGAATATAATAGATGTCTATAGAATACTTCCACCCAGCAACAGAATAAGGGAAGGTTTACCAGGATACACCACATTCTAGGCCATAAAATATACATTGAACAATGCAAAAAAATTAGAAATCACAAAACATATGTTCTATGTTTTCATACCCAGTGGAATCAAACTAGAAATCAGTTAACAGAAAGATCTGGAAAATCCCAAGATACATGGAGATTTGAAACATATGCTTGTAAGTAAAGTATGGGTCAAAGAAGACAACACAAGATAAATTAAAATTAGAAATAGTGTGAGGGTCTCTCATAGGGGGGCATATTGTGATGGTAAGACAGAAATCAGTGGCATCCTTGAAACGGTTGCTGGGAACTGAACTGCACCATCAGCAGAGAGGGCATAGTAGGTCCATTGGTGGCTGACCTATTAGAGGAGATACTGCGAGTGAGGTGCAGCTGCAGACTTGAGGCAGACTCACCAATGGTGAGGGAAGAGCAGCGAATGAGTCATAACCAGGGTCTGACCGTAAGGTGGCAGGATGTCAGCAAAGGCATGACTGGTGAGCTAAAAGGCCGGCTACTGGGTGGTGTCTGAAATGACCCTGTGATAAAAACTGTCCATGACCTGAGTGCCGAGTAATTGGTGAATAGGCCTGCAGAAGACACAATTATGTGAGGGACTTTGGGAAACCTGGGACAGCAAAAGCCACGGCACACTGAGGCTTGGAAAAATGGTTCCATGGGGATGTAAAAGGAGTTGAAAGGTCGGGGTGGTAGTAGGCTTGGAGTTGCTGCATTGTGAGCAATGGCAGGCTAGAATGGGACAGGACCAAGAGGACTCAGAACTAAGCAGTAAGGTCTAAACACACTGTGTGTGCTGGAGGTGATGTCATAGGCACAAAAGCTTGATCCTGGAGGTGGCCCAATCAACCCTAAGTTTTGGATCCTTTCCATCCTGAATGGCTGCGAAGCACAACTGAGATGCCAAGTGTTTCTAGGAGGCACAGGCTGTAGAAACAGTGATAAGGGTGGCCTAAGAGTTAAACTCAATGGGGCCTGAGGCTGCCTCCATACCTTGAGTCTCTACGTATGGAGCTGCAACATAACTTAGCATGGAAAGAAACCTGAAGCCTAACTTAAGAGTGTATTTTTGTAACAAATAGCTGAGTCCCAACCAACAAAAGCAGCTGAGATTCAGCCAATCATAGGCTGCCAACATATCAAATCATGCCTAATAAATGCAAATGCAAAGCCATAACTGGTCTAGCTGTTTGTGGACCTCACTTATATTTTCCGTCTATAAATGCTCCCTCCTGCACAAGCTTTGGAGCAGAGCACTGACCTCTTCTGGTCCTGAAGGCTGCCTGATTTGTGAATAATTCTCTACTCAATTAAAATCTGTGAAATTTAATTTGTCTAAAGTTTTAAATACATCAGTAAAGGTCTTGCTGGATAGGAATGTAGTCATGGTTGGTGGGTCAGTGTGTGGCCATCCTGGGTGCACGACAGGGATGGTTACAATGAGAGAGTCTTCCAGCAGGTGGAAAAATCAGTATGTGATCTGGAAAGGCATGAACTAGTCTCCAGGGGGTACAAGGCATAGAAGCTTCATGGGCATGAGGTAGTTCCTGGAAGATTGGAAAGATCTGAGTGGGCTCAAGGACTAGATGAGTGTCACGAAAGCGCTAGCCTGTAAAGTTGTCACAGCAATAGAGGGGTCCAAAGAAAAGCTAAGAAAAAAAGGTGAGGAGGTGTTTATGGAAGCTGATCCAGAAGGGAAGCTTGCTATGTGTTAGAAAAAAGCAGACTTCTTACAAGCGAAAGTGGCCTGTGACACAGAAGGCTGCCTGTGGTCAATCAGGCAGTGATATTAGTCAGCAGCATTGTCACATAGCAAGATGGCAGAGTCCACGGGATAGGAGTCAATTAGCAGTGAAGTCCCAGCTTCCACTTCTCATGAGGAAAGATGCGAGTGCCAGAGAGAAGGTGTCATGAGGCCGATGTTGCAACTAATTGTTGGAATTCTGGCAATCTAGCAGTGGAGGCACTGCATGGTGAAAAATCAAAGTGAGAAAAGGGGGTCAAATCTGGAGTGACTCTTGTAGGCAGCACAGTCAGAATCAGTCAGTGTAATGACAATGGGACCCTGAGTCAGCCCAGTCCAGAAGCAGCATAAGAAGTTGGGTCCCCAGGAAGTGAACTGGGTCCAGTGGATGGCCTCTGCCTGAGGCACCATTCAAGAGTTCCTAGTTGGGGCTGTAAGTGGAAGCACAGCTCACAGGCTTGCTGACAGTAGTAGTAGTAGCAGTGGTAGGAACAGAAGTCAGGGCACTCCTTCCAACACTGGAGATGCTAATCAAATGGCATTTTAACAGTATGAGCAGGGTCCTGTCCTCACTATCAGGTGTATTTTTGGTACAAATGACCCCGGGGGTGCTTATTGGCACTGGAGGGGCAGTTTCAGGTCTGAGGTTTGTGGCAGACAACGTGGAGTTAGTAGTAAGCAGGCCATACAGTAGAGGACATCAACAGGGAGGCTCCCAGTCCAGAGCATTGCATGGCAGTCATCCTCAGGAGGTTTGCCCAGGATATAGAGATGAGGCCCTGAATGAGAAGCACTAACATAAAGCAAAAGCAGCAGTGGCAATAACCAGGATGGGGTATGTCTGTCTGTAGGCCAGAAATGTGATTCAGCCCAAGTTACCTTATCGCTAGAAACCTAAAGGGGGTGATGTGCTTCCCAGGGCATCTGCCAGGACATTTTTCTAGTCTGCCAGCTGTCAGCTCACTCTCATGCAGGGTTGATTCTGCAGTCGGGTTCCAGAACCCCCAGTGGGACAGCGAGGTGGTGGTGGCTGCCATGTCTCAAAGTGGGATCAAATACAGGGTGGTTGGTGGCACACCCATCCCTATAACAGTAACTGGACAGGGAGAGGTGAGGAGACCCTGAGATGCCAATGCCCATGGTGGGTGGCCCTGAGGTATGGATAGCATCCCTGAGAAGACAGGTAAGTGGAAAACATGATTCAAGGATTCCTTTCCTAGGGCCAGGACAAGGGCTGTGGTAGCATCAAAGTCCAGTTAACCCACAATGGGGTGGCAGGTTGGCCTAAAGAACCATGCAGAAAGACTGAAAGGCGGGTTTGCCTCCTGGGTGTGGAGATGAGTAGTGGCAGCAGTGGGCAGCTGTTAATATGGGCCAGCACCAGGGGCAGACATTAGTGCCAAGAAGGAGTCAAGTGGCCAATGTGTTTACAAAGAAGGGATGTTTTTCCAACAGCCCACACATTCTCTCCATTAGCCCACTGCAGTCTTCTGGTATGGAAGGTGAAATGCCCAGGTGAATGCCATTCCCCAGTGCCCACTGTTGGGTGACCTCAATTGTAGAATGGGTACCTTGGTTGGACTGAATGACATGGGGGTTCCACAGAGGGGTCAGGACTGAGGTAGGAAGAAGACCTTCTGGGCTGTCAACATCAACAGAAAAGCAAGGAGCAGGCTAGAGTTAGTGTCAACAATAGTGAGCATAGCTGGTGAGGCCTGCTCCTTGCTGGAGTAGGCCAATAAAATCGACTTGCCACTTGGCATGTGGGTAGTCACCTCTCCAAATGTGACTAAGGGAGAAAAAAGAGTGATGTCTCATCAGCAGAGCAGCCAGTCTTGGACGGCCCAAGCAAATGAGCTGGATGGGACAAGGAAGCCCCATATGTAAATCCAAGTTAACAGTCAGGCCTAGCTTAGATGTCCCAAAGTCAGGTGTGCCCAGGAGGTCCAGCCGGTCCAAGTACCACAGTCTCAGCTATAAGGGTAGAGATGTGGGTAAGGCAGTCTGCCTTTTGGTTATATTGAGAGGCAGCATCTTGGTGACTGCTGTGAGCTGACACATGGTGAACAAGTGGCACAATTATTAAGTATCAGCAATGTACCCCCAAAGGGAAGCAACCCCACCCCAGTGCCTGATCATGGTCATCCAGTGTGATGCCACCCACAGCCATCAGCAAAGGCCCCAGAATTGGTGAAGATGTGGATTTCAGGATGGCCTTGGATGGTAGAATCAGGACAATGGCTGTAGTTTCTGCCCACTGAGCTGAATGACCCTTCCTCTGCAGCTGGAAGGGGGTGTCTGAAGCAGAAGGACGGCTAGTAGCTACCCAGATGGCACCTCTGCATGCCCCATCAGTGAAGCAGGCATACCCCTGCTGCAACAATGTGATGGCCCCCCAGCTGGTGGAAGGGCCCCAACTAACCAAAGGCTGAGTGGTAGCTGTTTATTGGAGATCTTCCTCAGGCACACTGGAGGAGCAGAGACTGAAATCCTCATGAGGCACTGAAACTCCTAAGCGTTCGGGCTTGGCTCAGTTCCGTGACTACCATTTCTACTTGGCAAGAAATGGTCGGTGGTGGTGCCCAGTTTGCAAAGATGAGGATCCCAAATCCAAGGCACAATGGGGATCTATTTTTAACGTGATGGGCTTGGATCCTGTCAGTGTCCATCTCAGAGAGGGCTAGGTAAGCTGCAGCCAGCTGTCCCAAGAGAGTCAAACACATTAAACACAGGATTTATGCCAAAAGCCCACTGGAAGAAGAGACCTTGATTGGGTAATCTAAAGCCTCTATGTGTCAAAAAGCAATGTTCTTGAAACCTAAAGCCTACATCTGCAAATCCTTCCTCCAGAGGACCAATAGAAGAGCCTCCTGGACTGCCTGCTGGTCAACCCTTAAAGCTTCTTCTGGAGAAGGGCCTGAGTGAAGGTGGATGTCTCATAGGTGACCTGAAAAATTGAACTTACTGGAGGTTTGGCATATGTTTTCTCCAGAAGCCAAAAATACCAGCGATGCCCTGGGTCTTCTTGGTGGAGATGGGAAACCCTGAGGGTGACGAGCCTGAGGCTGACTGGTTGTAGATTTTGTCTGCCTTCCTTACTCTAAATATAGCCTCACAATTTGGACTCGGTGGGGAAAGGATGGGAGCAGGGTGAGGGATAAGAGACTACTACACGTTGGGTACAGTATAGACTCTTCAGGCGATGGGTGCACCAAAATCTCAGAAATCACCACTAAAGAACTTATTCATGTAACCAAACACCACCTGTTCCCCAAAAACCTACTAAAATTTTTAAAAAGTAACAATAGCTTAACGATGTTGAAAAGAATATAAGAATATAATTTGTCTTTCCTGATATAATTACATTTTCAATTTTATTAATTTAAGGGAGTATATTTGGCAATTCAGAAAGATCAAGGGATGAGTACTCTTTAGATTTTTAAAAGGAAACATCAATTAGAATCATTTTGTTTTGCCATAAATAATGTCATATGCTATTTAGTATGCTGGAAATTTTTCTTCTATTGTTTGACAAAAATAAAAGATTTATTCCAAAAACTAATTTTCTCAACATCAAAATTTATAATATGAGTAAATTATAATTTTAAAATTTTCCCTTAGAAATTCATGCATTCACAATGTTGATCTCCAGAACAAGGATTGAATACATTAGTCAGACGTCAGTTTCTTGATGTTTTGAATAATATAGTCTGGCAATTTCTTCTGTTTCTTAGCCTTCTGTATATAATACTTGGATATTGTCCTTATTATTGAAATGCAAATTTATTGAAAGGATACTAGCATGTCCACTGAGATTTATAGTGTATCAGTTTTGGAAAAATCCCATCCCATTATATGAAACTGTACTGAAATAAGAGCAAAACATTTGCAAACCATATAGCTTCAAGTAATTAGTGACTTGTTCAGGCCTGCCCCTTAAATTTTTGTTTTTGGAAGAAATCAATGAGTACAGACTGTTGAATTTGGATACTCCACATTTAAACAATGCCAGTTTAAATTCCATTCTTCTTATAAAACTAACATTTTACATCCAAAAAAATAAGTAAATATAGCCCCACAATTTGATGGAAATGGCAGGCTGTTGTATCATGTGGGACGATGGCTCATCCCCATTGAGTTGTGTGGTTAGTTGTCAATATGAGGGCCCATTGAACCTCTCCCTCTTTGTTATCGGGCAGAAGGACATTATCCACATAGTGCCACAAGTGGACATCAGGTGGCAGTCAGAGGGTAGCTAGATCTAGTCAATGCAACCTTGAGCCAGCAGAGGATTGTTGAGGTAGTCCATCAGATGCCTCCTAACGGTGTACTGTCAGCCTTCAAATCTGAAGGTGAACTGCACCTGATCTTCTTCACAATAGACACAATAGAACATGTTTGCCAGGTCAGTAACAAAACCAAGAGGGAGAAGCATTCTGAACTTCTTCCAAGACAATGACAATGCTGGGTAAGGGGACTCTAAAAGGAAGTACAGCCTTGTTGAGGTTGCGGTTTTTAGCAATGAGCCTTCATTCCTTTCCCTGGCCTTGAGAAAGGGCCATTGGTGAGTTAAAAGGTGAGATGGTGGGTTTCAGAACACAAGCTCTATTAACTGGGCAGATCCCCTCTGTGCCTTCCTTGGGTGATATTATGAGGTACTGACCACCTGGAGGAGTCTGGGGAGCTGTAAAGGTTCTCAGTAGGCATGACCTACTTCCGTGGAAAGAACTTGGTGGGGTGAGACCTTCAGTTAGGGAACTGAAGTGCCAGAACGTCCAGGCCAATGATAGGAAATGGTCACTGAGAGACGGGCAGGAGAAACACTGGTGCTCATGGGAGAAGGATGAGTCCTACCTTAACAGTGAGCATGGCAGGCATCCTAAGGGCTCATCTTCCTCTCAGTCCATCAACGGGCACAGGAAGGCTGGTGCACTGCATGGGCAAAGCAGAGATAAGAATGACCCATTATCCAGTGTGTAATAAGACTATACACGTCTACAGGTTTGACCACCAGACTTGGATGTGATAATCTGATTGACACAGGAAAAAAAGCATTTGGCTAAATCCATCATATGATTAAAACCCTAACCAAACTAGAAATTGAAGAGTACTTCCACAATCTGGTCAAGGGCATCTAAGAAAACCTACAATAAACATCCTAAACTAAGTTAGTGGGTAAAGAATGTTTACTCCATAAGATTGGGAACAATACATGAGTAATCACTTTGACCACTTCCATCAACATTCTACTGAAGGATTTTGCTCAAGAAATAATGCTAGGAAAAAAATCAGCCAATGGCTCTTCAAAACACTTAACGTGGAAAGGACACCCTATTCACTAAGTGGTTCTGGGAATAGTGGCTGACCATATGCATAAGAACGAAACTGGACCCCTCTCACTCACCTGTACAAAAATTAACTCAAGATGGATTAAAGGCCTAAATGTAAGACCTAAAACTATAAAGATCCTGGGAGAAAACCTGGGAAAACTCTTCCAGACACGGGAATGCTCATACATTGTTGGTGGGAATGTCAATTAGTTCAACTTCTATGGAAAAAGTAGGGAGGTATCTCAAAGAACTAAAAGTACAACTACCTTTCCACCCAGCAATCCCACTACTGGGTATCTACCCAAAGGGAAAGAAATCATTATATAAAAAGGCACTGCACTCCCATGTTTATCGCAGCATAACTTACAATAGCAAGGTCATGGAACCAAGGTAAGTATCCACCAACGGTTCATTAAATAAAGAAAATGTGGTGCATATACACCACAAAGTACTAGGCAGTCATAAAAAAGAACAAAATCATGTCCTTTGCAGTAACACAGATGCAGCTGAAGGTCATTATCCTACGTGAATTAATGCAGAAACAGCCAAATATTGCATATTCTCGTGTATCAAGTGGGAACAATGGGTACACATGGACATGAAGATGGAGAGAATATACTCTGGGGACTCAAAAAGTTGGGGGGAAGAGTTGAAAACGTACCTACTGGGTACAACCTCCAATATTTTTGGGTGATGGGTATGCTAGAAGTTCAACCCCCCCATTGTGCATGTGATATACATATAACAAACAAGCACATGTACCTTCTGAATCTAAAATAAAATAGAAAAAGAAAAAAGCCAAAGAAAAACATCCCGGGAATCCAGGGAGCAGCGGCTACTGCCTCCACTGCTCACTGCAGCCCGCAGGTTCCACGCCGGCAGCTCCTGCCTGCGGGCAGTGGAGCTGCGGAGAATGGCGGGATGGGTCTAGGTGCCAGGGCCAGAGCCCAGGAGGGGCGCTGGGTGGGGGCCTGGTCGGCCTCTGCCTTGCACCGGAGCAGGGGTGCCTGGTGAAACAGGCAACCTGATGCTCTCTGGGCCCTGCCCACGTTCCCCTTCCATCCACCCTCCTTTGCATCTTTCTGTGCCTGGGGCCCCCATAGAAAGCGGTCACATCCAGACTCACCAGGCCTGAGATGCTGGAGGATGGAGAAGCGCTTGCCACGGGAAAATTCCTCCAGGAACACATGAACAAAACTTCGCCTGCACCTGGGACATCCTTCTGTACGGCTGGCCTACGAGGCAAGTGTTCTGCACATGCTCCGTAGCTAACTCCAATGCAGAGGAGCACATGAGCCCAACCTCCACGGCAGGTGCAGATCTTTGCCTCCCTTTTATAATGTCTGTATTCAAATGACATATCCTGGAAGCCTCTTTCTGATAGGATGAGAGCAGACTCTGTACTACAACACAGATTGGATAAGTCTCCAACTCTGATTAGTTAAGATTATCCAGTCAGAGCAGGAGACTATTATCCAATAAGAGTTGTCAAAAAAAGTTCCTTCTCACCCAATCAGAACCAAGCTTCCAAGATACAGCGGTTGAGTACAGCCACTGTAAAAGGGAGGCGAAGGCCCATTCTGCCATTTTCTCTTCGTGGAGGTTGGGCTCGCGTGCTGCTCTGCGCTGTGGTCGTCATGGACCGGAAGCGTGTGCGGCGCGCCTGCCTTGAGGCCAGCAGCAGGGAAGGGTGTTCCCAGGTGCAGAGGAAGTGTCCTTCACGTGTTCCTGGAGGACTTTCGGTTAGCAAGCACTTCTCCATTCTCCCAACGTCTCGGGCCTGGTGAGTCTGGATGTGAGCGCATCCCACGGGGCCCAAGGCACAGAGAGAGAGAGAGGAACGGGGTGGAGGGAGGGAAGCGTGTGCAGGGGCCAGGAGCGCCAGGGTTCGGGCTTCTCGGCCCGCCCTCCTGCTGCTGGCGCTGTCACCTCCCTGTGGTCCTGCCTTCTGGGTCCCTGAGGGCCTCCCGTCATCTGGAACTGGAAATAAGTTAGTGAAGCCACGGTTTGTGAATATTTATTGGCCTTTGCGTCTTTGTCTTCATTTTCAGTGCTGGTTTTTCTGTTGGGTTATTTGTGTTCTTACGTTGATTTGAAGAATTTAAAAAGGTATTCTATAAATTAATCCTTTATGGGGTCATTTCTAGTGCAGATAGTTGTTTCTTGTTTTAGTCTGGTCGTTGTACCTTAATTTTATTTCACATTTCTTTCTTGCTAAAATCAATAAGAATCTAATTGATTTTATAGATTGATTTTGTATCGTGTTACCTGGCTTAATTCACATATTCATAGCCATCATTTTTGGATTGTGGTGGGTTTTTCATGTACTTATGTACCTGTAGTTATGTACTTATGTATTTAAATACTTACGTACTTAAATACTTATGTACTTAGTGTCAGCCACATATAGTAACAGCTATATTGCTTAAACGTTGGTTCTTACACCTTTATTTTTCTTTATTTTCTTCTTTTATTGTCCCGATCACACCTCCTGAACACGGTGTGTCTGGTTCTGATTCCAGGGAAAAGGTTTCAGTGATCCTGTATTCCTTATGTAGTTTGCTATAATTTCATTTTAGACAAACTTAATCAGATTAAGGAAGCTGCCTTCTTTTACATACGCTGAGTTATTTATGACTAATTGTTGAATTTGAATAAATGCTTTTTTAACATAAACTGTAAATCATATGTTTTTCTCCTATTTTTCTGAAAATAGGATATTTTACATGAACTATTTTTGGATGTTAACCAATCCTGCATTTTTTAGTATATCCCACTTGGTAACCATGTGTTACATTTCCATATGTGGTTTAATTCATATGATTTTTTTTTTTAGAATATTTGTATTTCTGTTAATGAAAGAGAGGGCCTATATTTTTTTTTCTAATGTCGTCTTCAGATTGTGGTGTCAACGTAATGCTGGCTTCACAAAACAAACTGAAAAATATTTCCTGTATTTCTTCTCTTTGGAAGAGTCTGAGAAATTTAGGTGTTTTCTGCCTTAAATATTTGGAATATTTCTTTAGGTATGGAATTTTCCATGTGGAACAGTATTTTTGTTGGCTGGTTTGACTTCTAATAATTCAAATCCTTTGGTATATGTAGGAGTTTTCTTGTTTTATGTTATTTCTGTGTCCATTTTAGTAAGTTTATTTTTATTTTTATTTTTATTTCTTGGGGGACAGAGTCTCGCTCTGTCTCCCAGGCTAGAGTGCGGTGGCGCGATCTCAGCTCACTGCAACTTCCGCCTCCTGGAATCAAGCAATTCTCCAGCCTCAGCCTCCTGAGTAGCTGGAATTACAGGTGCGTGCCACCACGCCCGGCTAATTTTTGTGTTTCTAGTAGACAGGGGGTTTCACTATGTTGGCCAGGCTGGTCTCGAACTCCTGACCTCGTGATCCACCTGCCTCAGCTTCCCAAAGTGCTGGGATTACAGGTGTGAGCCACAGTGCCCAGCTGTATTTTTCAGTAGAGACGGGTTTTCAGCATGTTGGCCAGGCTGGTCTCGAACTCCTGGCCTCAGGTGATCCACCTTCCTCGACCTCCCAAAGTGCTGGGATTACAGGCGTGAGCCCCCATGTCCGGCCTAGGAAGTTTATTTTTCAATGTGATGTTATTTGAATTTCTGTTGTCAAACTTGTAGTCCTAAGTATTTCACAGAACCCTCCTAGTGTCTTAATATACTGCTCTGTAGAGCAGGCTTCTCTTTTGATTCCCGATACTGGTTTTTTGTGTCTTTTCTCTTTGCCTTAGTTAGTTTCACTAGTGGTTTCTTAAGTGTATTAATATTTATAAACCAACGTTTTTTTTTTTTTGAGACGGAGTCTCACTCTGTCACCCATGCTGGAATGCAGTGGTGCAATCTCGGCTCACCGCAAGCTCCGCCTCCCAGGTTCAGGCCATTCTCCTGCCTCAGCCTCCCGAGTAGCTGGGACTACAGGCGCCCGCAACCCTGCCCGGCTAATTTTTTGTATTTTTTAGTAGAGACGGGGTTTCACTGTGTTAGCCAGGATGGTCTTGATCTCCTGACCTCGTGATCCGCCCACCTCGGCCTCTCAAAGTGCTG
The DNA here is from genome assembly GCF_000001405.40 of Homo sapiens. Classification (NCBI taxonomy): domain Eukaryota; kingdom Metazoa; phylum Chordata; class Mammalia; order Primates; family Hominidae; genus Homo; species Homo sapiens. The sequence continues at coordinate 16,896,136 of NC_000017.11, forward strand.
GGATTACAGGCATGAGCTACCGCGCCCGACCCTGTAAACCAACTTTTATCCTGGATTTGTTTCTGTTGCATTTTTTTCCTATTTCATTGATGTCTGCTCTTTATTACTTTAACGCTGCATTCTTTCATTTTGATCGTTTTTAATTCTTGAGAAGGGAGTTTATGTGATTGATTGTCAATCTTGTTCTCTATTCTAACAATTTCCTTTGAGGCGTAAATTTCTCTCTAAGCAGGGATTTATCTGGCAGCCCACATTTTCTGTCAGGTGTTTCCAAACCCTGTGTCTGCAGCCGCGTTGACCTCCCAGTGTCTCCACCCTGTATCGCCTACAGCCATGTCAGGCCTTGTGTGTCTCCATCCTTGTGCCTGAAGCCTGTATCTTCTCACCAGTATCACCATCCCGTAATGACTGAAGCCCACGTCTGCCCTTGTGTATTGTCACCTGGTCTGTCCTCTGCCTGCACTTTATGCCCCCTGTCAGAAGTCTCCATTTCTTGCTCCTGCAGCCCGTGCCAGCTGTGTGAGTCTCCATCCTGTGTGCTTGCAGCACATTGCTTGCCTTGAATGTTGCCATCTCCTTAGCCTTCAGGCAGTAGCAGTCCTCCAGTGCCTCAATCCCTGTGTTTGCAGCCCATTCTGATGTTTTTGTCTGTCGGTCCCCTGAGCTTCTGCCCATGCCAGCTTATGTTTGCTACATTCTCTGTCCCCCTAATCCATGTCCACAGTCAGTGTTTTCATCCATGCTTTTTGGGCCATGTCTGCACTTGTGTGTCTCCTTCCCCTGTGCCTTCAGCCCATTTCTGTCCTTTTTCTGGATCATTTCTCCCAGGAGACTATGCCCAAAACTCCTATCCCCAGTGTTTGTACCTGCAGCCAGTCTCTTTCGTGGAGTACCTCCGTCTGTTGTTACTGCAGCAGAGGCCTGTCATTGAGTGTGCCTGCTTCCCATGCCTGTCTTCCTGTGTCTCCAGCCCTTGTCCATGCAGTCCACATTAGGACTCTTGTGACTCCACCCTTCAGCCTACAGCCACATCTACCTTCGGGTGTCTTTATCTCTGTGCCCCCTGCCCACGCCAACCTTCACCTACTCCTCTGTCCTGCACCTGTACCTATGTCTGTCCCTGGTGTGCCTCTCTGCCATGCAGCTGTAGCCAGTGAGCTCCCTTTTTGTCTGGATCCCCTGTGACTGTAGCCCAGGTCTTCTCTCCTGTGACTGCAGCCCATGTCTGCCCTTGAATGTCCCCATCCTCTGTGCTTGTCACCCGTCGGCCAGGCCTAGCATGTTTCCACTCTGTGCCTACACCCATGTCTGCCTGCAGGGTCTCCATTCATGGTGCCATAGTTTGGTTCCCGGTCCCTATCCTCCTGGGGTGGATTCTGGCATTGTGTTGGGAGGGAGAAGGTGACCCATGAAAGGGAAGCCTGGAACGACGTAATGGGCAAGGAGGCTGCCATTCAGCAGGCTGCACAGTGGCAGAGAAGACATGGACAGTCAGAATCCTCCCTGCATCGGGGCACTCACGTGGGGCTGTGCCTGATGTGGGGAGTAAGGGGAAGCTGGAGCAGGAGGTCTGGAGCCACCTGGCCCTCTTGGGCCTGAGACCTCCCCACTGCAGGGGCTCCATCACTTCCCTGGTGGTCCTGCCTCCTGGGATCCTGCCCTGCAGTGTTTCTGCAGGGATCCTGTCACCTGGAACTTGCAGTGGCGGGTTTTGTGTGAGGTAGAGTTTAGCAAACGTTTATCGGCTTCTATGCCTTACTTTTCTTCATATGCTTTGTTCATTTTGTGCGTGTTTTTGTAGGGTCCTTTTTTTAATATTGATTTGAAGGATTTATCTTAAATCTGCAAATTGATCCTTTATTGGCTCATTTTTGTCATAGATACTTGTTCTCTAGTTTGATCATTATTTTCTACTGGTTTCATACTAGTATATAGTAATCTGGTTGATAACAATAATGTATCCAGTAAGTTATTAATTGTAACAGTTTTGGGGTTTTCAGGGATTGTCTAGGCATGTAATAGTGTCATATACACATATGACAAATTTTTTGGTTTAAAAATTAATCCTAATACCTTTCTGTTTCTTACTGTATTGTTTCTCCACTACAATGCTGATTAAAGAGTGATAGCAGGCATCTTTATCTTGTCCTGCACTGGTGGAAAAAGCTTCCCATAATTCTCTGTTAATTATGTTATATGTTATTGGCTAGTATTAGACTTTATCAGATTTCATCAAATTAAGGAAGTTGCTTTTTTTTTTTTTTCTTTGAGATGGAATCTCGCTCTTGTCGCCCAGGCTGGAGTACAATGGCTCGATCTTAGCTCACTGCAACTTCCACCTCCCAGGTTCAAGCTATTCTCCTGCCTCAGCTTCCCGAGTAGCTGGGATTACAGGCACCCACCACCATGCCTGGCTAATTTTTGTATTTTTAGTAGAGACGGGGACTCACCATGTTGGCCAGGCTGGTCTTGAATTCGTGACCTCAGGTGATCCCCCTGCCTCTCCTCCCAAAATGCTGGGATTACAGGCATGAGCCACCATGCCCGGCTGGAAGTTGCCTTCTTTTTTTTATTATTTTTAATTTTTTTGAGACAGAGTTTTGCTCTTGTTACCCAGGCTGGAGTGCAATGGCACAACCTCGGCTCACCGCAACCTCTGCCTCCCGGGTTCAAGCAGTTCTCCTGCCTCAGCCTCCCGAGTAGCTGGGATTACAGGCATGTGCCACAACGCCTAGCTAATTTTGTATTTTTAGTAGAGACCCGGTTTCTCCATGTTGGTCAGGCTGGTCTCTAACTCCCAACCTCAGATGATCTGCCCGCCTCGGCCTCCCAAAGTGCTGGGATTACAGGTGTGAGCCACTGTGCCTGGCCCATCCTCTTTTTATGTTTTACTCAAGTTTTTTTGTGTGTGTTTGTGGCTCAGTTTTAAATTTTATTAAATGCTTTAAAAAACTTTTCAGCTGAATGATCTTACTATTTTCTCCTGTATTTTTCTGCTAATGGGATGACTTACATGATTTATTTTGAATGGTAAGGACCTTGCATTTTGGTGTATATTCCATTTAGTATTGATCTAGTATGTTTTCATAGGTGGCTTCATTCATATAATATTTTGCTTAGAATATTTGTAGCTCTGTTTATTTATTTATTTATTTATTTTTATTTTTTTTTTTGAGATGGACTCTTGCTCTGTTGCCCAGGCTGGAGTGCAGTGGTGAGATCTTGGCTCACTGCAAGCTCCGCCTCCCGGGTTCACGCCATTCTCCTGCCTCAGCCTCCCAAGTAGCTGGGACTACAGGCGGCCACCACCATGCCCGGGTAATTTTTTTTTTTTGTATTTTTAGTAGAGATGAGGTTTCACGTGTTAGCCAATATGATCTCGATCTCCTGACCTTGTGATCCACCCACTTCAGCCTCCCAAAGTGTTGGGATTACAGGCGTGAGCCACCGCGCCCGGCCCCAGCTCTGTTTATTAAAAAGGAGATACACACTGTTTATGAAAGAGGTGACATAATTTTATTCATTTGTGTTCCATAATGTGTCCTGGTCCAATTGTGTCCTCAATGTAATGCCAGCTACACAAAAAATTTTTTAAATATTATCTTTATTTTCATTTTAGTGTTTTTCTTTGTATGGACTATTCCATAATTATGAGCTGGGAGTTTTACTTCTGGAACATTTTTGTTTGTTGGTTTGATTTTTTTTTCCAAGAATTTATTCAATTTGTTTAGTAGACTAGGAGTTTTTCTATTTCATGTTATGTTTGGGTCAGTTTGGGTAAGTTGGTTTTTAAATGTGGTGCATTTTGTTCTCTGTTGAATTTTTAGACCCTCATATTTCACAAAGTCCTCTTAAGTTCTTGTTAAGGTCCACAGGCTCAGTGAAGAATGTGTCTGTGTTGATTTCTGATATTGATGGTTTGTGTTAACTTCTCTTTTTCCTAATCACATTGACTAATGGTTTATTGATGTTATTTGTTGATTTGTTTTTGTTGTGCTTTATTTTTTATTTATTGATGTCTGCTGTTATGTTTTTTATTGCCTTTATTCGGTATACTTCCAGTTTGATTGTTCCTTAGCTTTGATCCCTGAGAAGGGAGCTGAGATGATTGATTTTCAGTCTGTCTTTTCTGACATCCTCACTTAGGGTGTATGTTTCCACTAAGCTCTGATCTAAGCATCTCCTGTATGCACTCAGCTGTTTCCAACCCCTGTGCCTGCAGCACTGTCTGTCTCCCAATGTCTTCATCCCTGTGTCCCTGCACACATGCCATGCTTTGTGCATCTCCATCCCAGTGCCTGATCTGCAGGTTCTCTCCATGTCTGCCCTTGTGTGTTGTCAGGTTTTGCCGTCCTCTCAGCCTGCAGTACAGATCTTGCCTAGATTGTCTCCTTCCCCTGCGCCTGCCTCCCATGCCAGTCTTCATTTGTCTTTGGTCCCTCTGCATGTAGCCCATGTCTTCCCTCATTTGTATCCATTCCTTGTCCATGTGGCCCATGTCAGGATACCTGGGTCTTCACTCATCACCTAGAGGTCCATATCCATCCTCAAGTGTCTTCATTCCCCAGCTGCCCTGTGCCTGCAGGCATATCTGTCCTCAAGTGCTGCCATACCATGTGCCTGTGGTCAGTGTCTTCCTTTTGTATCTGAAATCCTTGTGGCTGCAGTGCTGCCTTCTCATGTGTCTGTCCCCATTTCCTCTGCTGCACCCTAAAGGTCTCATGTGTCTCCATCACCTGTTCCTGCCTTGGGTTACAAGTGACACAGTTTGGTTGTGTGTTCACTGAAGGATGATTTGATTCCTTCCAGGTTTTCGTCATTGTGAATAAAGCTGCTGTGTGTATTTTCTTATTGGTTTGTGTGTGGATGTGTTTTCACACCAGTTGGGTAGATGTGTAGGGGCACGGTTGCTGCACACTATGTGATGCTGCAGTTTCCTTTGCAATAACATGCCGTGCTATCTTGTGAAGTGGCTATGCCATTATGCAGTCTCCCCAGTAATGAAGGAGAGTTCCTGTTCTGTATCCTCGCCAAGGATTGGTAGTGCTGGCTTTTGCTTGTTTGTTGTTTATAGAACTGTCCTAATCGATGTATAGGCTGTCTATCTCATTGCTGTTTGAATTTGCTTTCCGTAGCGTACAGTGCATTACTTTTTTCTCCTAATTCCCTAGTGTTCACCATGTCTTTATATGCTGATTTTCCATCAGAATATTTACTATTGGGAGGTATTGCTACATATATTTGTCCATTTGTTAAATGTAGTTTATTTTCTTACTTTCGAATTTTGCAAGTTCTTGGTATATTTTGCATGCAAGTTCTTCTTCAGATAGGTGTTTTGTAAATACTTTCTTTAAAGATAAGTCTGGCAAGGATCCCCTCTCTCCCTACTCCTATTTAACATAGCATTGGAAGTACTGGCCAGGGCAATCAGGCAAAACAAAGAAATAAAGGGTATTCAAATAGCAAGAGAGGAAGTCAGATTGTCTCTGTTTGCAGATGACATGATTCTGTATTTAGAAAACCCCATCATCTCAGCCCCAAAACTCCCTAAGCTGATAAGCAACTTCAGCAAAGTCTCAGGATACAAAATCAATGTGTAGCAATCACAGGCATTCCTGTACACCAGTAATAGACAAGCGGACAGCCAAATCATGAATGGACTCCCATTCACAATTGCTACAAAGAGAATAAAATACCCAGGAATACAACTTACAAGGGACTTGAAGGACCTCCTCAACGAGAACTACAAACCACTGCTCGAGGAAATAAGAGAAGACACAAGCAAATGGAAAAACATTCCATCCTCATAGATAGGAAGAATCAATATCGTGAAACTGGTCATACTTAGGTCATAAATTCAAAGTAATTTATGGATTCAGTGCTATGCCCATCAAACTACCATTGCCATTCTTCACGGTATTAGAAAAAAACTACTTTAAATTTCATATGGAACCAAAAAAGAGCCTGTATAGCCAAGACAGTCCTAAGCAAAAACAACAAAGCCAGAGGCATCATGCTACCTGACTTCAAACTATACTACGAGGCTACAGTAGCCAAAACAGCATGATACTGGTACCAAAACAGAGGTATAGACGAATGGAACAGAACAGAGACCTCAGAAATAACAAGACACATCTACAACCATCTGATCTTCAACAAACTTGGCAAAAACAAGCAATGGGGAAAGGATTCCCTCTGTAATAAATGGTGCTGGGAAAACTGGCTAGCCATATGCAGAAAACTGAAACTGGACCCCTTCCTTACACCTTATAAAAAAATTAACTCAAGATGGATTAAAGATTTAAATGTAAAACCCCAAACCACAAAAACCCTAGAAGAAAACCTAGGCAATACCATTCAGGACATAGGCATGGGCAAAGACTTCATGACTAAAACACCAAAAGCAATTTCCACAAAAGCCAAAATTGACAAATGGGATCCAATTAAACTAAAGAGCTTCTGCACGGCAAAAGAAACTACCATCAGAGTGAACAGGCAACCTACAGAATGGGAGAAAATTTTTGCAGTCCATTCATCTGACAAAGGTCTAATTTCCAGACTCTACAAGGAACTTAAACAAATTTACAAGACAAAACAATGCCGTCAAAAAGTGGGCAGAGGATATGAACAGACACTTCTCAAAAGAAGACATTTATGTGGTCAAAAAATATATGAGAAAAAGCTCAACATCACTGATCATTAGAGAAATGCACATCAGAACCACAGTGAGATACCATCTCACACCAGTCAGAATGACAATTATTAAAAAGTCAAGAAACAATAGATGCTGATGAGCCTGTGGAGAAATAGGAACGCTTTTACACTGTTGGTGGGAGTGTAAATTAGTTCAACCATTGTGGAAGACAGTGTGGTGATTCCTCAAGGTTCTAGAACCAGAAACACCATTTGACCCAGCAATCTCATTACTGGGTATATACCCAAAGGAATGTAAATCATTCTACTATAAAGACACATGTACACATATGTTTATTACAGCACTATTTACAACAGCAAAGACATAGAACTAACCCAAATGCCCATCAATGATAGACTGGATAAAGAAAATGTGGTACATATACACCATGGAATACTATGCAGCCATAAAAAAGGATGAGTTCATGTCCTTTGCAGGGACATGGATGAAGCTAGAAACCATCATCCTTGTTTGGGGGGTGAGATTTATTGGCTCTGTAAGCAGAACATGAACTTTTGCCCATTTATAAAATCAGATTGTCAGCTGGAAGCAGTGGTTCATACCTATAATCCCAGCATTTTGGGAAGCCGAGGTGGGCGGATAGCCTGAGGTCAGGAGTTCGAGACCAGGCTGGCCAACATGATGAACCCCTGTCTCTACTAAAAATACAAAAATTAGCCAGGTGTGGTGGTGGGCGCCTGTGATCCCACCTACTTGGGAGGCTGAGGCAGGAGAATCGCTTGAACCTGGGAGGTGGAGGTTGCAGTGAGCCGAGATTGTGCCACTGCACTCCAGCCTGGGCAACAGAGAGAGACTCTGTCTCACAAAAAAAAAAAAAAAAAAAAAAAAAAAAAAAAAAAAAAAATCAGATCGTCATTATCTTCCTTATTGCTTTTAAGAGTTCTTTATGTATTCTTGATATAAGTCCCTTGTCATTAATTGTGTGGCAAATACCTTCATCCAGTGTGCCTTAAATGTTCTTCTTTTGATGAACAAAGTTCTTAAGTCTAATTCATCAATCTTTTCTCTAACGGTTAATGCTTTTTGTATTCTGTGTAAGACATTGTTTATTCCAAGATCATGAAGATACTGTCGTATGTTTTCCTGCAGAAGCTTTATTGTTGTATCTTTCACACTAAATAGAAACCCTCTTTAAAATCACCAACTCCTACTGCATTCTTAAAATATTTTGCTAAACTTTTCGAAGATTCTGGCACCACAACACTCGCTTCCCAGCCTCAAACCTTTTGGGGAGGTGGGGACAGAGAAAGAAAGAAGCTGGCAGGGAAAACCCAGCCTCAGCCAAGACCTAGCCCAGATAGTAAATTAGCAGGGCTGGGAGTCTCCATCATATCAGCAGTCACATGTCTTAAAACCAGAATCTACCAAGATTATATATATATCTTGTATCTGCCACTGCCATTACCTTCTTTTCATTTTATGTCAAAAAAAGAAAAAGAATCCCAGCACTGAGGCAGGAGGATTGCTTGAGCCCAGGAGTTTAAGTCTGCAGTGAGCTGTGATAGCACCACTCCACTCCAGCCTGGGTGACAGAGGGAGACCCTGTCTGAAAAGAAGAAAAGAAAAGAAAACCTGTCGTGTTACTGACCAGTAATAGGGGCTCCCAAAGTATAAACTCACCTCAGACCCCTGTTTGTTCTTCCTGCTACCTGTCCATTCTGCCTCCGCCCCGTTCCGAGGCTGGACCATACCATGAAGGAAGGCCCCTTGGTTACAGCCTCCCCAGCCCGTCAGCCATGCTGCCAAGAATACTGGAAAGAATAAAAAGCTAGAGGGAGGCGGCTGCCTGCAGGAGGTTTAGCATAAAGGAAATAGGAATGGTAACAGGAAATTGAAGAAAACAGTTAAAAAGAGCATTCATTCAAGAATGACCCCACTGATGCCACCTGTGCTGTCCCCCACCTGACAGAAATGGACCGAGGCAGCTGCCAGAGTGGATATGCAAAGGCAATTCACGTGTTCATTAGTGCCCTTTTATGATGTAACCTAGTCATAATGAGATTGCGGGGAAGAGATAGAAAATAAGATGTTTCCAATCTTGATCATAAGAATAGTATTTCCTGCTGGCGTGATTGTGTGTGTGTGTGTGTGTGTGTGTGTGTGTGTGTGTGTGAATATTTTGGATTAGCTTTCAAAATATTTTACATTTGATGAAACCCAAAACTCATTTTGCCTGGAGTAATTTTTATTCATTGTTAAATCTCTGTAAAATTAGAAATATAAATATGTGTCTGGTTTATTTACTCTTCACAAAATATGGTGTCTAGACCTGTTTGTTTATGATGCCTCTTAGGCTCGTTCTCTCTGAGTTAGGAAGCCAAAAAAAAGTGGTGAAAGTCAGATGGTTCATAGTCTTTTTGAAAACCAGTAGCCATGTGCATTTTACTTAAAATGACTTTCTTTTTACCTCACCAAAGTACAGCATGATAGGTTATGTTCAATCCCTGTCGCTCTCCGTGTGTGTGTACATATGTATGTATTTTTAGATTGAGGGGGTACATGTGCAGGTTTGTTAGACTGCGATATTGTGTGATGCTGAGGTTTGGGGTACAGTTGATCCCATCACTCAAGTAGTGAGCATAGTATACGATGGTTAGCGTTTCAGGCCTTGTCCCCGACCCTGCCTCACCCCTTTCAGAGTCCCCAGTGTCTGTTGTTCCCGTCTTGTGTCTCTGTGTCTCTATGTTTAGCTCCCATTTATAAGTGAGAACATACAGTATTGGGTTTTTTGTTCCTGCCTTAGTTTGCTTAAGATAATGGTCTCCAGCTGCATCTGTCTTGCTGCCAAGGACATGGTTTCCTTCTTTTTTTATGGCTGTGTAGTATTTCATCATGTATATGTACCGTATTTTCTTTATCCAGTCTATCATTGATGGGTATTTAGGTTCATTCCATGTCTTTGCTATTGTGACTAGTATTGGAATGAACATATGGAGTGCACATGTCTTTTTGGTACAATTATTTGTTTTCTTTTGGGTACATATCCAATGAGATTGCTGGGTCAAATGGTAGCTCTGTTTGAAGATCTTTGGGAAATCTCCAAACTGCTTTCTACACTGGCTAAACTAATTTACATTTCCACCAACAGTGTATAAGTGCTCCCTTTTCTCTACAGTCTCATCAGCATCTGTTATTTGTTTGACTTTTTAGTAGCCATTCTGACTAATGTGAGAAGGCATCTGATTGTGGTTTTGATGTGCATTTCTCTGGTGATGAGTGATGATCAGCATTTTTTCATACGTTTGTTGGCCACTTGTATGTCTTCTTTTGAAAAATGTCTATTCATGTCCTTTGCCCATTTTTTAATGGGGTTATTTGTTTTTTGCTTGTTGATTTAAGTTTTTGCTATAGATTCTGGATATTAGATACATCGTTTGTGAATATTTCTCCCATTCTGTAAGTTGTCTATTTACTCTGTTGATAGTTTTCTTTGCTGTGCAGAAGCTCTTTAGTTTAATTAGATTCCACCTCTTTTGGTTGTTATTGCAATTGCTTTTGGGGACTTAACCAAAAATTCTTTGCCAAGGCCAATGTCGAGAAGGGTATTTCCTAGGTTTTCTTCTATAATTTTAATAGTTTGAGGTCTTGCATTTTTATTTTTTATTTTTTATTTTTTTTGAGATGGAGTCTCACTCTGTCCCCCAAGCTGGAGTGCAGTGGCGCGATCTCAGCTCACTGCAAGCTCCGGCTCCTGGGTTCACGCCATTCTCTTGCCTCAGCCTCCTGAGTAGCTGGGACTACAGGCGCCCGCCACCATGCCTGGCTAATTTTTTTTGTTTTTAGTAGAGACGGGGTTTCACTATGTTAGCCAGGATGGTTTCAATCTCCTGACCTCGTGATCTGCTCGCTTCGGCCTCCCAAAGGTCTTACGTTTAAATCTTTAATCCATCTTCAGTTAGTTTTTTTATGTGGTGAAAGGTAGGTGTCTAGTTTCATTCTTGTGCATATGGCTAACCAGTTATCTCAGTATCAATTTCTGAATAGGAAGTCCTTTCCCCATTGCTTGTTTTTGTTGAAGATCAGATAACTGTAGGTATGCAGCTTTATCTCAGTTCTCTATTCTATTCCAAAGATCTATGTGTCTGGGTTTTATACTAGCAACATGCTGTTGTGGTTTCTGTAGAGTTATAGTATAGTTTGAATTCCAGTAGTATGATGCCTCCAGCTTTTTTGTTCTTGCTTAGGACTGCTTTGGCTATTCAGGGTCCTTTTTAGTTCCATATGAATTTCAAAATAGTTTTTTCTAAATCTGTGAAGAGTAGTTTGATGGGAATAGCATTGAATCTGTAAAGTGCTTTGGGCAATATGGCCACTTTAATGATATTGATGCTTCCGATTCATGATCATGGAATATTTTTCCACTTATTTGTGTCATCTCTGGTTTCTTTCAGCCTCCTTCCATATATTAATCCAATAATGAACTTGTGTTCAGGGACCTGTTCAGCTCCAGTTAATATTGTAGGTGCTGGGGTTTCCACAGTGAATGAAACAGGCAACAGTCCCTGCTCTCATGGAACTTACATTGTCATTGGGTCTGGCAGTTAACTGAAATAGAAGGTAACATATGTACCATATTTGAAGGGGATATTACTGTGGAGAGAAATAAAGCAGGGAAGGAGGATTGGGAATGTTGGGTGAATGGTGCAGTATATATACAGTAGTCAGGGAGGTGACATTCGAGCACTTGCACCTCTTCCCTGAAGGGCTTTGGTGTCTGCATGAAGGTTTATTTCCCACCAAGGACTAGGTGTGGAAGGTCAAAGTAAGGAGGTCATCACTGCCGTGACTGTGCCAATAGGAGCTGAAGTGACACAATGGTGGTCGCCTCAGGTCAGCAGCACTGGGAAGTGAGCATCGCAGCCAGACCCACCTGCAGAGCCCTGGGCCAGCTGCCTGACATCTTGAGTGGCCCAGAATTGAGACCCAGTAAAAGCACATGAGTCTGCTCTCACTATCAAGTGAGGCCCACACTGAGCTCAAAATGGTGCTCCTAGGAGACCCTTCCACACATTCTGCTCAACTCAGACATCCTGGGGTCTTTTTGGAATAAGTCACTCCCAAGAAGGCCCTGCAAATTACTCTCAGTCCTCAAATTTCATGCTCCTGATGCGTGTTAGCTCTTTTCCAAGCCAAGGGCAGCCCTGACCCATGGAACCCCTATACCTCCTTTTCTTTCATCTAAGAGTCTACTCTGAGCTCCTGGTTTTGTGTTACGATGGGGAAATCTCCATCTCTAATGTACTTTCCAGTAAGAATTCTGGAGGGACAGGAAGCCAAGAGGGTGAATGTGACAGATAGAATTCTAAGGATAATCTCCATGACTCTCCCCAGAATAATGTCCTTCCCTTTATATGACACAGGGAGGTGGTCTGGATGTGCCCCACCTGATCACAGAGCCCTGTAAAAGCCAAGAGGTGTAAAGCATGAGAAGGACTCTGAATGTTCTTGGTGGCTTGAAGAGGGAGGGGCACATGAGAAGGAGCTGAGAAGGGCCCGGGCCCCTGGCTGACAGTCACCAATGCTTTAGTGCTAGAAAGTCCCTAGCCATGACCAGAAATTGTCATGTGGGTGCTCTGCAGTTCTGAGGTTGACACCTGCAAATGTGGTGCCACCAGGTCCTTTGTCTCCGTCTCTGTCCTGATGCCCTCAGACCTCAGCCAGGCCAAGGATGCTGTTTGCTTTGCCTCTGCCTTCCTTCAGCCGGGGGATCTTGGCCTGGAAGTCACTCTGATGAATGTGTGGAATTCAGCTCTAAGTCTCTCCTGCATCCTCTGTCACCTCCCAAGAAGCATGATGAGGCACAGCCACCCCACACCTTCATGGGTGGCACCTTGGCTGTGGTCCTTGGGTCCTGCCATGCCATGGACCCTTGGACACTGGTGAATCAGGCAAGGGCATGGGTAGAGAGTCCCTGCATCTCACCTGGATCTCAAAAGCTGGAATCCGTAACCCTTAGCAAGTTGTGATGGGACGAGTTTAAGAGTTTTAAAGGCTGCTGTTTTCATGTTTGAAACTACAATATTAGAGCAGTATTGTAGTATTAGAGTCAGCAGCTCTGTGAGGTGGTGAGAACCCCAGCCCTGGAGGTGTGCAACCAGGAGGGGAGGTGGGGCACAACAAGAGCATCCTGTAGTGACTGTAGGCTTGCTTGTTTCTACAGACAGAAAGTTCCTAGCAGTGGGATTTGTTTGTTACCTCTTTCTTAGAAATCCACCTGCCAGAGCCCAGCTGTTGTTTTGCTACTGTTCATTGACACAAGCAATGAAATTTAAAAGTTACAAATAGCACTAAAGGCCCCTTTGACGGTCACCCCCAGTTCTGTCCCACCCAGTGGTAGCCAGTGTCATCATGCATGTCCTTGCAGGCTTCTTATGCTTCACAGTCACGTGTGCATGATCACGAACGACACAGCACTGTAGTGTATGTGTGTGCGAGTGTGTGTGTGAGTGTGTGTGTGTATGTGTGATGTTTGGTTTATCATACTGAGGCAGGAGAATAGGGTCTGGAGGCAGAGAACTTAAAGCCAACTCATGCTGAATTCCTAAAGGTGAATCAAGGGAAACCACCAAGGTCTGGGGGCAGGGAACCTGGGGTCAATTCATGCTGACTCCCTAAAGAGAGAACAGCTGGATCTGGGGGCAAGGAACCTAAGGCCAATTAATGCGACCTTCCTAAAGCTACCACCCCCCCACACAAACCATTCTCCCCACACCCAAGTGGCAAAGGATCAAAGGCTCCTCTCCTATAGCCCTCCCCTTCCACCACGTCTCAGATGGAAAGGGAGAGTGCCCTGGATTGGCCAGGGCCAAGCACGAGCCATCCCTTCCTCAGCATAGGGCACCAGTTTGCCCCAGCCTTTAGTTAGCCACGACCAAATCCTTCATCCAGGTAAGGGTTAGCCTATAGGGTCCTCAAAAGGAGTACTTAAAACCCAGAAAACTTTGTAACCAGGCCCTTGAGCCCATTGCTCGGGCCCACTCCCACCCTGTGGAGTGCTTTCTGGCTTTAATAAATCCCTGCTTTCCTGCTTCCTTCCTGTGTTTAATTTCTTTGTTACTTTGTGTGTTTCGTTCAATTCTTTGTTCAAAACGGCAAGGACCTGGACAACTCACGCTCCCTTCCTTCCAGTAACAGTACTGTAAGACTCACGCTATAAACTACTTTTATTCACTCAATATCTGTCCCGAGAGCTTCCACATCTGTCTCACGCTCTTAATTGTAGCATAGATTCCTGGCTCTGCCCCGTGCACCCTGCTTATTCAGGCATCCTCTGCTGCATGAACATTTACATTGTTTCCTGTTTCTCGCTGTCATCAGGAGGCTCATGGAGGAGGAGAATTTCTGGGGGGTGGGTTAGGTGTGTGTTGTACATTTAACTGACCCTGGCTGGTTACTCTCCAGAACGCTGCTGCCAGCTCCCTCCCTCCAGTGGGCCCTGAGTTCATGCTTCTGTAGATCACCCCCCTGCCCTTGATGTTACCAACTTTAAAACTTTGCAACCTGATGGCTGAAAGTTAGTTTTCCATTGTTCAGTTGTGTTTTTCTGATTTTTGGGAGACTGGACATTTCCTGTGTTTGCTGACCATCTGCTTCTCCTCTCCTGCTCTGTGCACCATCACCCTGCTCCAGCTGCTTCCTGGAGCCTCCCTCCTTCCTCTCCACCTGCTCACATCCTCCTCGTCCTTCAGTTTCTTCCCAAGGGCCCATGGACTTTCTTTGGCTTTTACGTTCCTCTCACTCCGCCTTTGGCTGTTGCTGGGCTTCCCATCCCCTGGGAAGTTTCAGAGGATCGGGAAGACACAGGAGTGCAGTCGCCATGCGGTGCAATACGGGCCATAGTATTCATCCTCCACGGCCTTTATTGAGGACTTACTGTGTACCAAGAACCTGCTCTAAGAACGTAACTGTGCTCCCTCACTTCATGCTCATAACCACCTGTGAGATGGGCAATGTTCTCATCCCCTTTTATGCAGAGGGACAGAGAGGAGTAGAGGCACAGAGGAGTTCCATAAATTGTCACCAAGGCCTTCCACTGGTGTGCGGCAGGGTCAAGATTGAAACCCAGGCTGTCCAGGCCTAGGGTTCAGCCTTTCCAGTGCTCTGCTAGGTGTTGGACAGGGCCAACGAGACACAGAGAAAGAGCATCACCTGACTTGGGCTGGGTCAGAGATGGCTTCCTGGAGGAGGTGACAGCTCAACAGAGCCTTGAAGGAGGATCAGGAGGAGCTGACTAGGCAATGAATAGAATAAGTATGTCCAGGAAAAGGGAAGGGCCTTCTCAGTGATGCTGGGAGGCTGGAGAGCTGTCCTGGCCCAGGATGTGTGCCCGGGGGGCAGGAGATCAGGCCCAAGGGGTGGCCAGGGCCGGATCTAGAAGACTTGGGCCATCCCACAGTCGATACCTGATCCCAAGGCCAGGCAGGCCTTCCACTGCTCTGTGCGCACTGGTGGGCAGTGCCCCCATGGGACCCCAGGAGCCTGGACCCCAGCCACTCACCTGGGCTCCTGAGACCCAAGGCGCAGGCACGGGGGTGGGAGGGGGTGCGGCTAATTTACATCTTAACAGGTCAAGGGGAAAACTGCACGTCTCACTGTGCAGATGGAACCCACCGCTGGATGGACCTAGGACACAGCCTGGATTCACAGCCTTTCCCTGCTGCTGTGTCCCCACACCCCAGGCAGGGAGCGAATCTGTTCTCTGATCTTCTTTTGTGTCCAGTTAACCATGTCCCCAGATACGGACCTGATCAGGAGCTCAAGTACATAAACTTTCTGAGAATTGAACAAAGCGGTGACCAAAGGCTGCCTCGACACAGGATGATGTTGCTTAGAGCCCTGGGACCACGAGTCAGGACCAGCCGGAATTGTGACCTGGTGCTGGCAGAGGCTGTCTGGTGCTGCAGAATCAGCCCTGGCCAGTTGTTCCCTGACGCACACTGGGACTTTGGCTGAGACACTTCCCGTCAGCTGTAAAACAAAGAAGACTGTCTTTCCTATTAGATATGCCTCAAAAACACAAAAGTGCTTTGAACCTGCCAGACTTCCTCTTGAAGAGTCACAAGCACACAAGAGAAGGCTCTGAGAAAGAAGGCCTGCAGTTTAAAAAAAAATACTTTGGCTTTCTTTTTTTTTTTTTTTTTTTTTTTTGAGACGGAGTTTTGTTCTTGTTGCCCAGGCTGGAGTGCAGTGGGCGATCTTGGTTCACTGCAACCTCCACCTCTCGGGTTCAAGTGATTCTCGTGCCTCAGCCTCCCAAGTAGCTGGGATTACAGACATGCGCCACCACGCCTGGCTAATTTTGTGTTTTTAGTAGAGATGGGGTTTCACCATGTTGGTCAGGCTGGTCTCGAACTCCTGACCTCAGGTGATCCGCCTGCCTTAGCATCCCAAAGTGCTCGGATTACAGGCGTGAGCCACCACACCTGGCCGCTTTGACTTTGTTTAACCCAGCATTTTTCAAGCTAATTTGACCACAGAGATCTAGCAGCATCTGTTAACCGGACAAGCACATGAGGCACAAGCAGAGGGCTCTAAGAATCACCCTCCTTGGCTGCTGTCTGGTCTCAGGGTGCAGGGGAGAGTCTCTCCTGCATCCAAGTCTGCGCTGCCCAGAGTGTGAGCCCAGCCCACAGAGCTAGTGCCTGAGAGGAGTTTTTCCTTTCTTTTTCTGTCAACGGAGCTTCTCTCTCAAGCTTCTACTCCGCCTGGCTGTGTCAGTCTTAGGGTTTTCCTGTTTCTCTTTGGGGCTTCATGGGGGTTCTGAGATTTTATGTGGGTTGAGATGGTGGTAGAAGAGGAAGGGCATGGACAGCTCCTCTGGTCAGTTGGGCAACTGCCATCTGGTCAATAGGGCACTGTCTCCCCTCAGGTCCAGTGGCTTTGGTGGCTTCCAGGCCATGAATGGGTCCTGGAAACTCCCCAAAGCTGCCCTTGTCCAATAGAACCCGCTACCGGCCTTCCACTCAGCCACTGCTTCACACTATGGCAGGGTGTGCGGTAGCTCCCTCCCTCTCCACTCCCCAGCCCAAACTAGGGGAGAATCAGGGGTCTGTCTTTAATTTTTTTTGTATCCTTTGATTTCAGACTTGCTTTTGAATAGATAGTATTAGTCAGGTGGCTTGAAACCCAGAAAGTATTGAAAGATATGATAGAAAGTCTTTTTTTCCTTCTTTTTCTCCAGCTGCCCAGTTCTTGCCTCCCCTTGAGTAAATAGTTTTATCGAAATATTATTCCCGTGCCATAAAGTTCACCTGTTTAAAGTGTACGGGTCTATGTTTTTTAGTATTAATGTATTTACAGAGTTATGCAACTGTCACCATAATCTAATTTTAGAACATTTTGATCACCCTAAAAGGAAACTTTGTCAGTCTTCATTCCTCCCTAGCCACAGGCTACTACTAATCTATTCTCTGTCTTTATAGATTTACCTGTTTTGGACATTTCACATGAATGGAATCACACAGTACATGGTGTATTGTGACTAGTTTCTTCAACTTGGCATAATGTTTCCAAAGGTCATCTGTGTTATAGCATGTATCAGTAGTTCATTTTTATGGCCAAATAATATTCCATTTTATGGATATATCATATGTGGTTTATCCATTCATCAGTCGGTGGACATTTGGGTTGTTTCTGCATTTTGGCCATTATTATTAATAATGGTTCCATGAAGGCCAGGTGCAGTGGCTCACACCTGTAATCCCAGCACTTTGGGAGACTGAGGCAGGCAAGTCACTTGAGGCCAGGAGTTCAAGACCAGCCTGGCCAACATGCAAAACCCTTTCTCTACTAAACACACAAAAATTAGCTGGGTGTGGTGACACATGCCTGCATTACAGGCATGCACCACCACGCCTGACTGATTTTTGTATTTTTGTAGAGACAGGGTTCACCATGTTGCCCTGGCTGGTCTCAAACTCCTGGGCTCCAGCTGTCCACTTTCCTTGGCCTCCCAAAGTGCTGGGATTACAGGCGTGAACCACCATTGCCAGCTGATAAACCACATTTATGAAAAACCCACAGCCAACCTCATATTCACTGGTGAAAGACTGAAAACATTTCACCTAACATAGGAGGAACAGGTCAGAACGCCCCCTTTTACCACTTATGTTTAACATAGTATTGGAATTCTAGCCAGATAAATTAGGCAAGCAAAATAAATAAAAAGCATCATGTTGGAAGGGAAGAAATAAAACTATTTATTCACAGATGAAATTACCTTACATAAAGACAGTTCTTAAAATCCAGTAGAAAGCTACTAGCACTAATAAAGGAATTCAGCAAAGTTGCAGAGTACAAGGTCAACACGCAGAAATCAGTTTTATTTCTATACACTAGCAATGAAAATTAAAACAAACCCACCTACAATAGAAACCGAAAGGATAAAATTCTTCAGAATAAATTTAAGGTGAGAGACTTGTGCACAAAAACTATGAAACATTGCTGAACAGAATTAAAGGCCTATATGCCTGTAAATACAGCTCAGGTTTATGGATTGGAAGACCTAATATTGTTAAAATGCTATATACCACCCAAAGCAAAATACAGACTCAATGCAATCTCTATCAAAATCTCAATGGCCTTTTTTGTAGAAATAGAAAAGCTGATCCCCAAATTGGTGTGGAATTCCAAGGGATCCCAAAGAAACAAAACAATCTTGAAAAAGAGGGACAAAAAAGCTGGGCATAATGGTTCATGCCTGTAATACCAGGACTTTGGGAGGCTGAGATTGGAGGATTACTTGAGGCCAGGAGTCTGAGACCAGAAGAGCAACATAACGAGACTGGTTTCTACAAAAAACTAAATTAAAAAAAAAAAATAGCCAGGTGTGTGTCATGTGCCTGTAGTCCCAACTAATTGGGAGGCGGAGATGGGAGGATGGTTTGACCCCAGGACTTTGAGGCTGTAGTGAGCTATGATTGCACCACTGCACTCCAGTCTTGGTGAGACTGAGACCCTGTCTCAAAAATTAAAAAATGAGTAAAGTAAGAAAAAAGAAGAAAAAGGAGGACAAAGTTGAAAGACTCACACTTCCTGGTTTCAAAACTTATTACAAGCTACAGTAATGAAAAGAGTGTGGTCATGGCATAAGGAGAGAGATGGAAATCAATGGAACAGATTGAGAGTCCAGAAATAAACCCTCACATATAAGGTTCGTTGATTTTTGACAAAAGTGCCAAGATCATTCAATGGGGAAGAGCCAGGCTCTTGAAAAATGGTACCGAGGCCAGGCAGACCTGTAGTCCCAGCACTTTGGGAGGCCAAGGCGGGTGGATCGCCTGAGGTCAGAAGCTCAAGACCAGCCTAGCCAACATGGTGAAACCCTGTCTTTATTAAAAATACAAAAAAGCAGCTGGGCATGGTGGCGGGCCCCTGTAATCCCAGCTACTCTGGAGGCTGAGGCAGGAGAATCACTGGAACCCAGGAGGTGGAGGTTGCAGTGAGCCAAGATTGTGCCATTGCACTCCAGCCTGGGCAACAAGAGTGAAACTCCATCTCAAAATAAATAAATAAAAATAAAATGGTAATTTTGATGTGAATTTTACCTCAAAAATATTTTTTAAGAGCTGCATAGGGAGACTTTGTCTGTAGAAAAAAATCAAAAACTTAGCCAGACATGGTGGCCTGCGCCTGTGGTCCCAGCTACTCGGGAGGCTGAGGTGAGAGGATTACTTCAGCTGAGGAGGTAGAGGCTGCAGTGAGCAAAGATCATGCCACTGCACTCCAACCTTGGTGACAGAACAAGATCCTGTCTCCAAAAAAAAAAATCAGAGCTGCCCTTGCCCTTGTGCTAATGGGCGCTCCCTCTATTACATCACCTACCTGGCTCCCAGGGCCACCTGAGTTTGAGACCCCTGCTCTAGATTCATGTTACCAAATCCCCTTCCGGAGAACGTGTAGTCAGTGACACCACCACTCAGGATCCAGGAGAGAAACATTTTCACCAAACCCTGCTCAACACATTGACTTCCTCATTTCAGTGGGTAGGAGAGTGAGGTTCAGAGATGTTAAGTGACTTGCTCCAGGTCACACAGCCAGTCAGGACAGCGTCAGGACTGGAACCCAGTTCATCTCATCCTGAATCCAGTGACCTGTCCTTGTGTCCCACAGGTTTCCTACAGCCGGGGAAGCCAAAGCATAGGGCTGGGAGCCCCATTCGAGGGCTCTGACGCTCAGAAACTCATCACAGCCCGCTCTGAGGCCCTCAGCTGGCACAGTTCCCAGCCAGGTGAGAGAAGAGGAGGAGTTCAGGCCCCTGAGTCTGGGAGCAGTTGCCGGTGGCCGGCTTCCTCCAGCATTGGTGGAGGGGGAGCCACCAGGGGGCATCTGCGTGCATAAGAGTCTTGGTCTTGGCTGCCCAGTTAGTCATGGGGCTGCCCAAGTATCTGCTCCTCCCCAAGTATCTGCTCCTCTTTTGCCAGGAGTGGAAGGAGCAGCTCAAAACCAGGCTGTGGCAGGTGCCACAGGAGATGGGCTTCCCTGAGATTAGCACCTCCCTTTCCACCAGGAGCCGAGAATACTCAGGTTGCTCATTTGAACCCATATGGTGAAGTTTCCCTCTCTCTCTCTGGATATTTATTCTGTAGTTTCGGTTTTCAAAAACAAAACCCTTCTGTAGCATGGAGTTCTCAGACTGGGTGCTGTCTCCAGTGTGTTCCTTGTGAAACAAATGGATTTTGCTTGTGGTTGTGCGAAGTCTCATAATTACCCCAGGGAGGAGTGGTCCAGTTGTGAAAGGGGATGGAGTAGCACATCAGCTTTGTGTTGGGGCTGTCCTGTGCGTCCTAGGATGGTTGGCAGCATCCCTGGACTCTACTCATTAGATGCCAGTAGATCACCTCCCTATCCCCCCCATTGTCATTGAGACAACCCCAGTGTCCCCAGGCACGGCTACCTGTCTCTTGATGGTGAGGGCAGAAGCATCTTGGTTGAGCGCTGCTGGTGTAGAGACAGCCTGGATGAGAAGAGGAGAGAGATGAGAGGCTAAAGCCTCTTTGAGGTGAAGGTGCAGACTCTGGAGCCCAGCACGTGTCGTCAGCTGGGCCTCAGTGTTTCCCTGGACAGTGTTGCCCTTGGGTTTCCAGCCGTAAACAGCAGGAATAAATCCCACGAGAGGCTCATGCCTCATTCTCCGTTTGCTTCTTTTTTCCTTTTCTTTCCTTTCCTTTTTCCTTTTCCTTTCCTCTTTGTTTTTTTGAGACCGGGTCTTGCTCTGTCACCCGGACTGCAGTGCAGTGGTGCAGTTGTAGCTCAGTGCAGTGGTGCAGTTGTAGCTCACTGCAGCCTTGACTTCCTGGGCTCGAGGAATCCTCCCACCCCAGCCTCCTGAGTAGTTGGGACCACAGGCACGCACCACCATGCCCAGCTGATTGTATTGTTTTGGGGTTTTTTTTTTAGTATGTTTTGTAGAGATGGGGTCTCGCTGTGTTGCCCAGGTTGGTCTTGAACTCCTGGCCTCAAATAATCCTCCCACCTTGGCCTCCCAAAATGCTGGGATACAGGCATGAGCCACCATGCCTGGCCTAAATTTCTAGTTTTGACAGATGTGCCAGGGTTATGCAGAATGTCATTCTTTTTTTTTTTTTTTGAGACGGAGTCTCGCTCTGTTGTCCAAGCTGGAGTGCAGTGGCGTGATCTCAGCTCACTGCAAGCTCCGCCTGCCAGGTTCCTGCCATTCTGCTGCCTCAACCTCCTGAGTAGCTGGGACTACAGGCGCCCGCCACCCCGCCCGGCTAATTTTTTGTATTTTTAGTAGAGACGGGGTTTGCAAAATGTCATTCTTAAGGAGAGTTGGATGGAAAGCACAGGCGAACTCTATCGTATCTGTTTAATTTTTCTGTAAATTTAAAGTCATTCAAAGAGTAAAAGTAAAAGTTCATTTTAAAAAACTGAGGAGGTTATCATTCCCTCTGTGTAAAAAGCACAGGAGGCTGGCCTACAGAGTCAGGCCGTGGTTGCAGGGGCAGTGCTGGGAGGGCCTGGGCATGTTCTGCTTCATGATCTGGGGGCTGGCGAGTTCCATCTGTAAGTCTTTGGAGCTGTGCACTCACAGCAGATGTAAGTCTTCATCTTACATCTGTAAGATGTAAGTTATATCATAATAACTTTTTGAAAGTTTAATTCATATAACAAGGTCAGGAAATGTCCATTTGGGCTGTGGCACCTCAGATGCTTATCCAGCCATGAGCCTTGGCCCGTACGCTTCTAGAAGCATCCACTCCCACATAGCATTTTCCAGACCCAGGGCACCTGGGGAACAAGGAGCAGGATTGGGGAGATTTGAAGTTTCAAGTGGGGAGGTCAAGAAGAGTCAATGAGAAGGGGCCAATTGAGCAAGGAGCTGCAGAAGGCGTGGAGGGCCCTGAGAACATTGCAAGTGGATGGCACAGAGCCAGGCCCTGAGGTGGGAGCCTGGCCAGTTGTGGGGACAGCAAAGAAGTCAATGAGAGCGGGAAAAAATGGGGTAAGGGAGATGGGTGGGAGGAGGTCAAGATTATGGGGGGTTGGGTGCTTTTCGAGGTCCTTGGCTTTGCCACAGTAGGGTGGGTGCTGTAGGGAAGGGTTTTGAGGGGAAGGGGCATGATCTGACTCAGGGTTCACAGGGTGCCTCCCTCCAGCTGCAGTGCTGAGAGCAGCTACGGGGGCAACCACTGGGAAATTGGGAGACCCATTAGAATTGAATTGCAATGACCCCAGGGAGAGATGAGAGTGGCTTGAAGCAGGCATGAAGGTGGTGAGAAGTGGTCAGATGCCTCTGCGGAGTGAAAGGGTAAACATCATAAAAGTTCTATTGTTTGGCCTGGTCAGATGCCTCTGCAGAGTGAAAGGGTAAACACCATAAAAGTTCTATCATCTGGCTGTCTGGCCGGGGTGGTGGCTCACCTGTAATCCCAGCATTTTGGGAGGTCGAGGTGGGCGGATCGCCTGAGGTCAGAAGTTTGAGACCAGCCTGGCCAACATGGTGAAACCCTGTCTCTACTAAAAAAAAAAAAAAAAAAAAAAAAAAAAATTTGCTGGGCGCGGTGGCTCACGCCTGTAATCCCAGCACTTTGGAAGGTCGAGGCGGGTGGATCACGAGGTCAGGAAATCAAGACCATCCTGGCTAACATGGTGAAACTCCATCTCTACTAAAAATACAAAAAAAATTAGCCAGGCGTGGTGGTGGGTGCCTGTAGTCCCAGGTACCCAGGAGGCTGAGGCAGGAGAATGGCGTGAACCCGGGAGGTGGAGCTTGCAGTGAGCCGAGATCGCACCATTGCACTCCAGCGTGGGCGACAGAGCGAGACTCCATCTCAAAAAAAAAAAAAAGTCCTATCATCCCATAAAACCACTCACTCCTCATTGCAGCCCTAGACTTGCTCTACCCACACACTTCAAAGGGGGGCTCCGCGCTCTTCACCCTCCTGCACCCGCGCCCATCCAGGAGTCAGAGCAGGATGTTTTCCTCTAAGGGAAAGCAAAGCGAGTGTGCACTCGTGCAGAATAGAGTTTGGGCCACTCATTTGATTTCTTTGTAGATTTTATTCTCGTCTTTTTTCCAATAAGAAACACCATAACTAATGACTTCAGAGAGGCTCTTCCTAGTGTATTTTTAAGAGGAGAGGCAGTATTAATAGTTACAGCCGCATGGCAGGTGGCCCTCTGTGACCCGTCACAGTGAACAGCAAGCTCTTGGGGCCCTCTTAGGTTTGCGCTTTGAGGCTCCTGCCTGCCCTGGTGGTTCTAGAGTCCCCCAGATTACCAGGCCTGAGGCTTCTGAACATCCCCTAAACACAGCCTAACTTCCCAACAGTCTCCTTCCCCTTGGGGAGTCTCCAAAAGGAGATTTTTTTTTTTTTTTTGGAGACAGAATCTCGCTCTGTCACCCAGGCTGGAGTGCAGTGGTGTGATCTCAGCTCACCCAAGTAGCTGGGAATACAGGAGTATGCTACCATGCCCAGCTAATTTTTTAGTAAAAACAGGGTTTCACCATGTTGGCCAGGCTGGCCTCAAACTCCTGGCCTCAAGTGACCCACCCACATCGGCCTCCCGAAGAGCTAGGATTACAGGCATGAGCCATCCCTGCCCAGCCTGATGGTTGCTCTGAAATAGCCAGAGAGCTGGGATGCGGTATAGAGCAGTTTGTTTCCCAGTGCTGCCTTGAGCCTGGGTTAGATCTTCTCTTCATGCCAATCCAGGCCTTCTGTTTTCAAAGTTTCTCTTGGAGTCTCATGGGACCTTGGCTTCTCCTGCAGCATAGTCCCACAGCCTGGCCCCAGGGTGGCGCCCTCCTGAGGTACTCAGAGGTGTGTGGCGTTGATAGTTGGTGGGGGCAGCTTTTAGGGCTGGAGGTGGTAGGCTAGGACTGAATGACTTCAGCCGAGATTGGCTCCTCCCCACTCCTCACGGTGGAGATCCCAGGGTGAGGGACCTGCAGCTGAAGTCCGTCCATACAGGCAGAGAGACTGAGGGTGATTCTCAGATGAGTGTGGGCTGGTCACTTGCAGGCCTTCCTAAAGCCCGTGCTGGCGTTTCTGATTCAGCAGGTCTGTGGGGGGCAGGGGCTTCTTCACTCTTAATCAGTTCCCAGCCGATGCTGATGAGGCTGGTTCAAATGCCGTGCTCTGAGAACACCTATACTTAGGTAACAGGGCACCTGGCTGCCTGTAGGTTACCTGTGGCCTCTGGGCTGGCACTGCTAGTTGTAGGCGATATCCTACCGGTTAATTTTAACTTGGAGTCTTTTAGAGGACAAAGACCTGTTTTGGTGGTTCACTGAGTTGAACAGCCTGGTGGGCTGGCCTTCCCAGCGCTTCTCATCAGTCTCAGGGCTGCGCCGCCAGGCCCTAGGTGTGCATTGTTCTCTCTGCTACCGGTGGAGTCTCCACCACCATAGACCTTTTCTAGGACATCAGCTTGGATCTCCCCAGCTCTTCCACTCTGTCTGGCCCCTGAGCCCAGGGAGTGTGGGCAGCATGGTAAATGGGGACAGCCACGTGTGGGGAACCGCCATGCTCACGGACTGCTTGTGACAGTGGGAAGCCTTCCTCACCCACATGGCAGGGGCATGTCTCCTGGCCAGAAGGCTGTGCTCCATCAGAACCAAATCAGGGCTCTTTCACACACCCAGGACTGAGCAAAGATATGGCATTAGCCTGGGTTGGCTGCGGTCTCTGGTGCTAGTTTGTCTTTTGTTTTGGCCAGATGACTCGATATTTCTGTCCCTCAGCTTTGCACTATGCTGGGTATTGGTGTCAGCAGTTGCTGTTCCAACCTCCTCATGTAAATGAACCCAGAGCCAAACTGGATGCCCCTCAGCCTTTGTGTTAATCACCTACCCCAGAGTGTGAGCTGAGAAGCACCCGGCCCTCTCCCCATGGTCCACAGCCTTCTCCGCATGTGATTAAAACTTAGCTGTGACGTTCTGCAGTAGGGCCATTTTTGAAATTGTGCACTTACTGCTTCAGTTGAGATAAGTAATAAGATTTCGGATGTGATTGTTTAAAGTGTTTTTAAGTAGCCATAGCATACAGTTGTTCAAAAAGCAGAAAACGTTCCTAAATTTTAATTGTCTAGTGTTTTATAGTCTTATTTCCTGTTAGTTGCATTAATTAAAGGTTACTGCAGAACAGTCTTTGTTGAGTGGAAGTATTCCTTAGAAGAGGTACAAGCTTTTGGTTTCTATCTTGCTGAATAGTCTGCAGGACGAAAGCTGCATGTATAGAATTTTAAAATGCAGCAACTTTGTTACTCTTGTCAGAGGCGCTGGAACCGGTGCAACTCCATCTTGAATAGAGGCTGGGTGAAATAAGACTGAGACCTACTAGGCTGCATTCCCAGACAGTTAGGGCATTCTAAGTCACAGGATGAGATAGGAGGTCAGCACAAGATACAAGTCATAAAACCTTGCTGATAAAAACAAGTTGCAGTAAAGAAGCCAGCCAAAACCCACCAAAACCAAGATGGCGACAAGAGTGACCTCTGGTCGTCCTCACTGCTACATTCCCACCAGCACCGTGACATTACAAATGCCATGGTGACGTCAGGAAGTTACCCTGTATGGTCTAAAAAGGGGAGGCATGAATAATCGACCCTTGTATAGCATATAATCAAGAAATAACCATCAAAATACCTCCCCAGCATTAACATCAGCACAGACCTAAAGTCTGATAAGAAACATTTTATAACCTCTCTCTGAAGACTGCTACCTGGAGGCAAACCAATTTATTTCTTAAATATGCTTGATTGAAGTCTCAAGTCTCTCTAAAATGTATAAAACCAAGCTGCACCACGACCACCTTGGTACATGTTCTCACGATCTCCTGAGGGCTGTGTCCCGGACCATGGTCACTCATATTTGGCACAGAATAAATCTCTTCAAACATTTTATAGAGTTTGACTCTTTTTCATTGACAAGACCATGCAGAGTAACTTCTGGATGTTGCCATGGCATTTGTAAACTGTCATGGCCCTGGTGGGAGTACCTTTTAGCATGCCAATGCATTGTAATTAGTGTATAATGAGCAAGAGGACAACCAGAGGTCACTTTCATCCCCATCTTGGTTTTGGTGGGTTTTGGCCAGCTTCTTTACTGCATCCTATTTTATCAGCAAGGTCTTTGTGACCTGTATCTTGTGCTGACCTCCTGTCTTATCCTATGACTAAGTATGGGTAACCTTCTGCAAATGCAGCCCAGTAGGTGTCAGACTTACCTTACCTAGACCTTATCCAAGATGGAGTCAGTCTGGTTCAAATGTGTGTGACACATTTAGATGGTCACAGGGGAGGTGAAGGGCCTTCAAATTTTATTTTGGTTCATGATATGGCTTGGCGTGTATGCTTTTCATTTGTAAAATTGCTGTTCTTTTGACAATTTAAGTGACTGTTTCATTGACTACAAGTTTGAAAATAAAAATTAATTAAGAAAAAAATTCCAATGACTGTGCTGTGGTTGGAGACTTTATTTACCAAGATGTTTACCCTTTCCTTTCCCCTCTCATTATGAGCAGCTGTGTCACTGCTCCTCCTCCTCCTCCCCTAATGCTTTGTAATCTCTCCTATGTCATAATAAAGCTACACTTTATTCTGAAAACTGGCCAGTTCTCCTTTTATTGACACAAGCAGTCAAAGAGAGGGTGGCAGGAGGGAAAACAGCAGCCAGGGCAGACCGACCTGGATGGGGCACCCTGGTCACAAGTAATGCCATGTAGGCTGCCATGATGGCGATAGGTAGAGCCGGCAAGTCTGTGTCCAGGTAGGGGCTTCCTACAGTGAAGGCTGATCTCAGCCCCCTCCACAGTGTGGGCGGCCTGCCCACAGGCAGCCCGCTGGTCCTCCTGGGAAATGGTGCCGGCCCAGGAATCCACAGCAAGTCTCTCATCATCAGATGGGGTGCTCAGCAATGGTGAGGCGGGCGTGCAGCAGGCAGGGCCTTGAAGCCTCCAGGTGGCATATTGGCATGTGAAGCCGGGGCACTCAGGACACTTTTGGGCTGGGCTCCAGAGATCAGACTGCCTGCACTGCAGTGATGAGGCTGGGAAGAGGCAGCAGTGTTCACAGCTGTTGGCCGCATTGAGCCAGCCCTCCACATCCTCATTACTGCACGGTCTCCCGTCTTGCCCAGGTTCTCTGATGTGAATCCTTACAGCATCAGGGCTCACAGTGCCCTGGTCCCCTCTGTGGTCACCCTGGGAGCCTGTGGTGCCTCTGGTGCCTCTCTCTTCCTAGGACTCGAGTTGAAGCCAGGGACCTCTGGGCCTGGGACTCACAGGTGGGGTCAGAGGCCCCAGGGCATGCTGCTGGCTGGCTGGCTGGCTGGGGCTGCAGGAACCCTATGCTTAGCCTTCCCTCCAGAGGCCTTGATGGGACCAAGCCCCGCTGAATGGGATTTTCCAAGGCCCAGAACCAAGGTCCAGCAGCCATCTGGGGCTGCGACGCAGCTGGGCGTGTGCCACCTGGGCTCCTTCCATGCCACGTTCTTCTACTGAGGGGCATCGCAGGCAGGTGCTGCCTTGTTGCTGGGGTGTCTCCTGACCTGCCTCCTCTGTCATAAGCCTGGGCAGGGCCTGGTGTCGGGGTCCCAGTGGGCTTGCTGGGCCAGGCCCGTCGTGTGGTTGCAGGGCTGTCCAGGTAACATGTTGAAGTGACAGGGGCCCAGTAGCCCTGTTCAAAATTGTAGTAAGGAAACCATGGATCCCAGCATCCAGGTCTGTGTGGAGGTGTGGCATAGAGTCCCAGCACAGGTATTTTTATGTAATACGAGGCCTGACCTCACCGGGAAACAGGGTGGCCACATCTTGATCCTCTGGGCCACCCAGAGAGCAGCCTGCTGCCCTGGGTTCTGGGGAAGCCCCTTCGTGCTGCTGGGCCTTGGCCTCCGCCATGGAGACAACCCTGTCAGGCCAGGCTGGGGGAGGACAAGGCTTTTGTCCTGGGGGGCTGATGGCATGAGCCCCTGGAGCTGAGCTGGTGGGCTGGGCAGGGCCAATCTGTCCCCCTCACAGAGGGGCCTAATGCCAGGAGACACCCTCGAGGACCCTCTCTCGAGTTCTCCTGAAAAAAAAGAAACAGACGTGGTCGGCATCTTCACCAAGCTCATCGGGTCCCTTCAGGGCTGGGCCCCACAGGCCTGGGTCTCTGGAGTCCTCGGGGTCCCTGACACTGAGTATGCCCCCGCAGGCTGCTGATCTCAGGGCGAGGACTGTGTGCAGTCTGGGGTCAGGGAGCTTTCAGGGAACCTCAGGTTGCTCCTGAAATGGCCCCCAGTGTTCAGGCTGGCTCAGGGCTTCCTGCCTCATGCCCTCACCTCAGGACTGTTCGGCAGCCCCAACTCAGAACTCAACTGGGAGGGACCTGCACTGTCACCCAGCCCCCTTGCCACCACACATGGGGGCCTGTCCCCACAGAGCATGAGAAGGTCCCGGGCAGGGGTTCCCCTCTGCCCTCCAGGCTGTTCACCCCATGCCAGGGCTGGACCAATCCCATGTCCAGCTGAACTCTTGGTTCTGGCTCTGGGTCAGGGCTTCCCCTATCCTGTGCCTGAATCCTCTTGGGTCAGGGACACTGATTCTCTTGTCTCCCTGGCTTGTTGTCTTGACATCCTTGGAGGGGCACTCAAGAATGAGGGGTCCCTGCTGCTCTCTGAGGCTGCTTGAAGGTGGGGGTGGGGGCTTCCACAGCTGGGTCTGACTGCCCCAGTGTCCCTCAGGGCCCTTCGAGGAGGAGAGGAGGACAGTGTGGAAAGTGCGGGAGGGGTGTTGGTGGTTCCTGCCCATGGCCCCTGCCTGTCCACTCAGCATGTCCAGCACACACACACACATGCGCTCAGCGCCTGCCCTGAGGAGCGGCAGACCCATTTGACTTTCTTAGAGTAGAGGAGGAAGAGGAGGAAGAAGAGGTGCAGGAGGAAGGCCAGATAGGAGGGCTGGCGGGGCCAGGACACCCCCAACCATTGACTGCCCCAGAGGGAGACTCCGGAGGGGACCTGGTGCTGGAGCCCACCTGGGGATGGCAGGTCCCAGTGTTTTTTTGTGAGTTCCTTCATAGAGGTTTGAAGGTTCCTGAGGACCGAGTTGTCCTCCAGGGCCCAGCTCTGAGAGAGTCGCTCCTGAAACTCCCAGACGGTGCTCCAGGAAAGCTTCATGAGGTGCTCTAGGGAGAGGGCGGGCATCAGGCCAGGAGGGTTCCCTGGGAGGGGTCAGTGCCCGCACCCCGTTTCCACCAGGGCTACCTCCCACTGGGTGGTGCCGGGTCCTTTTTGGCCACCCCGGGGTCGAGCTGTGCACAGAAGGCCACAGCTAGGGGAGGCCGGGCAGGGAAGTGCTCCCCACACTCCTTTCATCTGGGTCATGTTGGGGGGTGGACTCAGTGTCATCATGCCTTGCCCAGCCCACCAGGCCAGGCCCTCTGCTCGGATGGAGCAGAGAGTCATGGTAACAGTGTGAGGACGCTTCCCTCAGGCCAGCGGAGGTCTGTCCCACGTGTTCCCTTGGGCACCCTCAGGCACATGGGACTTACCCCTGTGTATTTTGAATGATGCATGCGCCATGGCTGTCAGTACCTGCTCGCCCTCCAAGATAAGCACATCCCACAGTCGCAGGGTGAGCCCGAAGGATTTCTTTGGGGACAGCAGGTGTGGGAGGACCTGGCCTTTCCAGGCTGGGGCTGGTGGCCTGAGCAGGACCCATTGGGGTTTCAGTCCTCTGGAGTGCTGAGGACCCCTTTCCATGGGATGAGACCCCTCCATGAGGCTGCGGTCAGACAAGGTCCTGCAGCTCCTCATGGGGGACTCATCTCAGCAGTGAGGTGGCTTCTGGAAGAAGGGGCTTCCTGAGGACTTGGGGCTTCCCTGGGCCCCTCCAAGTTGGGTCCTAGCCCAGTCTCCCCATGAGGCTGGGCCTGAGCCCTGGCCTCTGCCGTGGGATGCCCCCTCTCAGGCAGAGCCTGGTTTATGTGCCCTGTAGGGAACTGCCTGTGCCTCCTGCAGGCTGGAGGGGATCTGAATCCTCCTGGCGGAGCTCGACCCCTGGGCTGGGGGTGCCGGGCACTGCGGGACAGGAGGGTCCCTGGGCTGGGGTCTCCCTGTGCCTCCTTACCCCATCAAGGAAACACTGGAGGAGCCTCGTCAGCATGGAACCCTCAATGCATAGCCCTTCCTTGCCCTGAAGGGAGGAGCAGAGGTGCTCAGGGCCCCTTGGGCTGCCCTGAAGTCCTCCCACTTCCAGGCCCCTCTGTAGACCCTTCCTCAAGGAGCAGAATCCAGGGCGGTGGCCAGGGCTCCAACACCTGCCCCATGCACGGATGCCCAGTGGACATACTTCCCTTAGCCCTGCTTAGCCAGAGCTTGGCCCTGGTCCCAGCCCTTCTGCCTCCCCCAGGGCAGGAAAAGGAAACCCAACTCCGAACCCTTGGAGAATCCCCATCCCAGGTCAGGCTGTGGTTGGGACTTGGCCTCTTGTCAGCTCTGTGAGAGACTAGAGCCTCCCCTGGCCTGTGGGGCCCAGGGCTTATGGGGAGGAGCAGAGGGTGTCATCCACTCACCAGCTGTCTCATGATCTTTGGGAAGGACTTGTGCAGCACCTGCTCCTGATGTGATAGGAGCTTCCGGAGCTGGGCAGTATTTGGGCTGTGGAATACTGAGAAGCTGCCGACCCATCACCCCATCAGAGCCCACGCCCAAGATGTGGAGGCATCAGCTGGAAGAGCTGGGCAAGATGGGGGACCCCGGACCCCGAGGCTTCCCTCCTTCCCATCTGGTGACCCCATCATGCGGCCTCAGCCCTGGGGAGGAGGGCCCTGGCTGGGAGCGCTGCCCGGCGGCATCCTGGGTTGAGGTGCCAGGAGGGCAGCCTGCCTTTGACACCATGAGGTAGGGCCGAGGCAGGCAGGTGCTAGCGGGGAGACCGGGGTGGGAGCTGGGGGCTGTGTGGCCATCTCCTGGATGTGGGATCAGGCTGGGGGACATGGGATGGGCAGACATTGCCATCTTGGCTTCATCGGCCCATCCATAGGAAGGGAGGGTGGCTGGGAGCACAGCCAGCTGGGAGGCAGGAGGACACTCAGGGAGGTGAGTGGCGCCTGCACAAAGTTGGGGCTGGCTTCGGGCAACAGAGGGTGGCCAGAAAAAGGTGTCAATGCTCTCTGATGTTAGGGATGAAACGTGTCTGACTTGAGGTTTAAGGGTCCATGTCCAGACCCAGGCTGCTGTGGGACCTCAGCAGGGACATCCTGGAGGCTCCAAATAAGCTGGGATACAAGGAAAGCACCTTGACTGGAAGTTGGGATCACCGGCCAGAGTGGCTGTCCCCTGGCATGACTGTGTAAGGCCCTGGGGGCAGCTGTCCACCTACCCTGCAGGGAGTGCCTCTCACCGGCCAGCAGCTGAGCCAGCCACCCAGAAAGCATCTTCCTCCGGCAGATAAAGGAGGACGGCAGTGTTGCGGCTCAGGTCCCTGTGGTAGCCCACCTCCTGCAAGAGCCAGAGTCACCGTGGAAGGATGTCACCTGGGAGGGCTGAGGCCACCTGGGAAGACTCACATCACCAGAGATGGCAGAGATCCTTGGGGACACCTGCCACAGGCCCCCGGGGATTTGGGGTGGGCATGAGGACTGAGCAGGTCACGTATGACTCAGCTGACAAAGAGCCTGGGGGACTCCTGCAGCGAGCGTCTAAGCTCAAATGGCCCTAAAGGGCACAGTCAGGGATTGTTTATGCTCCTTCCCCTAGGCAGGCTGGGGAGGCCACTATGCCAGGCCCGGAGCAGCACCTGTGAAGTGCACCCACCACGAGGGCAGGCGGCAGGGTGCTGACCACCACACAAAGGGTCCTGCGGCGACTCAAGGGCTGCCTGCCCGGCACAGGAGGGCGGCTGGGTCCAGACCCCATGTGGCAGCCCATGGAGTCGGCTCAGCAGCTCTCCCTGCCTGGAATGGTCTGGAAAGTGGGGACCGAGCAGGAACAGCCACCTGGGTGACCCCCTCCCTGTCTGCTGCACTCCTATGGGGTTCAGGCAAAGGGGAAATTGGATCTCTGTCTGGTTTCTGGTGAAGAAGAGGCTTCCTCAGGATGCCAACTCATTTCATGACAAGAGCCTGGCCCATCAGGCACCCCAGCCACTTGTCAAACCTGTCTCCTGCCAGAACCATCTGCATGCGCCCCTGCCAAGCTCCTGGGCTTTGGGGCAACGCCAGGAGGGGAAGGTCATTTCTTCATCTGAGACATGGTGGTCGGATCCAGGTGACACCAGGAGTCTGGGCTTCAACCCTTTTCTGTCTCAGTTTGACCCCTTGAGCCGCCCCCTTGCTTGGGTGTCCATGCTGGCAAGTGAGCTTGAGTCCTGCCTACTACGTCCTGGTGGGTCACAAACACTGAATTTTCAAGAAGTGCTGAAACCCCCGAGAGGCACCTATGCCTGTGAGTATGGGCACATGGCCCAGGACTATTGCTGCCCGGGAATACTCTAAACATCATGTGATTCTGCAGGGTGTGGCTGACATCTGCCTTGATGCGGTGGGTGATCCTGGAGGACCTCTTGCCCTTCTCCTTCATGACTTGTAGGGCAGGGCCAAGAGGAGGAAGCAGCCTCAGAACAGACAAAAGACTCCCTGCCCCTAACAGCTGTCATCCCACAGTCAGCACTTCTGGAAGGAAGGGAGGAAGGTTTCCTTCTGCAGAAAGTTCCTTTTTTGCCTTGTTTCTGAAGCCAGGGAGGGTCAGCAGAGCCCAGCACACCTGTGGTGCCTGTGTCACCGTCTGTGCCTAGTATGTGCATCTGACTACAGCCCCCACCCCCAACCCGGGCTTGACATTCCTTCCGGCTGGAGTCCTGGGCTCCTGACACAGCCTGGCCTATTTGTCCTGCCCTGGCTGAGTGTGGGAGGGCCTTACCTTGTATTTCCTGGGTTCTGGGACTTGACTTTGTCAATGTCTAGCAGAAGTGCCCACGCCTGGCCTCACACCAGGGGAATGCCTTTGTACCTGCTTCGAGACAGCTACAGACAAAAGAACACTCCAGTGAGACAGGATGTGTAGTGACTTGGGGAGGAAAGCCGGTAAACAGGCCTGCTGTCCTATGATGGGGATGGAGTGCCACCCATCTGCTGAGAGGCAGATGGTGCCAGGTCATGGCCATGGGTGCCTGTCTCCTGACTCTGCAGAGAGCAGTCATGGAGGCCACTCCCTCCCCACGTTACCTTCTTTTCCTTTTGAGATGAAGTCTCCCTCTTGTCGCCCAGGCTGGAGTTCAGTGGTGCGATCTTGGCTCACTGCAACCTCCACTGCCTGGGTTCAAGCAATTCTCGTGCCTCAGCCTCCTGAGTAGCTGGGATTACAGGTGCCCGCCACCGTGCCCAGCTAATTTTTGCATGTTTAGTAGAGACGGGGTTTCGCCATGTTGGCCAGGATGGTCTCGAACTCCTGACCTCAGGTGATCCGCCCACCTCAGCCTCCCGAAGTGCTGGGGTTACAGGCCTGAGCTACCAGGCCCAACCGCCATGTCACCTTCTTGCTGTTCTTATATTTTGGCCAGTCTCCAAGCATCTTCAGCCACTTGTCAGTACATTTTATTTCCTGACACCTTTGCTGTCAAATGAGCCATGATGGAGTTAGCGGAGCTGCCAGGCCTCCGGCAGCGGCCCATGGATGCTGGGTCCTGGGCTTTGGGGCCCTGAAGGAGCAAGGAAAGAGCAGAGCCCGGGGGCTGAGACCCTCTGAACTAACTGGAGCTGGTGGTCTGGACTGGTCATGCCAGGACACACCATCCTCAGGCCACAGACACCCCGAGTTTTGGTCAGGTCCTGGCCCTTAGCTGGGGACTTGGTACAAACAGGCAGTGACCTCTGAGCCAAGACTGTGGTTCTTGATTTGGGTTTTGGTCAAATGCTCATGGGAACAGAGTCCGTCAGGAAAGGCCGCCCCTCCCAGGGACAGCCCTGGCCCACTTACCACCGCCCGGGCCCGCAGGCCACCCCCTCTGTCTCACCAACCACTCCTGATTCCCTGTCCCTGGACCAGTCTCCCACGCAGCAGGCACAGGCTCTTCCCTTCACCTCCAGGGCACTGACACGGGCAGCTCTGTCTCACTGTAAGGCAACCCAGGCAGAGCTGACGACCTACCTGGGCCAGGAGCCATCCTCATCCATGAGAGGGCCCCAGCCCTCCCCATCCACCCTAAGTCTCAGCCCGGGAGAAGGCACAGGGAAGGAAGGCAAGGGCCTCCCTGTGGAGCTGATGCCCACGAGGCACCAGGACCCTGGAGAAGAGGGAGCTCGAGGCTGGCCTGGAGGGGGCCACTCGGGGCCTGTGGGGTGCCTTGGGCTGCACAATGGGGCTGCTCCTCCTGGGCTGGAGGCGACACCCTCTGTGGAGCTGAGAAAGTCCAGTCCTGAGACGAGATGGGTGCCACCCAGGGTGGGTGGCTGAGCCCTGACTGACAGCAGTGCCTCGTGAGTGACCACATCACCCACCAGAGTCCAGGGAGCCTGGCCTGAGAGCTGCCTAGTGCCCTGAGGACGCACCTGGGACCTGTCCCACCTGACACTCCCCATAGGCCTTGCAGGGTGTGACCTCCCAGCGTTCACCTGCCTCTCCCTGCATCCCGGCTGCAGACCCTGCCTATTCCTCATCTTCCCCCATCCTGCCCGCCACAGAGACTGTGACCCTCTCTCCGGCCACCCTGGCCCTTCCAGGACCCTCTTCCTGTCAGAGCCTAGGTATGAGACCCCCCAGGTCTCTTACTGGGCTGCTCAGCGCTGCTGGGGAGAAGCCTGGGGTGACAAGGGTGACCAAGGGCCCTGCAGGCAGTGGGGCTGGCCCCACCACCCTGCCTACAGCCTCAGCTGGCTCTCAGGGCAGTCAGCCTTCAACCCTCAGCCTCCTCCCAGCCACTGCAAAAACCAGGACATGGGATGCCTGGCTGTCCTCCCCCTACTGTCCTGCCTGCCCCGACTCAGCCTCCCGTCCACCTTCTGTGGTGCTGACTGAGCCAGCAGGAAGCAGAGTCTCTGGAGGGCCACGTAGAGCTTGGGGACTGACTGAGTCACCCCCACTGAGGGGTCCCAGGTGAGCCGCTGTTCCCTGACCACCCCATCTGTTTTCCTCCCCAGACTATCAGCTCTACCCTGGGCCAGCTTGGTTCAGGTGCATCCCAGAAGTGGCAGGTCTCACCGGCTCACCGCCCCCCAATCCCAGGCTCCTCCCTCTCTCCATCCTGTGAGTCCTGAGGGGCCGGCTCCAGGCTGGGCTCCCCTTACCAGGCCCAGGTCCCTTCCCAGCACCACCACTCCTGGGGCCTTCAGCTTCAGGCTCTGTTGCCCCCCAGGCCTCACTGTGGGATGCCCAGGACAGGCCCTACACTTCTTCTCCCCCAGCCTCCCAGGGTCACAGCCCTTGCTGTCCCCATGCCCCTCCCTATAGGATGCCCCAGTGGGCCCCCTGAGCCCTTGGAGACCTGCTACACAACAGCCCACAGGCCTGGCCAGGTGTCCCCTTGCCCTGTGGCCACCACCCTCAGATCTCACCAGGGCAGGCCCCAAGGGGACAGGGCCAGACCCTTAGGCTGCCCCCTCGTCTCCTGCTGATGTGGAGAGCTCAGTGCTGAAAGCCCCGGGCCTGACCCAGCCCCCTCTCTGTCCCACCCGCTCTCTCGAGCTCCCTAGATGGGCCTTGAGGCTCTGCCCTAACCCTGACCACAGGCTGGACTTGCAGGAGAGGCAGAGAGGAGTTCTTACCCTGGAGAGGAGATTGTCCTGAGCCAGGGAAGCCTGCCCTACCTCAGAGAGACCTTTCTAAAAACAAAACCCATCCCTGAGGTGAGACTTGTGGGTGGGGGGACAGAGGACTCACCACACAACCCAGAGACGACTGGTGAATTTCCAGATGTCAACACGCTCATGCTCTGTGTCCACTGCTGCCCCAGCTCAGCGTCCCTGTGACCCAGCGAGGGCCAGGGAGACAGGGGCAAGGTGAAGGGCTTGGGGTCCTGACGGCATGGAGAGCCTGTCTTCACCCTGTGGTCCTGGGGAGCCCAGGACCCTCTGACCAGGCTCTGACCAGTGGGGGAGGTGAGGCCCCACCTTCCTCAAGGGAGTGGCCCGACCTGTACCTGCTCATACTTAGTAATGATGATGTTGCCTTGCCCCTGGGTGGGCAGGATATCCGGGTGCTCATCCATCTCCATCCTGCAAGACAAAGTCATCCAAAGGCTCTGCAGCACCCGAGAGCTCCAGAGAACACCCGAACGGCTCCCACCAGACCCCCAAATGCTGGCCAGACAGGTGAGCCCCATTCCACGATTGCTCCCCAAGACAAAGGGTTAAATCCAGTATTCCCACCCATGCCCTAGTCTCTAGAGTCCCTGCCCTGGACCAGGAGTAGGCTCCTTCCTGAGGACTTGAACACAGGGGGACCTGGACAGAGAGGCCCATTGTTCCCAAATGCCCTAAGACAGACACACACTTGCCCTGGCAGGACCAACGGCGTCCACCTGCTGAGGGTAAAGGGCCCACGATGGGCTGTTCCAGGCACCTGGAGGCAGTTGGGGTCAGGAACCAGACGTCTCTATAGGATCAGCCTCCTGGGATCCTTCTAGGACCATGAAGATGCCCAGTTTTCTGTAGGAAGCAAGACATCTGGTGACTGCTCCATTCTGCTCCAATTCTCACTCACTCTGGCTGGTGAAGCCGCTTCAGGAACAACACCAGCTAAGCAGGAGGGCATTTGGTTTGGGGGAAAAATGACCTATTGAGTCCAAAGCAGCCTCTGTCCTCGTGGAGACCCTGTGCTCGTCTCAGGTGGAGGACGGTGGACTCCACAATTCCCAGCTGTCAATACAGGAGGGGGCTTCGTTTTCCTGGATCACCAAGGAAAAAACAAGAGAATTCTGGGGACTTGGTCCTGGAGAACACCCAGGGGGACCATCTTCCTTGGGAATACTTGGGACAAAGGGAAGACAAGACCTCTAGAGAATCAGACAGAGAAGGTTCCAGTCCCCAAGCCCCTTTGACCAAGAGGGACGATCATCACCCTCCAGGCAGCCCTCTAGAGCTCCTTCATTTTCCACAACTGCCCGAGGGCAGAGGCCTCCCCACCCCACTCCCAGACGAAGGACTCCATGTGTCCAGTGGGTCCCACAGCAACCATCAGTGACCGCACCTGAAGTCTGAGTTGATGAGACCTCCTCCTGTGGGGACCAAGCTTTGGGCACAGACTTGGACTGAGAATCACCCCCTCCACCCCATCAGGGTCCAGAACCCCAGGGAAATGTGGGATCTAAGGCAGGGAGGCTGCAAAGGTCAGGGCTTGAGTCTAGCACTGCACAGGGCAGGGCTGAGTGCACGGCCCAGGCCACATCTGGGTCTCTGGGCCAGTCATCACCTCTCTGACTCTAGACATCTCACCTGTGGAATGGCTACATTCGGGGACAGGATCCGCCCCATGGAG
Organism: Homo sapiens; assembly: GCF_000001405.40. NCBI lineage: Eukaryota > Metazoa > Chordata > Mammalia > Primates > Hominidae > Homo > Homo sapiens. The sequence continues at coordinate 16,933,767 of NC_000017.11, forward strand.
TTGCTGTGGGGATGAAGGAAAAGGCCATCTACAAGGTCAGCACAAAACCTGCACCTGGCGAGTGCTGAGGGATGCTATGACTCATCCCCACTATGAATAGAGGCAAAGAGGCTCCAAGGACAAACCCCCTGTCAGGTCATCCAGTGGCCAGCTGGCCAGGCCTCTGCTAGCCAGGCCCTACTGAGCAGGCCCCGTGACTATTTCCCCACTGATCATATTTTCACTAAGCCCCAGTGTCCAAGTCTCTGCTGACCAGGCCCCCCTGACCCAACCCATGATGACCAAATCTCTCACTGACCATGTTCTCAATGACGAGGACCCCGCTGCCCAGGTCCCCACTTCCCAGGTCCCAAAGCAGCAGTGCTCAAAGTCCCCTACCTAACTGCCCAAGGGCAGAAGGCTCTTCACCCCACTCCCAGACAAGGGACCCCCTGTGTCCAGTGGGTCCCACAATGACCCTCAGTGACCACATGTGAAGTCTGAGTTGGTGAGACCTCCCGCGGGGTCCCAGCTTAGGGCACAGACTTGGACTGAGGACCACCCCCTCCACCTCACCCATAGGATCTCTGTCCCAGTGGCTCTTCCAGGGCCAGACTCTGCCCCATCAGGGGCTGGAACCCCGGATGGATTTGGAATCCAGGGCAGGGAGGCCACAGAGGTCAGGGCTTGAGTCCAGCGTAGCACAGGGCAGGGCTAAGAGCATGGCCCAGGGTCACATCTGGGTCTCTGGACCAGTCGCTGCCTCTCTGACCCTAGACATCTCACCTGTGGAATGGGTACATTAGGGGACAGCACCCACCCCCACCAGCGTCACTGTGACGACCAACAAGACGAACATCTATACCGTCAGTGCAGAACAGGCACCTACCTGGTGAGTGCTCAGGGATGACCCTCCTCGGCACCCGCCCAGAGGCCAGCACTGCCTGGTAGCGACTGTCCCAGGTCAGCAGGGAGGGAACAGAGCAGGTCACACTCAGCTGAGTCTGCTGATCCAACTGTGCCTCTCACTTAAGAAAGCCTCCTCTGAGCAGAACCAGACATCGCTGTTTATCTTGTCTCTAAGAGCTCCAGACACAGAGAAGGCAGCCAGGTAGGCGGGTGGGTACTCAGCACCAGTGACATTACGGGATCACGGCACCCATCACAATGGGCCCCCGCCTGGGTCAGCAGGGCCCACAGTCACCGTCCTCCACCCCCGAAGCATCAACATGTGTGCATGCAGTGTGTTTGTAAATGTGAGCGTGCACATATATGTGGGTGAACACGTGCATATGGTGTGTTGCTTCTGTGGCTGGGCCAGGTGGCCCCATTCATGTACGCACTCAGGTCCTTGTCACTGTCACGCCCGGCCCTGGGCCTGTGGCCAGCATCAGAGTGTCCACAGGTGTTCCCCAACCTCAGCCCTCCCTAGGTGGGGCAGTCCTGTGGACGGGGAGCAGAGAATTGAGGGTGGAGGGCAGAGAGCAGGCCCCCTCTTTAGCAGGGGACTCAGCTAGGGTGTAAAGTGCTAGGTCTGTTGGGCAGGGCCGGATTCCACACACCTGCTCATCTCCTCCTCCCAGTAGCCCTCTGGGGTGATGTGACTCATCCCCACTACAGATGGCGGCAAGCAAGCTCCAAGGACAAACCCCTGCATGAGGTCACCCAGCAGCCGGCTGGCCAGGACCCCACTAACTAGGCCCCCACTGACCAAGCCTCCCCCGACAAGGCCGCTGCTGACCAATGCCCCCCCACAAGTCCTTCACTGACCAGGTCCTCACTGACCAGGTCCTGACTGACCAGGCTCTTGATGACCAAGCCCCCAGTAATCAGATCTCCACTTACCAGGTCCCCACTGACCAAGACCCATTGACCAAGCACCCAGTGACCAGGTCCTCACTGACAGTCCCTCAATGACCAGGCCGCCTGACCAACTCTCTGATGGCCATGCCCTTTCTGATCATATTTTTTGTGACCAAGTCCCAGTGTCCTAGTCTCTGCTTACCAGGCCTCTACTGCCAAGGTCCCTGAGCCATGGAGCTCAATGTCTTCTTTCAGTGACCCGCTTCAGTCCTCAGAGCCACCCCTCCCCACATTGGCACCCATAAGCCAGGCACTGGGGATCTTCTCAGGTCAGGGCCCCTCCTCTGGGACACAGGGAGGGGCACTCGGCCCCAGGCTTTGGGTGCCCAGCTTCATGCTCACCCCACAAAACCCTCTGGGCCCATCTCAAAGGGGGCAGTGAGGTGACCTGGCACCACCTGGACACACTGTCTGGGCCTATTCCTGAGCCACACAGCCAGAGGAACGGGGGGATGTTAGACAAGGCACCCCGCTCTGTTGGGCCTCCCAGGGCCCTTCCCTCAGAGCCCGAATCTGGTGACACAGCACAGAGGCTGCAGGGTGACCAGCCCAGAACCCTTGAGACTAGGCTGGGGACCACACAAGAACTGTCCACAGACAGCCAGAAGATGCTTTGCTAGTTTCTTGATACCTCATTTCTCACCAGCTACCCTTCCCCCACCAGGAATCCCCTTCATGCAGAGTCAATGAGGAGAGGAAGATGTCACAGAATCCGTGGAAGGAAAGAAAACAAAAGGTGGGTGGGGAGAAGAGTTGGGAGTGTAGCATTGTAAGGGTCCTATACTATGCGTATTATTTGAGGGTTGGCTGTGATTAATTAAAGGTGTTTCTTGCAGACAACCATTACACACACACTCTCACACACACACACACACATATATATATATATATACAGATATATATATGTGTGTATGTATATATATATAATAGAGAGAGAGGAGGTCTCACTCTGTCGCCCAGGCTGAAGTGCAGTGGCCCAAACACAGCTCACTATACAGCCTTGACTTCCCAGGCTCAAGCAATCCTCCCACCTCAGTCTCCTGAGTAGCTGGGACTACATGTGTGGGCCCCCATGCCTGGCTGCTTTTGAAATGGTTTGTTGTAGAAATGGGATCCTGCTGTGTTACCCAGGCTGATCTGGACCTCCTGTCCCCAAGCAATCCTCCAGGCTCAGCTGGAAGTGTTGGGATTACAGGGATGAGCCACTGCACTTGGCTTAGACATGTTTTTAAGAAGCATAAATACGAATTTCAGTGTTGCCATGAAGTCAGGCAGGGGTTGGCAAACTATGGCCCACAATCCAGATGCAGTCCCCTCCTGTCATGGTGAATAAAGGTTTATTGGAGCCACAGTTCCTCCCCTGTGTTCACTTCTTGTCTGTGGCTACTTAGGGCTGCAGTGGCGAAGCTGAGTAACTGCTGAGTAGGTGCAACAAAGACCACAGGGTCCACGAAGCCCAAGATGCTTACTACCAGGTCCTTTGCAGAAAAATCTTGCTGAGCCCTGGGGAGGGGCCAGGTGGCAGCGGGGAGGCCAGTGGGGAGGCTGGTACAGTAATCCAGGTGAAAAACGATGAGAGCTCAGATTAAAACTATCATGACAAGTGGCTGGAATCAGGATATATTTTGGGGAAAGGACCAACAATACATAGATAAAATGGACAGTATTTAGAGTTTCAGATTTTCTTTCTACCAAAGGATCCCTTTCTAAAAAAAAAAAAGAGTACAAAAGATCAATTTTAAAAACTGACCAAAGAAACACCACCACAAGATTATTTGTGTGATTGAAGCTGGGGTTGAGCCTGGGTACCTTGTGTTTTCAACACCCCTAAAACCCCGGCTGTTCCAGAGGCACCTACAGAGCCCCTTGGGTTCAGACGAGCAGAACTTGAAACCATGGATCGGAAGGAATAGAAATCTGCATATCTTTCACACAAGCCGTAACATTCTAAGCCGCATATTTGCAGGACGCTGACGTGGGGCTACTTCACCCACAGCCAGCAAGCGTCTGCGCCAGTTCTGGGATTTGTGTCCACCTTGTTGTAAGAAGGCAGCTGCTTGCGTGAGGCATGGCGGTGAGGAAACAATGCCACCCGGATCTCACCATTGGCCGTGTGGACTGGCTGTACCATGGGCCAGACGCATGTCTTGGGCAGACACTTTTTAGATGCCAACTTGCCTGTAGACAAAGATGACGCAGAGGTGGCCTCGAGGACGGCCTGTGTGATGGGTTGAATTTGTCCCCCGAAATTCCTGTGTTGATGTCCTAAGCCCCAGTGCTTGAGAATGTGATCTTATTTACAGATATCATCTTATAGAAATAAGTTAAAATGAAAAATGAGGTCAGTAGGGGGGCCCCCAATCTAACTACTGGTGTCGTTATTATAAGAAAAGGAAATGTGGACAGAGACACACAGAGGGAAGACGAGGTGAAGAGACACCGGGAAGGCCACCTACCTGCCAGGAGAGAGGCCTGGAACAGAGCCTTCCCGCACCGCCCTGAAAAGGGACCTTCCCTGCCGACACCTTGATCTTGGACCTACAGCCTGCAGGACTGTGAGACAGTGAGATTCTGTTGCTGAAGCTGCCCAGTCTGTGGTACTTTAAGGAAGCCCAAGCAAACCAATGCAGCGTGGTAGCCCACAGCTGGTGAAAAGATGGAATGAGCGACGGAGCCCCAGGCTTCCTGTCTACACCTCCCAAAGTGCGCTACGGGATCCTTTGGTGGGTGCAGGTTTGCAAGATAATTTTAGGAGGTGCAGGGTGCATAATTTCAATGTACATTATTATGGATTTATCTTACTGTGAAAATGCTTCTAAGAATAGTTTACTTAAGGTTTACATGCTACTCAAGATATAGCTTTAAATGCTAACAAAAAGTGGACTCAAATGAAAACATTCTCTTGCTGTGGTCCAGGGAATCTTGATGTTTTTTCCAGAGAGACTCGCAGCTTTCAGCTACAGCTGCCCTCCCCTTCCTGTCCACTGCACATCCCCACAACACACACACATATACATACATACATGCACAGACATCCACACGCACACACATATACGTACATGCACACGCATACATGCACACACATATGCATGCACACACCTGCACACACACACACACACACACACACACACACTGTGCGTCATGCCCTTACTAAGGAGGCATGGAAGGGAATGTGTGTCTGTAAGGAAATGAAGATGGCTCAAGCCCCTGGTTCCCTGGGTGTTTGCACAGGCACCCTCCCTGCAGACCTTTCTTTGGTCTCTTTCTCTCTCTTAGTGAAAGAGAGAAGCAGAGCCCCAGTGGGTACCCGGCTGCTTAGGGCTCAACCCAAGGTCACAAGCTTCCTCGAGAGCCTGGTGAGATGGGGGCACCACAGGGCCTCCCAAACCAAGGGGGCAGCGTTCAGTGGAGCCTGATGCCCAGGAAAGTGATAGACAAGATGTCTCAGTTCATCAAAGACCCAACCACAATGCAGTGAGGAAGGGCAGCTGCCAAAGGTTTTATTCTCCAGGAGGAGGGGCTCTCGGGGGCTGTGAGCAGCAGGCACGAGGACTTTATTGCACGTGTGGTTAGGTGATGACGACCTACAGCTGCACTGGGAACTGGGACTCAGAGTGCCCCGACCTCCTGCTCTATCTCTCTCTGTCCCTCTCTCCCTCTCTGTCTCTCTGCCTCTCTCCCTCTCTGCCTCTCTCCCTCTCTGCCTCTCTCCTTCTCTGCCTGTCTCTTTCCTTCTCTGCCTCTTTCCCTCTCTGCCTCTCTTCCCCTCTGTCTCTCTCTCCCTCTGTCTCTCTCTCCCTCTCTGTCTCCTCTGTTTCTCTCCCTCTCTGCCTCCTCTGTCTCTCTCTCCTCATATCTCTCTCCCCTCTCCCCACCTCTCTTTCTCTCTCCCCTCCTCTCCATCTCTCTCCCTCCTCCTTTCCCTCCCTGACCCCCATTTATGCACCTGGGCCCCCCTCCTGGGCAGGCACACACACAATGCCAAGGCCACTGTCTGGGATGTGTGGGCAAGGCTGCAGGACTGTGGTCCTGGTGTGGCACCCCCACCTTCCAGCACAAGTGGGGTCGGGGGTCCCAGGCGTGACTGCGCTCTCCTGCGTGGGCGCCCTGCACTCAGGGAAGCAGAAGCTGCAGGTCTCCACTGGCTCGGGGGATGTGCTCACAGGGCTGCCGGCTTCCATCGCGTGATCTGCAGAGGCGAGAGTGGAGGGCGTGGGCCAGGCCTGGCCCTGCACTAGGGTAGGGGTGACGGTGTGGGCAGCCGCACTCTCCCCCGACCCAGGAGCTAAGGGCAATCACCAGCGTAGAACGCCCCCAGACAGGTGTCAGTGTCCGCCAGTTGCTGACCAGAACCTGTGCCGGGGCAGGGGTGGGCAGGCAATTCTTGGCTCTCACTTCTGTCCAGCACCGAGCCTGCCACGCCCCCCAAGGGGACACCTCCTCCTGGGCTTAGCCCTGAAGGCTCTGCATCTGGAGAATCCTGGGCCCAGGCAAACCTGAAGACCGGCACCCCACACCCACCCTTCCCGGGTGCCACTCTCCCAGTTATCTGTCTGCCAGGATGTCTTAACCTGATTTTATCAAGGTATAGCAAGTAACAGGGATGAGCCCTGGGCCTCTCCACCTAGAAGCAGGGGCAGTGACAGGACCGAGGGATGGCCCGAGGCTTGTCACCCAAGCAGCGAGAAGGGCGAGGACCCCAGTTTCATGCACTCACCCTGGGAAGACTTGGCCGGACTTTGACGGGGCCTTGAGCGGGGCTGGCAGGAGCAGGGATCCCCCCTCTTCTTGAGGAAGCAGGCCACCGCCACCAGGAAGCAGCAGAGGACGGCACACAGGCAGAGCCCCAGCGTGCTGTAGACCAGGGCCACCTGATCTGCACTCAGCTTCAGCCCCGGGAGAGCTGCAAGACAGCATGAGACCCCTCTCTGCAGTGCCTTCTTCTCTTCCCGTCATTAGGCTCAAGCAATCCACATCCCCCCATCCCCCTGCTGTGAGCCTGTCTGGCTCCTGGAGAGGCTGGGCTCCTTTTCTGACCCTGAGGCTGCTGGGATGCTCTCTGGATCCTGGAGGAAGTTGATCCACTCCCCCATCCTGGCAGCAACTTTCTAAGGCCTCAAAGCTGGAAACGTGAGCTAGGCCTTCTTGTTGTCTCCACTTGCTAGGGCTGTAATTGGGACAGCGCTGGAGATGGGCTGATGGGTGAATCGACAGACGAACAGACGATGCTCCAGGGAGCATGTCTCTGTGCATCCTGAACTGGGCCCTTCCTCCAAGGAGAAAGCTTCCTGAGTGAGCGTTTACAGTCGTCCCTTGGTATCCATGGGGGACTGGTTCCAGGATCCCCTACAGATACCAAAATCCGCGGATGTCCAAGTGCCTGATACAAGACGGCCTGGCATTTGCATATAACCTATGCACATCCTCCTATACAATTAGAGTCATCTCTAGATTACTTATAATACCAAATACAATATAGATGCCATGTAGAAGGGTGTTATACTGTATTGTTTAGGGATAACAATGAGAAAAAATGGCTGCAGAGGTTCAGTACAGATGCAACTATCCCCTATCTTTTCTGAGTATTTTCCAGCTGCTGTTGGTTGAATCCACAGACATGGGTCGCACGACACAGAGGGCCCACTGTGTTTGAGAGTAGGACAGGCGACGTTACACTGAGACCAGGACAGCAGGTGCCAACCAGGAGGGCTTTGGGCATCAGGGCACCTGGCCACCCTATGACTCAGGACTTGTGCCTCCAGGTTTGGATGCCAGAGACAGACTCAGCCCAGGTGAAAGCCCTCCCCTTGGAAGTTCTCCTTATCCCAAAAGCTCTTCCTTGTCCCTGGAGCTGGGCATCCTCTAGGCGCTGGGTGGAAAGACAGATGAGCCAGATTTAAGATGACACGTCAAGAAGAGCGAGTCCCACTTCGTGCCGGGCACTTCCCCTACAGCACCCCCTTCATCTTCCCGCTCTGATGGCAGACAACTACCCCCATTAAAAATACTGAGAATTTGTATACCATCAAATTTGCTGTATTAAAGTGTACAACCAGTGGCTTTTAGCACATCACAAGGTTGTGCAGCAATGGCAACTGTCTAATTGGAGACAATTTTTATCACCAAACAGAAACCCTGTCTCATCAGCAGTCACTCCCCATTCCCTCTTCCCAGCCCCTGGCAACTGTTCATCTCTTTTCTGTCTCTGTGGATTTGCCTATTCCAGACATTTCATATTAATGAAATCATACAACACGTGGTCTTTTATGCCTGGCTCCTTGCACTTGGCTTTGAGTTTTCAAGGTCCACCATGTCCTGCCGTGCTGTGTATTAGACCTTCGTTTCTCTTTAGGCGGAATGGACAGACCACATCTGTTTACGCATTCAACAGGGAATGGGCATTTGGGTTGCTTCCACTTTCTGGCTATTGTGAATGACGTTGCTGTGAACATTCACATCCACATGTTTGTGTGGATGGATGTTTTCCATTTTCTTGGGTGTATACCTAGGAGAAGAATGGCTGGGTCACATAATAGCTCTGTTTTGTTTTTTGAGGACCTGCTGGACTGCGTTGCACAGCATCTGCCGTTCACACTCCATTTTACAGATGACAAAACTGAGTGTCTAAGATATTGTTCTCGGTCTTAGACCTGCACCCGGGAGCCGGTCTCACCAATTCCCAGGCCGGTGCTCCAAGCCCGCGGGCCACACAGCGGCCCCAGGGCTGGCACTGCCCGTCTTCCTCACACACGCTTTTAGATTCAGGAATCTCATAAAGTGACAGAGCTGCCAGGACTCTTAGGGGTCATCAGTGTCACTCTGACATTTACAGGGGGGAGATGGGAACTTGGGGTGAGTTCGTGTCACTCCGCCAGTCAGTGGCTGTCCTTCTGTCCAGTGCCCAGAGCTCAGAGAGGCCTAACGGAGGAAAGCAAAGACCCCAGGACCTGCAAACTTGGTGCCACATATCCAAGGCTTACCTGCTCCTATTCACCTCTCAAATCAAATGCAAACACTGCCCTGGAGGCATGAGCAGGGGAGACGCTACCAGCCCTCAGAGCACAGACAGAATGCCAGGCTACAGGTTGTTACTAAGCGGAAATGAACGGCGTTGATTCAAGGAGGAAAACTAAACATTTGTGCATATTTCAAACATTTCATCATAAGATTCTGAAACCCAGCTTTCAGAGACCATGCAAGTGTTCAGAGACCACACCCAGAGCACAGTCACCTGACATCATGCCCTGTGGACCTTCTGGGCTGGACTGGGCCTCATCCTATCCAGGAGAGTGCCATGGGGGCGAGGTTGTGCCACTCCAGGCCTCTGCCTCAAGAAGGCCTGACAGCCTCGGTGTTTGCTCCCTTGGGCCTGAGCTACCACTCGAGAAGTCCAACTGGAGAGTCCCAGTGGAGAGGGGCAAGCCCTGAGATCAGCTGGAGGGGAAGCAAGGCCTGAATATCCCAGCATCAGAGTCAAGCCTCCAATGGCTCTATCCCCAGCACCATCTGCATGACAGACCCCAAGCAAGAGCAGCAGAAGACCCGCCTAGCTGAACCCTGCCTCCCCACAGAGCCACGCAGGGTCACAACATGAAGATGAGGATCTGGTGCCAAGTGTCCAGATCCAGTGACAAGTGTCCTTATACAAGAAGAGAAGGGAAGAGACACAGGCACGAGAGAGAAGCCATGTGAAGACAGAGGCAGAGATGGGAGTGATGCAGCCACAAGCCCAGGAGGCCTAGTTCTGACCTTATTCCCAGAAGGGGTCACGGGCACCCCCAGTGTCTGCAGGACACAGAGGCTGAGCAGTTCCATGGCTGATCACATGCCAGCACCTCTCCCTCCAGTTCTAATCTCATGCCAATGCACTGTCCTTCTGTCCCCCTCCCAGGTCTCTGGTTCCTATTATTGCCAGAAGTAGCCTCTCACAGGGCCCCTGCTGCTATCGCCACCATCCAGGGGCAACAGAGAGCTCTCCCCACAGCCCTGCTCTGACCCCCTTCTCCCATGGCTGCCCCTGCCCCCAGCAGGACATCAGCCTCCCAGCCTGGCACATAGGGCCCTCTGTCATCTGGCATCTGGTCCCTCCTAGTGCCATCTCCAGCTGCCCCTGAATCCTTGCTCTTCCCAACTCAGTCCTCTGCAACCCCCATGTTGGGGGACAGGGTCCTGCCCTTGGTGCTTTTCCTCGTCTTCTGCCGGACAGATGAGCAGCCCCACCCAGTAGGGCAGGCTGCCTGGGCCACCTGTTCCCCTCAGGGAGACACACACACTCCCTGCACCTGCCCCGGAGCCCGGGCAGGAAGCTCCTCGCGTCGGCCTGGAGTCGTCGCAGTAGAACCCCACGCCAGTCTCCTCTCCTGCTCAACATCTCAAGCCATTTTCAGTCCAGCTTGGGAGCCTGCCCTCCTCTCCCCACCAAGCGCCATGTGTGAGCAGCAGGGCTTTCTGTGCTCTCTTGGTGAGCATGTGGAGCGGTCAGTCTCTACCTTCAAAGCAGATCTGGGGTGGGGTCCCTCCTGCTTCTGTGGAGTGGCCACCACACTCCTGCAGGCTGGGAGCCCGAGAGGAAGGGATTTATCCCAGCCTCCAGCACAGAGCCCCTCACAGCCTCCCAACGGCACAGTTCTCTGCTCCTAGCAGCACCTGTACATGCTGTTGCCTCTGTCTGGAACCCTGTCTCCACCGTGTGGCTTCAACATAGTTGCTTTTTGAATGAGCAGTTCCAGCGCACAGAGCACATGCTCCCCCAAAAACATATTCTCCCAAATCACCCTCACAGCAGCTCTATGAAGGCGAACAACTCCAGCCTCACAGAACTAAGGCTCAGAGAGGGTCGGTAGCTTGCTCCAGGTCACACAGCTTGTGAGGGACATAACTAGGGGTCTGGCTCCACACTCCACACCCGCACCCCAGCCTGCCCTAAAGACTCCTCCTCGGGGAAGCCTTCCTTGTCCCCGTGTCACCTGCAGCTGGGTTACGTGGCTCCCGTGCACTGAGAGGAATTTGTCATCTGCGTGGCTTGTCCACTGCCTGGCCTTCCACGAGACAGTGAGCTCCATGGGTCTGGGACAGGAACTGCCTCATTCTCCCCACTCCCCATGCACAGCAAGCCTGCCACAGTTCCAGGTCCCACTAAGGAGTGGCAGTTCTGAATGGGATGCAAGAGAAACCTGGAGTCAGGGTGAGGTGGGACCTGGCAGGGCTGGAGACAGGGAACGGCAGAATTCAGGGAGCCCACGGAAGGGGGCAGAGAACAGGTGAGCCCTTCCACCGTGTGCAGCTGGACAACTTGGTCACATGGTGTCCTCTGCTCTCTGCCCTTGAATAGGTCCACCTCTGGGTCCCTCCCCTGGCCATGTGGCTCTGTACTTCCTGTTTGCAATCCACAGCAAGCTCCCCTCCTGCCCCACCAGCCCATGCAGGCATCAGAAGTCAGAACAGAACAGACCTTAACCCTGGGCCCCTGGAGAAATAAAGGGCAGGGTAGGGCAGTGCACAGCGACAGTCACAGAGCCACCAAAAGCCGCGCCATGGCACAAGTGTGGCAGCTGATGTAGGGTGAGGCATGGTAATGCCGACCCCACTGGCACCAACACATCCTCACACAGCCCCCAATGCTCACAGCCTTGGGCTCCATCCCTGGAGCCAAGATGAGGCTCCAAGGTTCTGCCCAGTGCCCTCTGGCAAGGGGGCTTGGCTGATGGTCACACACATGAAGTGGCTAACCTTGTCCCAGGGGCAACAGTTCACCGCCAAGGAGCAATAGCCTGCAGACGCCACTCTGGGTCATTTTGCTGTTGCAGAGGGGACAAACTTTGGAACCCCCAGACTGTGCTCAAATCCCAGCTCACTCACGCATTCCCTGTGTGACTGTCAGCAAGTCACTCCAAATTTGAGACTCACTCTCTAGATCTGTGAGGTGGCTAGGAATGACCCACGGGGGAATCTGTTGCATCAGAGGTGGGCAATGTTCCAGGTTTGCAGGAAGTTTCAAATGCATCACTGGATGCAGGGAAGGTGCGCAGGTGGCCAGACACCAGGGCGGCAGGCATGGCCCCTCGCATCTGTGGCTGGGCTCTTCAGCCCCTCTGTATCCACACCCCCTCCATGTGAATCTGCACTTCTTCCCCTCAGGAGAGGCTGTGCTAGATTAAAAATGGCCTTGAATTCACCATGGCTACAGGTTTCCCCCCTCCCCCAGCTTGCTCCTTCCACCAAGAGGTGGCGTCTGTTTCCCCTCCCCTGAATCCGCTGGCACTGTGAATGGAAAGAAATGCAGCGGTGGTGATGAAGTGTAAGTTACCAGCCTAGGTGGCGAGAGGACTGCGTGCTACTGTCTGCTGCACTCCTGTATCGTCATGAGATGGACGCACCTGGCCAGCCCACTTGTCCCAGGAGGAGGATGAGAGGCACATGGAGCAGAGCCAGCCTGGCACAGCTGAGCCCAGCCAAACCCCTGACTCGGGAGAAAGCACACACCTCCGCATTTGGGGATGGCTTGTTAGGCAGCAGCAGCTAACTGACAGGAGAGCAGGAGATGCCAGGCTAAGCAGGGACAACAGGGTGCTGGGCAACCTCCATCATCAGGCACACAGGCCCTGCCCATGGGACCTTAGCCCTGGGACCTGGCCTCATGGAAATGATGTTATCACAGGAAAGTCACTGCAAAGGAAAGGAACCAATCAGCCCCAAGAAGAGCAGGACAGGCCGAGAGCAGGGCAGATGCCATCGCTAGTATTTATGGATCCACACGGCATCCCTCTTCTGTCCTTTCTGATGCCACAGAGCAGGGCAGGTGCAAAAAGAGGTGTTTGCTGGGATAGGGTTAATTAGATCATTTCTGATGCCTGGCACTTACCAGATGCCCAGCTCAACAGGACCCTTCTTGCCATGTCCAAAGTGGCCATCTCCAGCCATAAGTTTTTTCATTTTCTTTACTTATTTTTTATTATTTTTATTTTTATTTTTATTTATTTATTTATTTATTTTTTTTTGAGACACAGTCTCACTGTGTCCCTCAGGCTGGAGTACAAAGGCACGATCTTGGCTCACTGCAACCTTCACCTCTTGGGTTCAAACAATTCTCCTGCCTCAGCCTCCCAAGTAGCTGGGACTACAGGTGTGCACCACCAGATCCAGCTAATTTTTGTATTTTTGGTAGAGATGGGGTTTCCCCTTGTTGATCCGGCTGATCTTGAACTCCGAACCACAAGTGATCCGCCTGCCTCTGCCTCCCAAAGTGCTAGGATTACAGGCATGAGTCACCATGCTGAGCCTTCTCTTTTTACAATTTTTTTTCCCTCTGGCAGTTGTTAATGAACTACTTAAACATTTTAAGTGATACCTTTCCCTTCTCTTTCTTAGGAAGCCTCTTTTGCCTCTAAATGGAATCTGATGAATTCACAGCCAGATTCTAGCAGATGCACAAAGAAGAGCTGGTACCAATTCTACTGCAACTATTCCAAAAAATCAAGGAGGGTCTCCTTTAACTCATTCTGGAAAGCCAGCTTCACTCTGGTACCAAAACCTGGCAAAGACACAACAACAAAAAAAAGAAAACCACAGGCCGATATCCCTGAGGAACATAGATGCAAGATGGATTACAGATTTAAATGTAAGACCCTAAACTATAAGAATCCTAGAGAAATCCTGGAAAATACCATCCTGGACATTGGCCCTGGGAAAGAATTTATGACTAAGTCCTCAAAAGCAATTGCAACAAAAACAAAAATTGACAAGTGGGATCTAATTAAATGAAAGAGCTTCTGCACTGCAAAATAAACTATCAGTGTAAACAGGCAACCTACAGAATGGGAGAAAATGTTTGCAAACTATGCACCCAACAAAGGTCTAATATCCATAATCTATGAGGAAGTTAAACAATTCAAAAAGCAAACAACAAATAACCCCACTAAAAAGTAGGCAAAAGACATGAACAGACACTTTTCAAAAGAAGACATGCAAGCAGCCAACAAACATGACAAAATGCTCAACATCACTGATCATCAGAGAAATGCAAATCAAAACCACAATGAGGGACCATTTCACACCAGTAAGAATGGCTATTGTTAGAAAGTAAAAAAACAACAGATGCTGGTGAGGCTACAGAGAAAAGGGAACGCTTATACGCTGTTGGTGGAATGTAAATTAGTTCAGCCACTGTAGAAAGCAGTTTGGAGATTCCTCAGAGGACTTAAAACAGAGTTACCGTTCAGCACAGCAATCCCATTACTGGGTATATATCCAAAGGAAAATAAACCGTTCTACCAAAAAGATACATACACACGTATGTTCATCACAGCACAATTCACAATAGCAAAGACATGGAATCAATCTGGGTGCCCATCGATGGTTGGATAAAGAAAATGTGGTAAATATACACAATGAAATACTACACAGCCATAAAAAGAAAAATACGTTTTTTGCAGCAACATGGATGCAACTGGAGGCCATTATCCTAAGTGAATTAATGCAGAAACAGAAAATACCACATGTTCTCACTTATAAGTGAAATGCTAAGTGTCGAATACAGATGGACATAAAGACAGGAACAACAGACACTGGGGCCTACTAGAAGGGGGAGGCAGAGAGAGAGGGCAAGGGCTGAAAAACTACCTATTGGGTGCTATGCTCACCACCTGGGTGACAAGACCATTTGTACCTCAAACCTTAGCATCAAGCAACATACCCATGTAACAAACCCTACACATGTACCCCCGGATCTAAAAAAAAAAGTTGAAATTATAAATAAAATAATAATAGAAATAAATGGAGTCTGCAGCACTGGTGGAGGGCAGGTGGTGGCTGCTGCTCAGGTGCTCACACAGGTGGGTCTGCTGCTTACTTGTGCCTGTGCTTCAATGACTGGCACAGCCTCGGCAGCCTCTAGTGCAAGGCTCTTCCTCACACGGCAGGTCCTTTCTCCTGCTTTCTTCTTGTCCACAGACTTCTGGAAATGTTGCCTACATTGTTTTTTTTATCCTGGGATGATCTCCCTGGCTTCTGGCCATTTGCTTGGACTCTGGGCTTCATGCATTGTGGACTCTCCTGTTCTAGGCCTGGCATCAGGCCTCCCACGCTTTCTCACCCTGCGTGACACCATGCAGGTTTGCCTTGGGTGGCTTACCTGGACTTGCTTCTGAGCCTCTGTGCTCCAATCCTTGGTACCTTCCCGAGTTGTCTGAATTGTTTTCAACTTCTCCACTCCGCTGTCTCCTGAGCTCTGGTGGAAGGTTCACTGGGCTCCTGAGCTTGTTCTCACAGAAGTATGCACATTGCTTAGGGTGCTGTCCACAGATGGAGGCACAGCTGATGCAGTCCCTCAGGAGATGGTCATAGAACTTGCCTTGCTCCTTGCGGCAGCTGAGTGACCCTGGGAGAGAGAAATTCATGATACTGCTGGGTGACACAGACTAGCAGGAACTCTGGGTTTGACCACAAAGGACATCAAAGTTAAAAAAAAAAATACAGTAAAATTCCAGAAGGCAATTCCAGAGTAAGCCAAGTACTTTTACAATATACACATTGAAGACTATGCATTGTCCTCTAAGTACTATTTTAGCTGCATTGCATTTTGATGTGTAGTATTTTTCCTCTACCTAGATCAAAATGCACTTATTTTTCATTATTATCTTTTCTTTGACCTATGGGTTATTTACAAGTGCATTTCTTAGTTTCCAAACGTATGAAGATTTTCAGTTATCATTTAAAATTTAGATCTGGATTACATTGTTACATAAGACTTTTACTTGCATTTTTCAAGCCTCATCAAGGAGAAATATATTTCAAATCAGCATAAGGAAAGAAGGGGAAAAGCCAGAATCCTCTTTGACAAGCTGGGGGAGGGGGCTGGAAGGAAGGTGGAAAAGTTCACATGAATAGTGTTTCTTCTGTCTTAATACTAGATGAGAATTACAGCAGCTTACACAAGTATCAGTGCCAAGGCACAGAAGCCAAGGAAACTAAAGCCAAATCACACTTGCCTTAAGAGAGCACAGTGGACCCAACTTTGAATGCATAAAGAAACCTATTTGGAACAATCAATTATCTTATCTAAAGTCTCAGAATATTTCTAATTTTTTTTTTTTTTTTGAGAAGGAGTTTCGCTCCTGTCACCCAGGCTGGAGTGCAATGGCACGATCTCGGCTCACTGCAACCTCTGCCTCCCAGGTTCAAGCAATTCTCCTGCCTCAGCCTCCCGAGTAGCTGGGATTACAGGCGACCACCACAACACCCGGCTAATTTTTGTATTTTTAGTAGAGATGGACTTTCGCCGTGTTGGCCAGGCTGGTCGTGAACTCCTGACCTCAGGTGATCTGCCTGCCTCGGCCTCCCAAAGTGCTGGGATTACAGGTGGCATGAACCACCGCATCTGGTCTAGCCTCCGAATATTTCTACATGGAAGTTTTTACGTGAAAAAGGCAAGTTTCCTTTGTATTTAGAGTAAGGTATGGCTTTTGAGATGTCCTGACTTCGTAAATATGAATAAATAAATAAATAAATATGTATAAATAAAATATATGTGGCTCACACATATATTTTAAGGACACATTTTGGAGACAGTGCAGGATAGTGGATAAGAACCCAAATTTCAGAACCAAATTTCAGTTGGGGCCATCCCTGGCTGTACCACTTGCAGGCAGTGTGGTCTTAGCCTCTCCGTGCCTCAGTTTCCTCATTTCCAACATAGGGAAAATAACAGTACTGACTTCTTCGTAGGGTTGTTGGCAGAGTTGTAGGGCCCAGCACAGTGCCTGGCACATACTAAATGCTCACGTAATGGAAAGCTTAAGTAGAATATTCATTTGAGCCTCTTCACAAAGCAAACAGATCCGTTCTTGTGTCTTTGACAGAGTAAAGGAAGGAACTAAAAGATCACGGAATTGGGACCTTAGGGAAAACTCAGATGGCCCACATAGGGCCAGTGACCTCCCCTGCTCTGGCCCTGCCCTATCCCCAGGGCGCCCCTGAACCGCACAGAAACTGACACCTCCACTCTGCATCACACAGGGTTAGCCCAGCATTGGTGTCCTTGGGGCTTTCTGTGACCTCCTCCCCTGTTGCAGGTGGTGCTGTTGCAGGTGGTGCCTGAGTGCCCCAGCCCACTGACCCTCCCTGCCTGACCTCACACCCCTCCCTGCCTGACCTCACACCCCTCCCCTCCCCCGCCTGGGACTCAGTCCTCCCCACTGTGTTTCCCTCCTCTGAGCCTCTGCTCATAGTGCCCTTTCTTCCAGGTGCCCATCTGATTTCCGCATTCTGTGACCTCTTAACAATCTGCCTCTGATGGTGCTTCCTCTAGGGACACCTCCCTGCTCCCCAGCCCTTTAGCTGAAGGGGGTCTCTCCCAACTGTGGCTTTCTACCTTGACACATAGTCATTTCTCCCATTAGATGACACTGTCTTTGAAGGGCCACGGCAGATTCCTATTTCCATGGGGCTGGAGCACTCCATCTATGTTTGTGGGATGAACCAATGAATGTTCTAATTCATTAATGGGTAGTGGTTCAGGTCATGATTTAGGAGTCGGAGTCCTGGGTTCAAACCAGGATGTCGCTGTGACATCTCCACTTTTAAACTGGGTGATCTTGGGTGAGTCACTCAGCCTCTCTGAGTTCCCCGCAATAAGTATTCATGAAGGACTTACTATGTGTCAGGCACTGTGCTAGGCTCAAGTCAGACATGGTTCCCCTGCCAGGGAGCTCCCAGTCTAGTGGTTGAGTCAGACATAAAACACATACACATGAAAGAACAAAACAGCAAATTGTGGTAAGTTCTATCAAGGAAAAGAACAGGTTATGAAAAAGAACAGCAAGCAACGAATAATTTTCAAGACAATCAGGGAAAACTGGATATTGCCTGAGTATTAGATGATGTTAATAAATTATTGCTGGCAGTGATAGGATATTTGGATTATGTTTCACAGGTTTTCGTGGTCCAGTATCTGCAGGTAAAATTATATGAGATCTTGGCTGTGCTTTAAAATACACAAGGCAGGCTGGGTGCAGTGGCTCACGCCTGTAATCCCAGCACTTTGGGAGGCCGAGGTGGGTGGATCACCTAAGGTCAGGAGTTCAAGACCAGCCTGACCAACATGGAGAAACCCCATCTCTACTAAAAATACAAAATTAGCCGGGTGTGGTGGCACATGCCTGTAATCCCAGCTACTCGGGAGGCTGAGGAGGGAGAATCACTTGAACCCGGGCGGTGGAGGTTGCGGTGAGCCAAGATCGCACCATTGCACTCCAGCCTGAGCAACAAGAGCGAAACTTCATCTCAAAAAATAAAAATAAAAATAAAAAATAAAATAAATAAAATAAAATACACAAGTCAAAAAAATTGGTTGGGAAAGTACAAGGCAGAATTTAAACAATTTGTGAAGCTGGTGATGGGTGCAGAGGGCGTCATTGTGCTGTCCTCTCTATGTACATGTGTGATAAGTTCTGTAATAAAAAGTTTCAAAAGAATGTAACAACACACAGTGACAAGGGAGGGCCTAGTTCTACTGGGTGGTCAGAGGAGACCCCTGACGTTTGGGCTGAGACCTGAAGGTTGAGTAGGAGGGAGCTGAGGGAAGATGATAGAGGGAATGCATTCCAGGCAGCGGGAATAGCATGTGCAAAGGAACTGAGGCAGGAAAGAATGGACTGTGTTTGAGACACCGAAAGGAGGTTGTGTGACCAAAGCAGAAAGGTGGAGGGGTAAGAGGTGCCACACTGTACATCTCCTCCTGCCACCCTTTCCTCAGCCACCTGACTGTGGGGCCAGAGGGTGCTCTAGGGAGAAAGGAGGAGGGTGATCACACTGTCCCCTCGGCTCAGGCCCCAGAACTCACTGCAGAAGGCTGCACAGGTGCGCTGGCTCTGATGGTTGCAAATGGTTTTGCAGGACATGCAGGTACCCAGCAGAGGATCCCAGTACTGCTCTTCGGGGCAGGATCTCATAGCCACCCCCGTCCACAGGCCCTGTGGAACTGAGAGACCAGGAGAGTGAGGGCAGCTGGCAGGCGGCCACAGCCCGGCCTCTTGTCCCTGATGGGAACCAAGACGGCCTCTCCTGCCCACATTCGCACAGACAACCTTTCTGTCTGAGGAGCAGAGAGGGCAGACAAAGTTGGCTTCTAGCCCCCACTGCACTTGCTAGGGGCCTGGGGCAGCCACCTCCCCTCTCCAGCCTCAGTTTCCCCATCTGCACATGGTTGTTTTCAGGCCCCCTGCTCTCTCACATCAGCAGTGCCCTACTGGGCCCTGTTCCCTGCCCTCCTTAACGTGCCACGCCTCTCCCTGCCACAGGGTCTTTGCACCTGCTGTTCCCTCACATGACGTGCCCTTCTCCCCAGCCCCTGCCCCTCAGCTGTTTATTCCTTCTCAGACTGAGACCTCTGTCTAAACCTGATCTCCAAGGGAAGCCTTTCTGACTCACCCCCTAGACTAGGACACGGTCCTTCTTCTACACACTCGCACTGCCCTTTACCTGTTGCTGTGGTCACTTTCCTTCTATGCATGTGGTTATTTGATGCTGGCTCCTACACTAACTGTGAGCACCATCTGGCAGGGACTGTGCCTAATTTTTCTTATTAATTGCTGAGTCCTCAGAACCTAGATAGTACTTAGGACACAGCACCTGCTCATTAAGTGAATGGTTTCTTTAAGTACGGACCAACTCAGTGCCTAGCACACAGCAAGAACCAAGAATGTCAATTTCCTTCTTGTTTTCTTTTTTACTAAAGTATGAAACAACCACAATGATGTGTGTAAAGTGCACAAAAAGCTGAAGAATACAGCTTGGTGAAATTTGATGTATGTATGCACCTGTGTCATTACAGCCCACATGGAGATGTAGGACATTTCCTCACCCCTGAAGCCTCCCTGGGGTCCCCCGACACCCAATGCCCATGCCTAGAGGGAGCTACTGTTCTGTTGTTACCCTCATAGGCTAATATTGCCCCTTCTGGTACTTCCGTGTCTGGTTTTGTTCCTCCACTTGGTGCCTGAGACTCATCCATGTGGGCGCTCTCTGCATGTCTGGTTTTGTGTTACTGTGAATCTTCCACTGTGTGCATGCATCACCTTCTCCATCCTCTTCTGATTTCATGACATTTGCTTCCCCCAATAACTTCTCCTTAAAAATGCTTAAAAGCATTTTGCAAGGCATATGTTTGTTCTTTTTTTTTTCTTAGATGGAGTCTTTCTCTGTTGCCCAGGCTGGAGTGCAGTGGGTGTGATCTTGGCTCACAGCAACCTCCACCTCCCGGGTTCAAGCAGTTCTCCTGCAGCCTCCCAAGTAGCTGGGATTACAAGTGCATGCTACCATGTCTGGCTAATTTTTGTATTTTTAGTAGAGAGCGGGTTTCACTATGTTGGCCAGTCTGGTCTCAAACTCCTGACCTCGTGATCCGCCCGAGTCGGCCTCCCAAAGTGCTGGGATTATAGGCATGAGCCACCACGCCCAGTGGCATGTGTTTGTTCTTTAACGAAAGCAAGCTGAGGGAAGACCAGAGGTGGCTGGGCACCATGGCTCATGCCTGTAATCCGAGCATTTTGGGAGGTAGAGGTGGGAGGATTTCTTGAGGCCAGGAGTTCAAGATCAGCCTGAGAAACATAGTGAGATCCTGTCTCTACAAAAGGATTTTTAAAATTAGCCACGTGCTGTAGTCCCAGCTATTCAGGAGGCTGAGACAGGAGGATCGCTTGAGCCTGAGAGTTCAAGGCTGAGGTGAGCTATGACCACATCACTGCACTCCAGCCTGGATAACAGAGTGAGACCCAGTCTCTAAAAAAGGAAAAGAAAAAAGACCAGGGGCCTCTCATTTAACACGGCAGCTTAAACACAGGGGTTTATCTTCCTTCCCTCCTGAAACCATGCAAAGCTGACAGTCAAGTCCATCTATCTTCAGAGATCAAGGGAATGGCAGAGGTTTCTACAGCAAAGAACACATGTCTCTAACATTCTGGGAGATGGAGGAACCAGAGTGCCTGACTGCCTTTGAGAATCTCTCATCATTGATGCCTACATGGGAAGGAAGTTGTTCTGAGTCACAGAACTCAAGGAAGTCTCCAGATTTGGAGGCACCACGTATCTCTGACGGCAGGGCTGGGCAGAAGGGGTGAAGCTCTGTAAGAGGATTGGTTGGAAACTTACATAAAGAGGGTGTGACCCCAGCACATCCCCATTCCAAGGCAGGTGCCAGTCCCTCACCCACCCAGGCATAAGAGTGGGGTCTCCTTGGACACAGCTGAGGGTAGCAACGTGGTCCTTCCTGGCAACAGGGGAATTGTGATAATCTTCCTCCTGGACAGCCAGTCTCCCCTCTCCTTACCCACCCCAGTTTCTATCTAAGGAGTGTGGCAACCAGGTTTTTAAAGATGCCTCCCTCCCTACCCTGCAACTGGCAGGAAATCAGAAGTCTCTGCTCTGGGAAAACAGACCCAAAGGAAAAGACCCAGAGGCACTGACAGCGGGAGATTCTCTCCAGAAAATGTCCAAGTCCCTGCCTGATCCCACTGGGGCAAAGCTTCTACGTCAGTGAGCCCAACTGCTTACCCAGAACTTCCAGGCAGCTGTCAGTGCCTCAGTCTGACTTGTGAACCAATGGCCAAGGGTCACCTGATATGGGAGCACTGCCTCTAGCAGGAAAGCAAACTCAAACCAAACAGAAGGCAGACACCTGGTGCCAACGAAGACACGCGGGAAACAGAAGAGCATTTTAAAACAAGAGCAGCAACAGTTGAGATCCCCAGAAATATAAGAGAGGATTGTGTATCTAAGAAACAAAACAGCAGACTATTGTAAAGGACGTTCGTAGAACAAATGAGAATTGTTAGAATTATAATTTATAGCCAGAATAAAAACATCAGTAGAAGGGCTGGAAGATGTAATCGAATAAATTGTCTAGAAAATAAGAGACAAAAGATAGGAGATTATGGAATCATTTCAGGAGCTCCGAAGGTTGACTAATGATTGGAAGGACATTGGCTCCAGACTGAAGGAGTCAATCAAGTATCAGTGCAATACAGTCTCACAAACTAGGGTACATCATCATATTTACGAAGTCAAGACATCTCAAAAGCAATCCTGGGATGTGAGGAGTGACATGGAGGAAAGCAGTAAAGTGGCAAGCTCTGGGAATCTGTGCCTCCTGCTAAATGACTACGGAGCTGCCAGCCACTGTCTGAAGTCACTATTTGGGAACTGTGGAGTTGTCCAGGGGAGAGCTTGATGGTAAATTTTAGGAATTTCAGCCTATCACATGGTAGTGGCTACTTACTATTCCATGGCAGTGCCACTTGGCTAGAGCCAGGATAAGCAAGAAGGACCCTTGTCCGCCAAATATTGAGGTTGTGGGTTCTGATTGCTGATGGCTACCTGTGACCACTGAGGGG
Organism: Homo sapiens; assembly: GCF_000001405.40. Taxonomy (NCBI): domain Eukaryota; kingdom Metazoa; phylum Chordata; class Mammalia; order Primates; family Hominidae; genus Homo; species Homo sapiens. Next base: position 16,955,993 of record NC_000017.11, read on the forward strand.
CCGGCACAAAGGACATTGTTTCAACCCTCAAGGGCTGAAGTGGCTTCCACGGGATTTAAAGAGACAGTATCCTTCTCTGGTCTGGGAGCCAAGCACTTAAGGAAATCTTTGTTGGGTCACTGGTTGACTGCAGAGATAAAAGAACAGAAACTTCAGTGACTACACACAACAAGGAATACATACTGTGCAAAAATACAAATTAAATTTGGAAAAATACATAGCTTAAAACTAAAAGCTTGGAAAAGTCACAAACAGATGGCTTCAGCCCTTAACAGGCAAGTTTCAGCAATCCTTGAGGAGTGGTAAGGTTAGATTTCCAGTCACCACAACGTAACACTCAAAATGTCCAGGTCTCAAAAAAATATTACAAAGCATACAAAGCAGCAGTTTTGCCACATTTACAGGAAATACAGACTATGACAGAAACCATTTCCAGGGACGTCTATATATTGGGATTACTAGTCAAAGGTGTGAAATCAAGATTTGTGTTAGGCATGTTCAATGAGCTTAAGGAAACCGACAGAGAACTAAAGGAAGTCAGGAAAATGTTGTGTGAACACAATGAGCACATGGTAAAGAGAAAGAAGTGGTAAAAAAAGGAACCAAAACTTGGAAGCAACCAAAATGTCCTTCAGTAGGTAAATGTATAAATAAAGTGTGGTATATTCAAACAATGGACTGTTATTCAATACTGAAAAATGAGCCATCAAGGCATTAACAGACATGCAGTAACCTCAAATGCATATTACTAAGTGAGAGAAACAAAGCTAAAAAGTCTACTGTATGATTTCAACTCCATGACATTCTGGAAAAGTCAAAAACTATGGAGACAATACAAAAATCAGTGATTCCCAGGGGTTGGAGGATGGGAGGGATGAGTAGGTGGAGCACAGAGGATTTTTAGGGCAGTGAAGCTACTCTGCAAGATACTCCGATGGTGGACACATGTCCGCATACATTTGTTCAAAGCCATGTACAACACTGAGAGTGAACCCTAATGTAAACGTCGGACTTTAAATGATAACGACGTGTCAGTGTAGGTTCACTGATTGTAACAAATGCACCATCTGGTTTAGGATGTTGCTAGTTGAGGAGGCTGTGCGGGGGGATGTGGACAGGGATGTGGGAACTCTCTGTACTTTTGCTGAATTTTTCTGTGAGCCTAAAAATGCTCTAAAAGTAGTCTTTTTTTTTTTTTTAAAGAACCATACAGAAGTTCTGGAATGAAAAAGTTCAAAAAGTGAAATACGAACCTTAATGGAAGGGAACTATCGCAAATTTAAGCAAGCAGAAGAGGCAATTGGCAAACTTAAAACAATTGAAATAATAGTCTGTGTAGCAAAAATGAAAAAAGATTGAGGAAAATTGAACAGAGCCAAATGTACTAATGTATGCTCATAGAAGTTACAGAAGGAGAAGGGACAAAATGGCAGAAAAAGTATTTGAAGGAATAATGGCCCCAAATTTCCCAAATCTGAGAAGACGTGAATATACTCATTCAGGAGTCTCAATAAATTTGATGCAGGAAAACCTCAAAGAAGCCCACACCAGGACATATTACAATAAAATCAAGGAAACCCAAGGCCAGAGAGAATTGTGAAAGCAGCAAGAGAGAAGCAACTTCTTGTGTACAAAGGATCATCAATACGGTAACAGCTGATTTCTCCTAAGAAACCATGGCAGCCAGAAGGTAGTGAAATGATATATTTAAAGTCCTCAAAGAAAACAGTAAGCTGTCAACCAGGAATTGTATATAATTTTAAATCACCTTTCAATAATGAAGGAGAAATTATGACTTTTCCAGATAAACAAAATCTGAGCAGTGCATTATCAGTAAACTTGCCCTACAAGAAATCCTAAAGTGAGTCTTTCATGCTGAAATAAAAGTACTCTAGACGGTACCTTGAAGACATAAGAAAAAGTGAAGTAAATATAAAGGTAACTAAATAAGTAACTATAAAAGCCAGAATTATTTTACATTTTGCATGGTTTGTAACTCCTATTTTTTTTCTATATGATTTAATAGGCAATGAGTTAAACAGTGATTGCAAACCTATGTTAGTGGTCATAGAGTGTACAAAGATGCAGTATGTGATAATCACAATATAAAGGGAAAGGCAGGGACATACAGGAGCAAAGCTCTTATGACCTACCGAAACTAAGTTGATATTATTCAAACTAGGACGTCATAAGTTTAAGATATTAATTGTAATCCCCAAGAAAATAACTAAAATATGTATAGAAAAAGAAAGAAAAAGGGACTCAAAGTGGCCCACTACAAAAAAAATGAACAAAATACAAAAATGAAGTAATTGAAGAAACAAAAACATGTAAGACATACATAAAACAAATATATAAATGGCTGAAGTAAATCTTTATCAGTGATCATATTAAATGTAAATGAACTAAACTCTGCTAGTAAAAAAAAAAATTGGCAGATTGGATTTAAAAACCCACAGGCTTCATGTATATTCAGTGTATAAGAGACTTACTTTAGATTAAAAAAAAATACAAAGCCAGAATTATTTTACTTTTTGCGTGGTTTGTAACTCCAATTTTTTCCTATATGATTTAATAGGCAATGAGTAAAATAGTGGTAAAATAGAAGTTGAAAGTAAAAGAATGGAAAAGGTATTTTATGCAAATAGAAAGCAAAAGAGAGCTGGGGCAGCTATACTGTTGTCAGACAAAGCAGACTTTAAATCACAAAAAAATTACAAAAGACAAAGAAGGACAATATATATTAATAAAGGGGATACAGCATAAAGATGTAACAATTATAAATGTATACACACCTAATGACAGGGTTCCAAAATATATGAAACAAAAATTGACAGAGTTGAAGGGAGTAATAGATAGTCCTACACTAATATTGGGATATTTCAGTACCTCACTTTCAATAATAAGACAGAACTACCAGACACATAAATAAGAAAATAGAGGACATCAAGAACACTATAAACCAATTAGACATCACAGACATATAGACAACGCTCAATGCAACAACAGCAGAATACACATTCTTTTCAAGTGCACATGGAACATTCTCCAGGATAGACCTTATGTTCAGCCACAAAACAAGGCTAAACTTTAAAATTTTTTAATTTTTTAAAATTAAAATTATTCAAAGTTTCTTTTCTGATCATAGTGGTATAAAACTACAGATCAATAACAGAAGGAAAATTGGAAAATTCACAAATATGTGTAAATTAAACAACACGCTCTTCAACAACAAATTGGTCGAAGAAGAAATGACAGGGGAAATTATAAAATATCTTGAGACAAATGAAAATGAAAATACAACATACCAAAAGTTATGAAATACAACAAAAGCAATGCAAAGAGGGAAATTCATGTAAATACATACACTGAAAAAGAAGAATCATAACCTGATCATAACTAAATCATAACCTAATTATATACCTTGAGGAAATAAAAATAGAACAAACCAAATCCAAAAATAGCAGAAGGAAAGAAATAATGAATACTAGAGCAGAGATCAATAACACAGAGAATGAAAAAACAATAGAGAAAATCAACAAAACCAAAAGCTCCTCTTTGAAAAGATCAACAAAATTGACAAACCTTTAGGTAGACTGACTATGAAAAAGAGAGATGACTCATATTATTAAAATCAGAAATGACATTAAGAACTTTATTACTTATTTTACAGAAATAAAAAGGATTATAAAAGAATACTATAAACAATGGTACACCAACAAATTGGATAACCTAGATAAAAATGGACATATTCTTAGAAATACACAATCTACCAAAACTGATGAATGAACAGAAAATTTGAATACTCCTATAACGAGATTGAATCAGTAATCAGAAACCTACCAGTGACAAGCTCAGGACAAGACTGCTTTACTAGTGAATTCTACCAAAACATTTAAAAAAGAATGAACACCAATTCTTCTGAAACTCTTCCCAAAAACCAAAGAGAAAAGAACACTTCCTAACTCATTCATGAAGTCAGCATTACACTAATACAAAATTACAATAAAGATGTCACAAGGAGAGAAAATTACACACGAATATGTCTTATGTATACAAATTGAACCCAATGGCACATGAAAAGTTTATTCACCATAACCAAGTGGGATTTATTTTTGGAGTGCAATGGTAGTTCCACACTAAAGGAATGAATAATAAAACTTAGTGGTCTTCTCAATTGATGCAGAAAAAGCACTTGACTAAATCCAACTTTTTTTAATGATAAAAACACTTGAGAAGCTAGGAATAGAAAGTAACTTTCCTATCATGATAAAGGCCATATTTGAGATCCCACATTCTCAATGGTGAAAGTGAAAGCTTTGCCCTAAGATCAGAACAAGGCCAGGATACACACATTTGCCACTTCTTTTCAACATAGCACCAGGAGAACTAGCCAGAGCACTTAGACAAGAAAAAGAAATAGAAGTATCCACAGTGGAAAGGAGAGCATAAGATTATCTCTGTTCACAGATAACCCGATCTTATATGTAGAAAACCCTAACAATTCCATTCAATGGGGAAAAGGACAGTCTCTTCCATAAATGATGCTGAAAAAATTGGATATTCACATGCAAGAGAATGAAATTGAATGCTTACCTAATGCCACATACAAAAATTAACTCAAAATGGACTAAGTGCTAAAACTATAAAACTTTTGGAAGAAAACATAGGGGAAAATCTCCATGCACTAAATTTGACAATGATATCTTGGATACAGCACCAAAGGCATAGGCAATGAAAGGAAAAAATTAGATAAATTGGACTTCATCAAAATTTAAAACTTTTGTGCACCAAAGGACACTATTGAGAGAGTGAAAAGACAACTCACAGAATGGGAGAAAATATCTTCAAATCATATACCTAATATGGGGTTAATATCCAGAATATATAAAGAACTCCTAAAACTCAACAACAAAAAACCAAACAACTCAAGTCAAAACTGAGCAAAAGGCTTGAATCAGCATTTCTCCAAATAAAACATTCAAGTGGTCAACAAGCACAAGAAAAGATGCTCAACATCATTAGTCATTAGGGAAATGCAAATTAAAACCACAATGAGATATCATTTCACACCCATTAGGATGGCTATTATTAAAAATGGAAAATAAGCAGCGTTAGAGATCTGAAGCAAGTGGATGTGAAGGCACTGCTCATGGGAATGTATAACAGAGCAACAGCTGTGGAAAAGTCTGGCAGATCCTCAAAAAGACAAACATAAAACTACCACAAGACCCAGTAATTCCACTCCTAAGCAAACATCCAAAAGAACTGAAACAGGGATGTGAACAGATACTTGTGCCCCAACATTCAGAACAGCATATTCACAACAGCCAAAGGTGGAAACAGCCCAATCGTTTATCAGCACATGAATGGACAAAGAAAATATGTTACAGGTACACAGGATACTATGATGTTATTAAAATGAATGGAATACTTATACATGCTACAATGTGGATAAACTTTGAAGATATTATGCTAAGTGAAATAAGACAGTCATAGAGAGACAAATATTGTACAATTTCCCTTACCTGAGGGAAGTAGAAGAGGCAAATTCACAGAGTTAGAGAGTAAAATAGAGGTTAGCACAGGCAGCCGTTATTGATTAATGGGGTACAGAATTTCTTTCTGGGGCCATAAAAAAGTTTTGGATATAGATAGTGGTGCTTGTGCATGTACGTAATGCCACTTCATTGAATATGTCATGATGATTAAAATGATAAAAGTTTCATTATATATATTTTACCAGCAAAAAGTGGAAGTAGAAAGCAGAAAGTAAGCAGAAAATGGAGCAATGCCTTAAAGTTTAGGATAGAAAGTTATTTTCAGTCTAGAACATTGTTATCTATCAAGTGCGAGGTAGAATAAAGACGTTCTCAGACATGCAAGATCTTGGAAGCTACTGGAGGGCTTGCTCCACTGAATCTGGGGAGTGGCCAAAAAAACCACGGGTAGAACAGGACCCCTGTCAGCAGAGAGGAAGATGGACATTCTCAGCATGATGGTGAAGGACTTCCCCAGTGACAGCTGCTTGAAGGTCTAGAGGGTACTCTATCCCAGCTAAAATGGAAGAAGGGTAAATGTCACCAGTGAAAATACAGAAGTGATAAGTGAGGATGTCTGACCAACTGACAGGGTGGATTTGTCCCAGAGCTGGAGATGAATTACCTGCATGGAAAACAGAGGAGTTACCAACTCCAGGGAAACAAAAGACATTACTGAGAAAAGAAAGGTAGGCCAGGTGTGGTGGCTCATGCCTGTTCTCCAATCACTTTGGGAGACCAAGGCAGGTGGATCATTTGAGGTCAGGAGTTCGAGACCAGCCTGGCCAATATGGTGAAACCCTGTCTTCACTGAAAATACAAAAATTAGCTGGGTGTGGTGGTGCATGCCTGTAATCTCAGCTACTTGAGAAGCTGAGGCAGGAGAATCACTTGAAACCAGGAGACAGAGGTTGCAGCGAGCTAAGATTGTGCCACTGCACTCCAGCCTGGGCCACAGAGTGAGACTCGGTCTCCCCCCCCAAAAAAAAAGAAAGAAAAAAAAAAGAAAGGAAAAGAAAGGTAATCATAGGACATGTACAGCAGCTCAGCTGTGGGCAATATTTATATTGTCATAAATAAATGAGCCATCTGAGTCAACAAATAAGGTGGAGATGTGGAATTATTCCTTCTGTAAAAGAGTTTACTCACTGTGAGAGCCATTAGACCATTGTCAGTGAGCAAAGGCAAAAACAGGCTTTCTAGGAGAGAGCAAGGAGAAGGGGAAGAACAAAACTGCAGAGGAGTTGACATTCTGGAGCAGAGCCGGCAGCCAGCAGGTCTATCTTGACTCCAACTGAAAACGCACCCCTCCTTCACCGGGGGCCGGGGGAGGGGAAGCTGCATGCATGCAGATAGTGACGTCCAAGTTAAGTTCTCACCTTAGAAAGTGGGGAATCAATCCAGAGCGTCTAAAATGGACAAGTCAAGGACCAGCAGGGGGAGTGGACCAGATTCTGAGCCACTTTGGGGATGAGCCTGGGGAAAGCCACAGGGCAGCCCTGCTTGGAACCCTGGGCTGTGAGTCATGGGGCTGGTACTCCTTGCTGTGTGACCTTGGGCACGACTTCTGCTCTTGGACACCCAGCGTCCTCCCCTGTAAGATGAGGATGCTGTTGCTTACTCACAGAATCACTGTGAGCAGCATATGCATGGCAGGTGCCTAGTATGGTATTGAGCACGTTAGTAAAGACAACCCCCTGAGCTGCTGCCCTTATTAATATTGCCATTTCTTATGATAAGGAGTGCTGTGCTGGACAAGGCCTACACCTGGATCGAGACAACAAAAATTTTAGGGGCCAATTCCTGTTGGCGTGAGCCAACTCCCTCTTTTCCTCCTTGGTGGGGAGGTGTCTGTGCAGGAGTGAAGGAGCAGGGTTGGGGCGATGGGTGGGCTCCTCATTCTTGCCCTTTACAATTTCACCAAGAAAACCTGTAGATGTGACTGAAAGAGAAGGAACAGTAAAAGCTTGGCAGATAGGAGGAATTTCTTATCAAGTTTTGTTTTTGTTTTTGTTTTTGTTTTTTTGGTTTTTTCGAGACGGAGTCTGGCACTGCCACCCAGGCTGGAGTGCAGTGGCACCATCTCGGCTCACTGCAAGCTCCACCTCCTGGGTTCACGTCATTCTCCTGCCTCAGCCTCCAGAGTAGCTGGCACTACAGGTGCCCACCACCACGCCTGGCTAATTTTTTTGTATTTTTAGTAGAGACAGGGTTTCACCGTGTTAGCCAGGATGGTCTCGATCTCCTGACCTCCTGATCCACCCGCCTCGGCCTCCCAAAGTGCTGGGATTACAGGCGTGAGCCACAGAGCCCGGCCTTTCTCATCCAGTCTTTCAAGCAAACACTGACTGCAAACTTGGGCTGGGGGCTATGAGTTGAGCTCACCAGTGGGGTAGGGGCAGGAGAGGATTCCAGCGTGCAGAGATAGGGTGTGTGCCCCGATAAGGCTGCAGCCTGAGACCTGAGGGATGTGCATGGGAATGGATGGTGACCTTACAACCTGGCTTCTGCTAACTGGGAAGGAGAAGGAGGAAGAAATGGAGGAGGAAAAGAAGGATGAGGAAGAGGAGGCAGAAGAGGAGAAGAAGGGAAAAAGAAGAGAGATGAGGAAGACAGGGAAGAGAAGGAGAGAAGGAAGGAGGAGGAGGAAAAGATGGCTTTTGGTTTCTGTGAGCTGTATATGCTTTTTCCCCGGGCTATTTTGAAATACTGAAAATGGCTCTAAGACCCCCCTGCCTGCTCCCACCTCCACTCAGAATGAACCTTCAGAGATGTTCAAGGTTGAGAGTCCACCATCTCCATGCCTTTTTTTTTTTTTTTTTTTTTTGAGATGGAGTTTCACTCTTGTTCCCCAGGCTGGAGTGCAGTGGTGAGATCTCGGCTCACTGCAACCTCTGCCTTCCGAGTTCAAGCAATTCTTCTGCCTCAGCCTCCCAAGTAGCTGGGATTACAGGTGTGTGCCCCTACACCCGGCTAATTTTTGTATTTTTAGTAGATGAGGTTTCTCCATGTTGGTCAGGCTGATCTCGAACCCCTGACCTCAGGTGATCTGCCTGCCTCAGCCTCCCAAAGTGCTGGGATTACAGGCGTGAGCCACCACGCCCGGCCTCCCATGCTGGTTCTAAAGGAAGAAGAACTTAGTTAGGTCCTGGGAAAACTGGTCAAGTCACCTTCTCAGTTTTCTGTTTGTGAAATGGGGACAGCCACTTCTACCCATCATAATTTTCACCTCCTGCCAGCTCATGTTGAAAACGGATTCGCCATGGTTCAGTGACCCAGAGTGTGCCGGAGTGAAGTGCCCGTGGTGGGGAAAGCACGGCTGAGTCATCTTGGGAAGGACTCTGGCTGTGCACAACCTCAGTTTTCCTGACCTGTAAAATGGACACTCTAGACTTTCTTTTGTAGATCTTCTCAAGGGTGTGTACATGACAAGCATGTAACTGGCCCAAGACATGGCTGCTGCTACTGGTATAATAACTACCAGTAGTGATATAAATAGTATGAAATATAATGGGTTAATAGTTATCATTTTATAATAATTTATAATAATGTAAAATAATTTTAATATTAGTGATAATTAACATTTTCTTTTGTAGAGACAGGGTCTTGCTCTGTCTCTACAAAATTACAGTGGTGCAATCATAGCTCACTGCAGCCTTGAACTCCTGGGTTCAAGTGATTCTTTCCCCTCAGCTTCCCAATTAGCTAAGACAACAGCTGTGAGCCCCTGTGCCCAGCCAATGATAATCATTAATAATGATAGTAGCATCAAATTAGTGCTCTGGGCTGGGGGAACTACCCCCAGAACCTGAACTCCCAGAACCCACTGCTGGGTGACATTTCTTGTTGGTAATGTGACATTTCAGGGTATAGCCATTCTGCCTCCCCGTACTGTCTCATTTGTCTCTGAATCCAGTGCCTTCCAAGATAGCAGGCACACAGCAGGTGCTGGATAAATGCTAATCAGTAGCTGGATATAGTTGTACTCAGTAAAGACTTGCGGAAGGAAAAGCAAGCCGCATTCTTGCACTGTGCTGATAGACAGCTGGGCAGGGATCATACTGAGTTTCAGCAGCAGCTCCCTCCCTGCCTGCATCTCCTCCATCCAGGGAGGATGCAGGGAGAGGTGGCCTGGTGGGGAAAGGTGAAAGTCCTGGGTGTTGCTTTCAACACTTGGGAGAGAGGATTCTTGGCACAAAGTGACTGGGCCAGAAACGAGCACAGGAAATAATTTCCCTCAGATCGAAAAGCAACCCGCTAAAATATTTAAATGTGAAAAGAATAAAAACATGTAAATTTAATAGAGAAGAAACCATTTCATAATTTTTTTACATCATCAAAGTGTGAAAGGTCTTTCTAACTATGACCCAAAATCTCTAAAAGAAAAGACGCATAACATAGAATCCACAAAACAACAGGCAAACAAAAAAACTTTTTTATGGCTGGATGCGGCGGCTCATGCTTGTAATCCCAGCACTTTGGAGCCCGAGGTGGGTGGATCACCTGAGGTCAGGAGTTCGAGATCAGTTTGACCAATATGAGGAAACCTTGTCTTTACTAGAAATACAAAAATTAGCTGGGCATGGTGGTGTGCGCCTGTAATCCCAGCTACTCAGGAGGCTGAGGCAGGAGAATCTCTCGAACCCAGTTGGGGGAAGTTGCAGTGAGCCGAGATTGCACCACTGCACTCCAGCCTACGCAACAGAGTGAGACTCCATCTCAAAAAAAAAAACACCAAAAAAACAAAAACAAAAAACGACAACAACAAAAACCCCAAAACTTCTCTATGACAACAAACACCCAATTCCAAAGACATATGAAAAACAGGCACAAAACCTTTGCAACTCAGATCTAAAGAATAAGCAGAAAAATAAAGAGCTACCCATGAGAAAAATGGGCAAAGGTCATGAATAGACAGTTCACAGTCAGGGAAATACAACATAAGGATGCTTGGTCTCATTCAAAAGAGACAGGCAAATTCAAACTACACTGATACCATATTCATGCTGAGATTGTTAAAACTCCAAAAGTTTAGTAAAACCTTCTATTGGCAGAGCCTGTGGGGAGAGTGGCATTCTTATTCATTGTGGAAGGAGAGTAAATAGAAATAACCCCCATGGAGGGTAATTTGGCAACATTTGTCAAAATTACTGATGGATTTACCCACTGACCCAGTGATTAAACTTTGAAATTTATCCCGAAGTGTGAAATGATAAATTTATTACAGCAACATTTTTTTTTTTAGTATATGTGCTGCCGAAGTGAGCACAACATTTGGTTTTTTTTGTTTTTTCTTTTTCTTTTTTCTTTTTTTTTTTTTTTTTGAGATGGAGTCTCACTCTGTCTCCCAGGCTGGAGTGCAGTGGTGCGATCTCGGCTCACTGAAACTTCTGCCTCCTGGGTTCAAGCGATTCTCTTGCCTCAGCCTTCCGAGTAGCTGGGATTACAGGCACTCGCCAGCATGCCTGGCTAATTTTTGTATTTTTAGTAGAGATGGGGTTTCACCATGTTGGCCAGGCTGATCTGGAACTCCTGACTTCAGGTTATCTGCCCACCTCAGACTTTCAAAGTGCTGGGATTACAGGTGTGAGCCACCACGCCTGGCCAATTGCAGCAACATTTGTAATAGCAGAAGATTAAAAGTAACCCAACATCCATCAGCAGGGAATTGACTGAGTAAATTACAGTACATTTATACACTAGATTGTTCTGTAGCTATCAACAAAAGTAATGAGGAAGCTCTCTGTATGTTGCTGTGGAAAGAACAGCAAGGCATATTAACTAAAAAACAAAAATAAAAACAAAACAAGGTATATAACGGCATGGCTCATAGGCCCTGTTTTTGTTTTGGAGGTTATTTTTGAAAAAAGGGGGAAATTCTAATCATATTTGTAAATGGTCATGTATACATTAAAAAATTGTGTTAAAAATAAGAAACCAGGCCGGGCGCAGTGGCTCACACCTGTAATCCCAGCACTTTGGGAGGCCGAGGCTGGCGGATCACGAGGTCAGGCTAACCTGACCTAACATAGTGAAACCCCGTCTCTACTAAAAATATATAAAAAAAAAATTAGCCGGGCATGGTGGTGGGTGCCTGTAGTCCCAGCTATTCAGGAGGCTGAGGCAGGAGAATGGCGTGAACCCAGGAGGCGGGGCTTGCAGTGAGTGGGGATCACGCCACTGCACTCCAGCCTGGGCGACAGAGTGAGACTCCGTCTCAAAAAAAAAAAAAAAAAAAAAGAAAGAAAGAAAAAAAAAAGAAACCAAACACACTATTTTAAGGAAAATATTTAAGAAAAAATTTAATAAAAGAAATGCAAGAAGGCCAGGCATGGTGGCTCACGCCTGTAATCCCAGCACTTTGGGATGCCGAGGTGGGTGGATCACGAGATCAGGAGATTGAGACCATCCTGGCTAACACGGTGAAACCGCATCTCTACTAAAAAAAAATACAAAAAATTAGCCGGGTGTGGTGGCGGATGCCTGTAGTTCCAGCTACTCGGGATGCTGAGGCAGGAAAATGGCATGAACCCGGGAGGCGGAGCTCGCAGTGAGCCGAGATCGCACCACTGCACTCCAGCCTGGGCGACAAGAGCGAAACCCTGTCTCAAAAAAAAAAAAAAAGAAAAAAGAAAGGAAAAGAAATGCAAGACATACATGAAAACTAAAAAACATTGCTGAAGGAAATTAAGGATTTAAATAAATGGAAAGCCATCCCATGCTCATGGATTGAAAGAAAACAAAGCATAGTTGGAAGACTCATGTTTCCCTACTTCAAAACTTATTGCAAGGCAATGCTAATTAAGATAGGGTGGTACTGGCATCAGACAGGCATAAATCAACAGAATATAATTGAGAGCCCAAAAATAAAGCCTAACAGTTATGATCAATGGATTTTCAACAAGGATACCCAGACTATTCAATGGGAGAAAGAATAGTGTTTTCAAAAATGATGCTGGGTCAACTGGGTATTCACATACAAAAGAATGAATTTGGACCATTATCTCACACCACACACAAACATTAACTCAAAGTAGATCATAGACTTACATGTAAGAGCTAAAACCACAGAACTCATAGAAGAAAACATAGAAGTAAATCTTCATGATTTGAGGCTAGGCAGTGACACCAAATGTGCGTGTGATAGAAGAGAAGATTGATCAAAATTGGACTTAATCAAATGAAAAACTTTTGTGTTCCAAAGCAAATCATGAAGAAAGTAAAAAGACAATTCACTAACTTGGAGAAAATAGGTTCAAATATTATACCTGAAAAGGAGCTTGTATCCAAAATATATAAAGAATGCTTATAACAGAATAATGAAAAGGCAACCCAATTTTTATATGGGCTAAATATTTCAATAGGCATTTTCCCCAAAAAAACCATATAAATGGCTAAAGAAGCACATGAAAAGATGCTTAACATCATTTGTCACTAGGGAAATGCAAATCCAAACCACAGTGAGATACCACCTCACACCCCTTGGGATGGCTAGAATGAGAAAGACAGTCAATGACAAATGTCGGTGAAGATGTGGAGAAATTGGAACCCTCATGCATGAAGTGAATTATAAAATAGTGCAGCTGCTTTGGAAAGCATTTTGCAGTTCCTTAAAATGTTAAACATAGAATTTATCATATGACCCAGCAATTCCACTTGTAGGTATCTATCTACTTAAGAGAAATGAAGACATGTTCACCCAAAACTTGAATCCAAAAGTTCATAGAAGCTTTCTTAATAATCACAGTGACAAAAAAAGTAGAAACAACCCAAATGTCCATCCACCGATGACTGGAAAAGCCACATGACATATCCATAAAGTGGAATGTTACTTGGCCACAAAACTGAAGCAAGTACTGATACCTGCTACAACATGGACGGCCCTTGAAAACATTATGCCAAGTGGAAGCAGCTAGTCACAATACATCACATATGATTCCATTTATGGAAAATGTCCAAAACAGGCAAATCTATAGAGACAGAGAGTAGATTAGCCTGGGGCTAGGGAGGAATGAAGACTGACAAAGTTTCTTTTTGGGGTCATCAAAATCTTCCAAAATTAGCTTATGGTGATGGTTGCACAACTCTGTAAATATACTAAAAACACAGACTTGTATGCTTTACACAGGTGAATTTCATGGCATGTAAGTTATATGTAAATAAAGCTGCTTATTCTAGGGGAGGTGGGAACTGGGCAGATGGAGGACAAGGAGGAAGAAAAGACTTTCTATTATATATCTTTCAATACTTTCTGGGTTTCAAACCATCTGACTATACTATCTATTCAAAGGCAAATCTAAAATCAAAGGATCAAACAAAATTAAAGGCAGACCCGATTCTCCCCACTTTTGGGTTGGGGAGCAAAGAGGGAGAAAGCCACCACCCGCCGCATATCACCGTGAAGGGTTGGTTGAGTGGAAGGTGGGCAGGACGTTCTATGTGACAAGGGCAGCCTTGGAGATGTTCCAAGACCCATTCATTGCCTGGACCAAAGCCACCAAAAGCCACTGGACCTGACAGAGAGACAGTGCCTGACTGACCAGACAGCAGATGCCAAGCTGACCAGAGGGCCTGTCCCCGCCCCCTCCTCTACCACCATGTGGACCTACATAAAATCCCAGAACCATCATCAAGTGCCAAAGGAGGGCAGGAAAACCCCATGACTGACACCAGCCAGGCAGAATAGAAGCTTGAGAGAGAAGCTTCGTTGATGGAAAGGGAAGAAAGGGAACACCTCTCTGACACTAGCTGTGTGGGCTGGGCTCAGACTCTGGGCCGCCACAAATTTGGATGCAGGATGGAGACTCTCTCCTGCACCCCGAGACCAGAGAGCAGCCAAGGAGGGTGATTCTCAGAGCCCTCTGCTTGTGCCTCCTCACGGGCTTGGCCGGTTAACAGGTGCTGCACCAAGAAAGAGCTCTGTGGTCGGATTAGTTTGAAAAACACTGGGTTAAAGAAAGTCAAGGCAGTTTTTTAACCGCAGGGCTTCTCAGAGCCTTTCCTCATGACTCCCCAAGAGGGGGTCTGGTAGTTTCATCAAAGCACTTTTGTGTGTTTGAGGGATGTCTGGTAGGAAAGACAGTCTTCTTCATTTTACACTGAGGGGAAGCGGCTCAGCCAAGGTCCCAGAGTGGGCCAGTGGACAACCGGCCAGGGCTGATTCGGCAGCACCAGACAGCTTCTGCCACTGCCAGGTCACAGTTCTAGCTGGGTCCTGACTCGTGGCCCCAGAGCACTGGGCAATTTCATCCTGTGTTAAGGCAGCCTCTGGTCACTGCCTTGTCCAAGTCTCTCAGAAACTTTACATATTTGAGCCCCTGGCTGTGTAGATTCTGGGGACTTGGTGGCTGGACACAAAAAAGGACTGAAGAACAAATTTGCTCCCTGCCTGAGGTGTGGGACAGAGCAGCAGGCAGAGGCTGTGAATCTAGGCTGTGCCCCGGGTCCATCTGGCCATGGGTTCTGTCTGCACTAAAGGACCTGGGGCCCTTTCATAAAACCTTAGAAACCCACCCTGATGAAAATGCTATACGGGCCGGGTGCCGTGGCTCATGCCTGTAATCCCAATACTTTGGGAGGCTGAGGCAGGTGGATCACCTGAGGTCAGGAGTTTGAGATCAGCCTGGCCAACGTGGCGAAAGCCTATCTCTACTAAAAATACAAAAAATTAGCCGGGCGTGGTGGTGGGCACCTATAATCTCAGCCACTCGGGAGGCTGAGGCAGGAGAATGGCTTGAACCCGGGAGGCGGAGGTTGCAGAAAGCCGAGATCATGCCATTGCACTCCAACCTGGGTGACAGAGCAAGACTCTGTCTCAAAAAACAAAAACAAAAACAAAACAACAAAACAAAAAAAAAGAAAGCTATAGGATAAATATAAATATAAATATATAACAGAAAAAATGGGTGGAAACTGTTATAGATTAAAACATAGCCAAAAGTCTAATGTGGGACAGGCTGATTTGAACAAGTCAACTGAGAAAGACATTGGTGAGACAGTTGGTACAGTTTGAACCCTGGCGGGCTATGTGATGATGTTCAGGAATTGTTGTTTCAGCAGGGGTGAAGGTATGATGCTTAGTTTTTTGTTTTGTTTTTAGGGTTTGTGTTCTTAAGGAATAAATCCTGTGGTCTCCACAACTCAAACAATCTGGTATTTGAGATTAGCATTAAAATGGTCCAGCGGGCATGTAAGGGGGAAAATGGGGGCTGTGCAGGGGCCATGGTGACAAAGGGAATTCCTGCCGGTGTGGCCAACCCTGCAACCTCAGTGGCTTCTGTCACGGAAGGCAAGCCCCACATCCCAGAGGCATCCAGACTCGGGGCTCTCCATGTGCAGGAGCTTGGGGAGGCTGGGACTGCCCCAGTGTGTGGATCTGCTGTGGGCTTTGCACCTGCTGGACCTTGCAACCCCCACGGCACTCAGGCCCAACCCTCCTCACACCTCCCACCTGCCCTCCTGCCCTCCTGCCCGGCTACTCACAGCGCTCCTCCTGGTCCACACGGCTCCGGCCACCTCGCCTGCTCCGGCCCAGGCCACTCATTACTCAGGATGCTTATTACTAGTCTTAGATTTGATTAGTGCTTGGGCTGCACTTCCTGGGTTTTCCCCTCAACCTGTTGGATGTAAATCAGCCACACCCACTCCCGCCCCCATGCCTGTGCATTGGGTCTCAGGAGCCCAGGTGGGTGGCTGCGGCCCAGGCTCCTGGCGTCCCATGGGGTACACACAGAGCAGTGGAAGGCCTGCCGGGCCTTGCGATGAGGTATTGACTATGGGATGGCCCAGGCTCTTCTAGATCTGGCCTTGGCCATCCCTTGGTCCTCATCTCCTGCCCGCCGGCACACACCCCAAGCCAGGCCAGCTCTCCACCCTCCCAGCATCACTCAGGCCTTTCCCTCTTCCTGGGTATACTTATTCTATTCATTGCCTGGTCGGCTCCTCCTGCTCTTCCTTCAAGGCTCCATTGAGGTGTCACCTCCTCCAGGAAGCCATCCCTGACTGTCCCAGCCTGTCAGGTGGTACTCATTCTCTGTATCTCCTTGACCCTCTCCAACACCTAGCAGAGCACTGGAGAGGCTGAACCCCAGGACCGGACAGCCTGCGTTTGAATCTTGACTCTGCTGCATACTAGCAGAAGGCCTTGGTGGCAATTTATGGAACTCTTCTGTGCCTCCATGTTCTCTGTGTAAAACAAGGATGAGGTCGGGCATGGTGGCTCACGCCTGTAATCCTAGCACTTTGGGAGGCCGAGGCAGGTGGATTGTCTGAGCTCAGGAGTTCGAGACCATCCTGGGCAACACGGTGAAACCCCATCTCTACTAAAAAAAAATACAAAAAATTAGCCGGGTGTGGTGGCGCGTGCCTGTAGTCCCATCTATTTGGGAGGCTGTGGCAGGAGAATGAACCTGGGAGTCAGAGGTTGTAGTGAGCCGAGATCGTGCCATTGCACTCCAGCCTGGGCAACAGAGATGCCATCTCAAAAAAAAAAAAAAAAAAAAGGATGAGAACATTGCCCGCCTCACAGGCGGTTATGAGCATGAAATGAGGGAGGGAGCACAGTTACATTCTTAGAGCAGGTTCTTGGCACACAGTAAGTCCTCAATAAAGGCCGTGGAGGAGGAACATTACAGCCCGTATTGCACTGCATGGCGACTGCACTCCTGTGTCTTCCCCATCGTCTGAAACCTCCCAGGGGATGGGAGGCCCAGCAACAGCCAAAGGCGGAGTGAGAGGAACGTAAAAGCCAAAGAAAGCCCATGGGCCCTTAGGAAGAAACTGAAGGACGAGGAGGACATGGAGAGGTGGAGAGGAAGGAGGGAGGCTGCAGGAAGCAGCTGGAGCAGGGTGATGGTGCACAGAGCAGGAGAGGAGATGCAGACGGTCAGCAAACACAGGAAAATGTCCAGTCTCCCAAAAATCAGAAAAACAACTGAACAATGAAAAACTAACTTTCAGCCATCAGGTTGCAAAGTTTTAAAGTTGGTAACATCAAGGGCAGGGGGGTGATCTACAGAAGCATGAACTCAGGGCCCACTGGAGGGAGGGAGCTGGCAGCAGCGTTCTGGAGAGTAACCAGCCAGGGTCAGTTAAATGCACAACACACACCTAACCCACCCCCCAGAAATTCTCCTCCTCCGTGAGCCTCCTCATGACAGCGAGAAACGGGAAACAATGTAAATGTCCATGCAGCAGAGGATGCCTGAATAAGCAGGGTGCACAGGCCAGAGCCAGGAATCTATTGCACAGTTAAAAGAATGAGAAATCTCGAAGCTTTCAGGACAGACGCTGAGTAAATAAAAGTAGCTTATAGCATGAGCCTTACAGCATGATGCCTTTTAGTAAAACAAAACCAAAAGCAAACAACATGCACACACACACACACACAGTACAGCGCTGTGTTGTCTGTGATCACGCACACATGACTGTGAAGCATAAGAAGTCTGCAAAGACATGCATGACGAAACTGGCTCTCGCCGGGTGGGGCAAGAGGGAACCAGGACTGGGGGTGACCGTCAAAGGGGACTTTAGCCCTATTTGTAGGGCTAAACATTTTACATTTAGGGCTTTTACATTTGTAGGGGTTTTACATTTAATTACTTGTTTACATTTAATTACTTGTGTCAATGAACAGTGACAAAACCATAGCTGGGCTCTGGCAGTGGATTTCTAAGAGAGAGGTAAGAAAGAGATCCCATTGCCAGGAACTTTCTGCCTGTTGAAATGGGCAAGCCCAAAGTCACTACAGGATGCCCTCACTGAGTCCCCCCTCACCTCCTGTTTGCATACCCCCAGGGTCAGGGCTCTCACCACCTCACGGAGCAGCTGGCTCCCTGGGGGGTAGCTCTGATGGTTAGAAAGCTCAGCTCTAGCCTGGGCAACATAGCGACCCTGTCTCTATAATTTTTTTTTTTTTGAGACCGAGTCTCACTCTGTTGCCCAGGCTGGAGTGTGGTGGCGTGATCTCAGCTCACTACAACCTCCACCTCCTGGGTTCAAGCGATTCTCGTGCCTCAGCCTCCTGAGTAGCTGGGACTAGAGGAGTGAGCCACCACTCCCGGCTAATTTTTGTATTTTTATTGGAGACAGGGTTTCACCATGTTGTCCAGGCTGGTCTCGAACTCCTGACCTCAAGTGATCTACCCGTCTTGGCCTCCCAAAGTGCTGGGATTACAGGCGTTAGCCACTGCACCCAGCCTAATTTTTTTTTTAATTAGCTGGGTGTGGTGGTGTGCACCCGTAGTCCTAGCAACTTGGGAGGCTGGAGGATTGCAACACTGGGCTGGAGCTCAGGAGTTCAAGGCTACAGTGAGCTATGATCACACCACTGCACTCCAGCCTGGGCTACAGAATGAGAACCTGTCGCAAAAAAAGGAGGAGGAGGAAGAAGAAGGAGAAGGAGAAAGAGGAGAAGGAAGGAGAAGAAGGAAAGACAGCAAGTTCAGCTTTGTCCAGTGAGCAGACTGTGCTTCCAGACTGTGCTTCCATGGGACTGAATGCTGCTCTCTGCAGCCACACACATTGTCCTGGAGTTTTAAAGCCAATACCTGTTATGCCTGAAATGAAAAACAAACAAAATCCAGCCTGATTTGGGGAGTGGCTGAGAATTGAATGACAGAGTTCCCTAATGTCTTACTGCCAATCACAGCTTGTTAATGCTTTTGCTCAAATGCAGTTTACAGAGAATGGATTTAATTTGCTTTCTATTTTCTTTAATTAGATGGTGTAATTTACAGACAGTGAAATGCACCCTTTTAAAATGGGAAGTTCAGTAAGTGTTCTCATACATGCACACCCAGGCAACCACAACTCAGATCACAACTCAGAGCATGCACAGCCCCCAGAAGGTCCCTCACTGCCCCTTCCAGCCAGCACACCCCACTCCATCCCCAAGAGAGTCACAATTCTGACTCCTGCCACCACAGATTCATTTTGCTTGTTCCCCAAACTTTGTATAAATGGAAACATACAAATGGGATCGTTTCATGAAACACAAAAATAGATTCCCCCTCTGCACTGGCTCCCCCAGAAGATTGAACAGGTGCTGGAGGTTTCTAAAGCTCATTCTGAGACCAGCCTTTTTTTGAGCTGTCTCCCAAGAGGATGCGGGATTCTAATTTTAAGCTCCACAGCCAAGGTGACAGAAGAGATTTAGAACCCAGAGTAGAGATAACTCATATACCTTAAGGTTTTGGACCTGGTTCATTTATATATGTATAATTAGCGAGTTAAAATGCACACATAGTAAAGAAAAAAATTCAAGCAGTAAAAGAATATGGCGGAAGTAAATTTCTCTCCTGTCTGGTTATCCTAGGCCCATGATGTCCCTACTCAAAGGCGGCAACCCTTAGTGGACCTTGTTCATACAGCCTCCCAGCAAAGCCTAGGCATTTCTGAGCATGTGCGTGTCGCTAGAGGATATATTTCACCTCTCCCTCCCCCTCCATACCTTTTTTTTTTTTTTTTAACACAACTGCTGGCTTATACAGATCAAGGTTGCTGTTTAGCATGCCACCTTTTCCATTTAGTATAGCCTGCCGGACAGTTCTTAGCTTTTGAAATGAACTCCTACAGTGATCATTGGGAGTAACAACAGGGAAAACTTAGGGCACTGTTCTAAACACGTAACATCTGCTCATTTAATTCACATTTTACCGTCTTTGTCACCTTGAGGGGCATGAGCTCCTTAAGTTAAATTGTTTGAAGAAAGGCAACACTGGCCTGTTGATCAATATTTCCCAGGGAGATGGTTCCACTCTGCACTAGCATGTCCGTGGTATTTTGGCCCTAAAGACCCACATCCCTGCAGGTGCTGTGGTCTCTTTGAGCTCCCTCATGTCTGCCACCTACTCCTGGTCCCTTGAGGCCCTGCTGTTGAACCTCCTCTGAGACAGTTCTGGGTGTAAAACAAAAGGAAGAGTCTCCAAAAGAGGACATTTCTTAGACATGCAGCGAAAGCCCTCATTTTCATTATTGCCATTTACATAGATGACTCAGATGTGCTGAATTTCCTGTTGCTAATGTAGCTGTACATTTGTGCTAATTTCTCAGAAATGCTAGATACCATTATTTTAGCAAAACTCACTTTGAAAAAGCAAAGAGCAGGGTTTAAAATAATAATAATAAGGGTCCCCAGTGTTCTGTGGGAAGATCTAGTTTCTCTACTTTAAAATGTTTCCCTCCTAACTTTTTATTATGAAAACTTCAAAACTTCAAGAAAGTTAAAATTATAATGAAGACTCAGGGACCCTCCACCAAGATTCAGTAGCTCTTCACCTTGGTGTCTGCATGGCTCCATCCATCTCTGTCTCTTCCTGCCTGCCTTCTGGCTGAGACCCTGAAGGCAATTTGCAGACATCCCGACACTGCAGTCCTAAGTGTGTCCACAAGGCACCTCCTAAGAAAATGGACATTCTCTCACATAGACTGTCATGATCACATCTAAGAAAGTCAATCATAGTTCAATAAGACCATCTGACATCTAGTCCACATTTAAATGGCCCTGGTGCTTATAAGACATTTTCCATGGCTGCATCTTTTGAATCGGTATCCCTCTGGGGGTCACATATTACATCCGGTCATTGTATCTGTGTAGTCCTTTTTTGGCTAGAGCAGTCCCTTCCCTTTTGCTCTTTTTCTTCTCTTTTATCTTTTTTTCCTTTGTTTGGTGTGTTTGACGTTGACTTTGTGAAGAGACTTGGCCGTGGTCTTGTGAAATGTCCCATGGCTGATCTCTCGGGCTGTATCCTCCTGGTGTTGGTTCACGTGTTCCTCCAACCTCTGAGAGCTCCTGGAGGTGCATGATGTTGGCTTTCTCCCCCCACGGTGATGCTGTCAGATCCCTTGTTAAGATGGTGACACCAGCTGTTCCCCTGTGGAGGCACACTGTCCCTTTTGCAATTAGTGTCCCTTGTGGGCAATGCCTTGTGAGCATCCTGGTTCCCAACAGAAAGGACGACCCTTCTGTTGATCATTTTAGCATCTTTGGCCAAAACCAATATTCCACTTGCAAGGTGGTAACTTTCGATACCTTTTAGATTCCTTCTACATTTTTTAGCTGGTGTTTTTCTGTAAATAGAGCTTTCTTGTTATTTTCCCCTTTGAAAAAAAATACAGAAAATAACCATGAAAAATATAACCAACATCCATATTTTCACCACTGAGAATTTGTGTTAAAATTTTGGCATATTCACCTTCAAGTTTTTCTTATAAGAAGGAAAACATGACAGTGAAATCTCCGAAATCCCCCAACTCCCTATTCTACTTCCTACCCTACACTCACCATCATAAATGTGGCTCTATCTTCCAGGCCCCTTTTTATACTTTTATGAGTACAGTACAGAATGTTTTAGCTATGAAAAATACAGTATATAGCATTATTTTGCGTGTTATTTTTAAACATTTTATATAAATAGCATTCTAAATCTATCATTATGTCCCTTTCTTTTCTCACCCAACACCTTTGAGATCAGCTCATATGGATGCTCATATAATGAGCTCATTCCCGTTTAGCTGCTCTATGGGATTCCACACATTCTTTTCCGTTCCTCCTCTACTGAAGAACACGTGGACTGTTTTTGATTCCTCGCTGTTAGGAGCCACGCTACAGTGGGCAGACCTGTGCGTGCCTTTGTGCAGATGTATGAGCATCTCTCTGAGTTGTGGCCAGCTTCACTAGATATTGCCCAAATGACCACACTAATTAATATTCTCTCCCACCAGCAGCCACATGTGGCTGGCTCCTCCCTCATATCTTCATCCACATGGGATAGTATCAGACTATTACATTTTTGCCAAACTAATAGGTGAGAAATGGTATTTGTTGCTTTAATTTGTATTTCCCGATTTCTAGCAAGGCAGTGCACAGATGTTTCTCGGCCACTGTGAAGGGGTGTTTCCATGAGACACATGGGGTATGCTCTGCTCTGTGGATCTGAGCTGCTAGTGAATCCTCGGTCTCTCCTCTAGAGAGAGTGCCTCCTAGGCACTAACAATCAGGTGGCTATCACAAAGGGAATGAAATTATTCTCAATTGTCATTGTCCTTATATTTGTATGAATAATATTGCTTGTCGCCTAGTACTTATCACCCGGCTTTCTATGAGCCAGGCTTTATTACTTTAACCACTTTACTTGATCCTCTCAGAAATTTATTTATATTTACTTATGTGTTTATTTTGAGATAGGGTCTCACTCTGCCACCCAGGCTGGAGAGCACTGGCACAATCACAGCTCACTGCAGCCTCAACCTCCTGGGCTCAAACAATCCTCCCACCTCAGCCTTCTGAGTAGCTGGGATGACAGGTGCGAACCACCATGCCTGCCTAACTTTTAAATTATTTTTTAGTAAAGACACAGTCTCAATTGTTGCTGAGGCTAATTTCGAACTCCTGTGCTCAAGTGATCCTCCCAGCTCGGCCTCCCAAAGTGCTGGGATTACATTCGTGAGCCACCATGCCAGGCCTAGGAATAGATTTATTATTTCCATTTTGCTGAAAAGGAGACAGAGGGTCAGAGTGGAACAGTGACTTGCCTAAGGTCATAGAGCTGGTAAGCGATCTGCTTCCAGAGCCCAAACCCTTCCCTCTGTATAGTATTGCTCCTTCACACTCCTCCCAGATGCCCAGATAGTTCCCAGCAAGAATAAAAGATGGTTTCACACTGAAAGAAGAAGATTGGTTCTGGTTTTCTTGTCTCCTTCCCTGGTTCCCATGGCTATGAGCAGAGAAGTTGTTCGTTAACCAAAAATTACAGCCTTGCAAATAGCTCCTAGCCCATTTGCCCAGGTTTCTGGGTAGAAGACAAGCAGAGCAGGCAGTTATAGTACAGCCGGCCCTTCATAGCTGCAGTTTCTGCCTCCACAGATTCAACTAACCACTAACCACAAGTAGAAAATAGAAATAATGGCCAGGCACAGTGGCTCATGCCTGTAAACTCAGCACTTTGGGAGGCTGAGGCGGGTGGACTGCTTGAGGTCAGGAGTTCAAGACCAGCCTGGTCAACATGGTGAAACCCTTTCTCTACTAAAAATACAAAAATTAGCCAGATGTGGTGGCAGACGCCTATAATCTCAGCTACTTGGGAGGCTGAGTCACGAGAACTGCTTGAACCCAGGAGGCAGAGGTTGCAGTGAGCAGAGATTACGTCATTGCACCCCAGCCTGGGTGACAGAGCAAGACTCCATCTCAAAAAAAAAAAAAAATAGATAAAAAATAGAAAATAATGCAAATGAAAACAATATAGTATAACCATTTATATAGCATTTACATTGTATTAGGTGTTATAAGTAATCTAGAGATTATTTAAACTCTATGGGAGGATGTGCATAGCTTATATGCAAATACTACACATTTTATATCAGAGACTTGAGCATCTGCATATTTCGGTATTCTTAAGGACCTGGACCAGATCGCCTGTGGATACTGAGGGACAACTGTGCTTCTTTCTCACTCCAGGTCAGAAAGGAAGGGTGGGTTGGTAAACTCTTAATCTGTTCAAGTTTTTGGATTGGTTGTAGCCAGGGTGGGTGATCTGGGTGGGCAATGGAGCCACAGAACTGAACGTTCAAGAAACTTTTAGATCCTAAGTTGGGAAAAAGGAATCTCTCTCTCTCACTCGTTTTAGTTAAAGTCCTCTGTTGTACATGTGGTATTGGGCAGAGATACGTACAGGCTTCTGCAGCGTCATCAGAACTCCAGAGGAGAGGTGGCTTCCAGGCGGGTGAGCCTTCAGGACTTCAGGTCCAGTCTGCCCATTTATAAATAGGAAAGCAGAGGCATTGAAACCTCTAGGTCCTAGGCTGCTTGAAGGCATCAAAGTGCCTGACTGGTCCTCGGAGCCTGGCAAAGTATTCAGCTTACAACATACATTTCATGAATATTTGTTGAATGAATAAATAAACGGACAAGAAGGCCAGACGTGGTGGCTCACGCCTGTAATCCCAGCACTTTGGGAGGCCGAGGCGCGCGGATCACTTGAGGTCAGGAGTTCGAGACGAGCCTGGCCAGCATAGTGAAACCCCGTCTCTACTAAAGATACAAAAATTAGCTGAGCTTGGTGGCAGGCACCTGTAGTCCCAGCTACTCGGGAGGCTGAGGCGGGAGAATTGCTTGAACCTGGGAGGCGGAGGTTGCCGTGACATGAGATCATACCGTTGCACTCCAGCCTGGGCGACAAGAGCGAAATCTGTCTCAAAAAAATAAAAAATAAAAAGGTAAATGGACAAGAAAGTTGGAATCTTAAAACAAATGCACAAAACCCCCAAGCTTTTGATTCCTTTGGGTTCTGCTGGGTGGAGGGGACCTATTTGAGGAAGGAGAATCAATGAACCGGGTCCTTCGTGAGAAGATGTGGCCAGGTCCTGCCGTGAGGCCCTGGGTGACTCAGTGAGCACTCCCTGTCCACAGCTCAGCGACTCACAGATGTCCCCAGGGAGAAGTACAGAAGCTGAGAGTCTGGACGAGGCCCCAGGCTGCCTGGCCCCTGCCTTCCTGCTCTCCTCTCCCACCTCTCCCGCTTAACTCCGCTGCAGCCACAGCCGTCTTGGTCTTCAGACAAGCCAGGCCCATTCTCCGCTCGGCCGCCTTGCCCCTGCTGCTGCCCTGCCAGGAGTGCTCAGCCTGTGGCTCTCTGAAGGACTGAGTCCTGGTTCCAACAGCACCTCCTCAAAGAGGACTTCCTAGATACCCTGGCCAGAGTCCCCACCCTGGCCACTCCCTACCACTCCCATCTGGTTTATTTCCTGAGCACTTGCTCCTGCTTGGACTGACCTGGCACGTCCCTGTGCTCGCTGGTGGGCTATCTGCTTCCCTCATCCGAAAGTGACTATGCCTCCGGCATCTGAGGCTGCACCTGGCATGTGGCAGGCACTCAACAGACAGATGGTGCAAGAACGAGAGAAAAAGAGGCCGGGGCTGAGCGTCATGCTGACGCCTCTGGAAACCTTTATCTCTGAGCAGTGGGGAGCCCCAGCTGGAAAAGGCCGCACGGCTCATGGTGAAGGTGACGACGATGATGCATGTGTGTGCACGGCAGGTGTTAGGCTGACAATAAGTGGCCACAGTTAGCTGAACATCTACTATGTGCCAGATATGAACTTGATTTTTAAATCACTCTATCCTCAGAATAAGGCAAATGCTGCCACGACCCCCTTCTCACAGACGAGAGAGTCAAAGCCCAGAGAGACTGAGCTTTTTGCATCCAGTCTGGGATGTGGGGAGCTGAGATGTGCTCCCACAAATACCTGACCCCAAAGCCCAGGCTCTTTCTAGTGGGCAATGAACAGCTGAGGCTGTTACCAACTTTCTTCAGGCCCTGAATGGCAGCCCAACTTCCCGCTGACCCTGTTGTTCTTCTTTCTGCCCAGGGACTCCCTACCCTCTCAGAGCAGAAGACAGGCCCAGAAACAGAATGTCCACTCACTCAGTCCATAAACATTTATTAAGCACCTACAACGTGCAGGGGTGCGGGGATGCAGCAGGGCTTAAGTCAAAGCTCAAGCACTGGTGGAGCTCACAGGTGGAGCTGCTGAGGGCATAACAAAGAAGTAGGCAAAGGAGTGGGCAGCAGATACTGGTCTGAACTGGGACAGTCAGGGGACAGGACCAGGAGAGCTGGGGCTGGGGACCTGGGTCGGGGGAGTCAGGCAGCCTCTCTGCGGAGGAGAAGCCAGCTTGCAGCAACCCGGGTGAGGGGCTGCCCAGCAGTCAGTGCACTTAGGAGAGAGTGGACTTAGTACACTAGTGGAGAAGAAATGAAGGCCAGTGTG
This sequence comes from Homo sapiens, assembly GCF_000001405.40. Lineage (NCBI taxonomy): Eukaryota > Metazoa > Chordata > Mammalia > Primates > Hominidae > Homo > Homo sapiens. The sequence goes on from NC_000017.11 coordinate 16,982,299, forward strand.
GTGGGGGTGGGGAACAAGGTGGAAACAGTTACTGAGCTAATGAAATATCATCTCGGGCTCCCCCACATGTAATCACAGCTATTTCAAAGTCTGGCACAGCGAAGCCCCTCCAGAAATGTCTGCAATGAATGGAATTGGATCAGGTCAGTGTCCCGCTTGACAAAAACAAAAAGCAATGTCTGGTGCAGCCTGTCTCACAGAAAAATTTCCTTCAGGGAGGAGGATGAAGGTGAACCTCCTGGTTTTAGCAAACCAAAACAATATATTCAGATGGAATAAGGCAGATTAGCAATTCTCAGGTTGCAGGTTGCAGAGGCAGAATTTAAACGTTTTGGGTAAAAAACAAAAACCCACTTAAGATCGTATTTTTTTTCCTTTTTTTTTCTTTTTGAGATGGAGTCTCCTTCTGTCACCCGTTCTGGAGTGCAGTGGCGTGGACTGCAACCTCTGCTCCTGGGTTCCAGCGATTCTCCTGCCTCAGCCTCCTGAGTAGCTGGGATTATAGGTACCTGACATAATGTCCAACCAATTTTTTTTTGTATTTTTAGTAGAGATGGGGTTTCACCCTGTTGGCCAGGCTGGTCTCAAACTCTTGACCTCAAGTGATCTATGGCCTTGGCATCCCAAAGTGCTGGGATTACTGAGCCCCTGCACCTGGCCCCACTTAAGACCTTCTATGTTGCAGGATTTGAGGTTAATCTCCCATTACTATTGAAGGCTTATCTATTTTTCCCTTTTTGCAGATAAATGAGGAGTTGTCTCTGGTACAGGAACTAAACCAGCTCTGGGATCCCTAATGGCTGGGCTGGCCTGGTTGCTTCAGCTCTGGATTCAAACTGGCCAAGGATACAGGAGCCCAGGGGTGAGAATGGTAAGATCCTGCTTCCAGCTGCCTGCCAGAACCATTGACTTAAATGTGTATAATAACAGGAGCTAACATTTAATCATCCTAATAAAGCTATGAGGTGAGTACAAGTATGGCCCCACCCAGAGATGAGGAAAATGTAGCTCAGAGAGAATAAATTACCTACTAAATGTAAGACATCCCAAACCGCTTCCTTCCCCAGTCTTTCCCATTTCACTAAATGACACCACCCCTTACTGTACTAAATTGCTCAAACAGAAATCTGGGGATGACCCTTGATTCTTTCCTTGCCTCACCCCCACATCTTACCCATCACCAATTTATCTGTTCTATCTTCCAAAACACAGGACATCCTCAATGTGGCTATTTCTCTTCCATTCCCCCTGCTATCACCATCACTGTACCCACCATCAGCTCTCTGCTGAGCCACTAACTGGCCTACTACTACCACCCATTCTCCTCCAGCAGTGGCGGGTGATCTTTTTAAAACATAAGTCAGATGCCATGTCAGCCCTCAGTGAAAACTCTCTAATGCCTTCTCATTGCCTTTATTTTTTTCTCCGTCTAGTTGTAAGATTTTCCCTTTGTCTTTCATTTCCTGTAATGTTACATTGTACCTAGGGGTGATTTTCTTTCTATGTATGCTGCTAAGTGTTCACAGTCCTTCTCAAACCCATGGCTCGATGTCTTTCGTTTACTTGCAAATATTCCACACATAATCACAGCTATTTCAAAGTCTGTGTCTAGTAACCCCGCTATCTGGATCCCCTTGGACCTGTTTTGGTTGTTTGTTTGTGTTTTTCCCCCTGAATTGTGGTCAGGTCTTGTATTATTGTAAGGATAGACATTAAATAGGAAAAATGGTAGAGATAATTTATGTCATCTTCCTGTTTACTTTTGCTTCTTCTCAGGGATTATACCTGGATCTCTGACCTTTGGGCTTCCTACTTCCCTGGTGCCATGTTTCTGCCCTCTGCCTCTCCTGATATGATTATTAATTTTATATGTCAACTCAGCTAGGCCACAGTACTGGTATTTGGTTAAATACCAGTTTAGATATCCCAGTGAAGGTATTTTTTAGACGAGTTTAACATTTAAATCAGTCAACTTTAAGAAGAGCAGATTGGGGTGGGTGCGGTGGCTCGTGCCTGTAATCCCAGCAATTTGGGAGGCCTAGATGGGTGAATCACCTGAGGTCGGGAGTTCGAGACCAGCCTGACCAACATGGAGAAACCCATCTCTACTAAAATCACAAAATAAGCCGGGCGTGGTGGCACATGCCTGTAATCCCAGCTACTCAGGAGGCTGAGGCAGGAGAATTGCTTGAACCTGGGAGGCGGAGGTTGTGGTGAGCCGAGATCACATCATTGCACTCCAGCCTGGGCAACAAGAGCGAAACTCCATCTCAAAAAAAAAAAAAAAGAAAAGAAAAGAAAAGCAGATTGCCCCGAAATGTGGGTGGATCTCATCCAGCCATTAAAAGGTTTTACAAGAAAAGGCCTATGGTTCCCCCGGGGAAGAGGGAATTTTGTCTCCAGAACACTTTCAGGCTTGAGCTGCGATATCAGCTCTTTCCTGGGTGGCCAGCCTGATGGTCTGTCCTGCAGATTTCAGATCCACAAGCCCCACAGTCACCTGAGCCAATTCCTCTCTCTCTCTCTCTATCACACACACATGCACACACACACACAACTGGTTCTGTTTCTCAGGAGAACCCTAATACACTTGGCCTGTGTTCAGTGACAGCACCCAAATCCCTATCTGCAGTCTGGGCCTCCTGGGCTTCAGAACTGAGGATCCATTGGCCTCCTCTGTGTCTCCTCTAGGATTCCTAGCGGGCATCTCAGTCTTAGCACAGCTTCACCAAAGTAAGCGTCTACTTCAGCTCCACGACCTGCTGTGTCTCAGCCATCCTGGTCTCAGAGGCTGGCATCCATTCTTCTGGTGGCCCAGGCCCTGCTGTGGTCTGAATGTGTCCCCCAAAATTCATGTGTTGGAAACCTAAACCCCAATGCAACAGTGTTAGGAGGTGTGGTCTTTGGGGAGGTGTCAGGTCAGGAGGGCTCCACCCTCAGGAATGGATTAATGCTGCTATAAAGAGGCTTGTGGGAATGGGCTCTCCATTCTCCTGCTCTTCCACCATGTGAGGGCTCAGTTCATCCCTTTTTGTCTTTCCACCTTCTGTCATGTGAGGATCCAGCAAGATGGTCCACACCAAATGTTGGCACCTTGATCTTGGACTTCCAGCCTTTAGAACAGTAAGAAATAGATTCCTATTCTATGTAAATTACCCAATCTCGGGAATTCTGTTACAGCAGCACAAAATGGACCAAGGCAAATATTGGTACCCAGAATGTGGCTGCTGTAACAAACGCCTAAAAACGTGAAAGCAGCTTTGGAACTGAGTAATGGGCAGAGGCTGGGACAGGATGGAAGTGCATGCCAGGAAGAGCCTGTATTGCCATGAACAGCCCATTGAGGGTGATCCTAGTGAGGGCTCAGAAGAGGACAGCTGTAGGGAAAGCTGGAATCTCCTTAGAGATTACTTGAGTGTTCATGAAGAGAATGCTGGTAGAAATATGGACAGTACAGGCCATTCTGATGAGGTCTCAGATGGAAATGAGGAACAGGGTATTAAAAACAGGAGGGAAAGTGATACTTGTTCCAGAGTGGAAAAGAACTGGGCTGAATTATGTCCATGTGCTAGGACTTCATGGAAGGCAGAACTTAAGAGTGATGAACTATGACTAGGCACAGTGGCTCATGCCTGTAATCCTAGCACTTTGGGAGGCCATGACAGGAGGATCATTTGAGGCTAGGAGTTCAAGGCCAACCTGGGCAACATAAGAAGACCCTGTCTCTACAAAATTTTTAAAAAATTAGCAGGCATGGTGGCATATGTCTGTAGACCCAGCTACTCAGGAGGCTGAGGCAGGAGGATCACTTGAACACAAGGGTTCAAGGCTATAGTGAGCTATGATCGTGCCACTGCACTCCAGCCTGGGTGACAGAGTGAGACCCTGTATCAAAAAAACAAAAAAAAAATTGAAAAATTAATGAACTAGATATGTGGCAGAAAAAACCTCTAAGCAGCAAAGTGTGCAGGATGCTGTACATCCTCTCTTAGCTGCTCATAGTAAAATGCGAGAGGACAAATGATTTAAAGACGGAATGTATAACCACAAGCGAAGCAGAACACAAAGATTTGGAAAATTCTCAGCCTGGCCGCATAAAGAATAAAAAGGTGTGTTAAGGAGAAAATACCAAGGGTATGGCCAAGAGCCCATGTGATAAGGAGATGAGTATGGCTAGAAAGAAGCCAGGTGCTGTTCATCAAGACAGTGGGAGAAAGACTCTGAAGGGATTTGAGAGATCTGGATGACTCATCTCATCATAAGCCCAGGGCCCTTGGAGCTTGAGGGCAGAATGATTTGGGGGGATGGGCCAGGGGCTGGCTGCCTTGGGTCTCTACTCCTTGTGTTTTGGCACGATGCTCCTTGGCCACCCCAGCTGTGGCTCAAATGGGCCCAGGTGTGGCTTGGGCTGCTGCTCCAAAGGGTGCAAGCTGTGAGCCTTGGCAGCATGCATGTGTTGCTAATTCTGCAGGCACACAGAGTGCAAGAGCTTTGGGGGTATGGCTGCCTCCCCTTGAATTCAAAGAATGCCACAGAGGGATAGCCCCCATTAGGGCAATGCCCACCAGAATTGTGAGGTTGGGTCTAAAACTAAGACAGGCCCTAAGTACCCGGAGTCATCCTTGACTTCTCTTTCTCTCCCTGTCTCCTTCCCTTCCACCAATCCATTAGCAAACACTGTTGGCTTTACGTTCAAAATATGACCAAAATCATCTGAGCACTTACCACCTTCAGGCCTGCTTCAAGCCACCCCCTACCAGCCCCTTCTCAGAGGCCCCCCCACCCCCAGGTGCCATGTACTCTGTTAGCACCTGAGCCACAGCTGAGCCCTCCACTGCCCAGGAACCTCTGCCACTCCCCAGCTGCTCTGACTAAACACTGGATCTTTATAATGGCCCTGGGCCTTGAACCTGGGCCTTCTCTCCCTGAGCCCTCTGCCACTCTCCCCTGCTCACACCAGGCCAATGCTGACAACTTCCCCTCTGTGCTGTTCCGCTGCCTGGAATGCTCTCTGCCCAGATGTGTGCTTGGGTGACTGCTTGCCTCCCAGGAAGCTTGCCCAAATCTTGCCTCCTCAGTTAGGACAGCCCCGGCCATTCATCTCAAAGGCAAGGGGCACAGAGTATGGGCTCAGTACACGTATGGGGGAGGAGGGAGGGAGGGAGGTGGAGAGGGAGGAGGAGGAAGGGAGGAATGCACAGGCCATTTCATTCCAGCGAGAACAGGTCACAAGGCACACCCAAAAGCAACCCGGGTGGTACAAAACTAAAGATGACCGAAGGCCACCATGAACAGGCGGGAGAGGGCAGCTCTGTTCATCACCCCTGGGGCAGATGTGGAGACTCCAGATGTGTCACATCTGGACAGCCCCTTCTCTGCCCCTTCCTACCCCCTGCCCCGCCCATCCACCAGGGGTTCAAGACAATACAGGAGACAGTTGTCCTCCTCCCAGGACCCTGAGAATGGCTGGGGCTGGGGAAGATGCTCAGTGGCCTTTGAAACTCAGCTTAATTTTGCGCCAAACGGGTGACCCTGCCACCCCCATGAAAAGGCAGAGCACTAGAATGAGAGTCCAGACTATGGACTCTAGTCCTCTTGATGTCCCAAGCTCAGCATGTGACCTCAGACTAGGCACTTAGCCTCTGTGGGCCTCAGTTTCCCCTTCTGTCCAAATCAGGGGGGTTGGAATGTGGTCACCCAACTAAAAGCCCACTCTATACACTGAGCGTCTACAAATACAAGGAACACAGAGTTGATTTGTTAGGAAACCCATCACGTCCATCCTGACCTAGATGGGTTTCACTCTGACGTTGTGCAGTCAAATGCTCTACCCCTGAGCTACACCCCCTACTCTGACGTTGTGACCGCTGCACCTGGGCTGATTGTACCCCAGACCAGGGGCAATGTCACCTGGCACCACCCTTTCCCACTACTCTTCCCTCTCGAGAGAGACTGGGGTTTCACACAGAGCAGTCGAGCCCCATAAATAGCAGCTGGCCACTCACAGGCCAACCCTCCCAGGCCCCAAAAAGGAAGTGAGAGACAGGCAGACACTTCTGTTCTTCCTGCAGAAAGTGCTGCTTCTGCAGTGACTCGTCAGATGCTCCCCAGAGCCCAGCACAGACCCGGCTCCACCCACTTCTGTGGGTTGGCCAGATGAGTGAGAAACACAGGCACAGCCAACGAGAGGGAGCTGAGGCCGGACCCAGGAGTCTTTTTCCTATGGTAGGGGATATCTCTGTGTGAGGAAGCCCCATGGGGAGTCCTTGGGTGAGTTGCCAGGAGGAGGTGACTCAGGATAAATTCCCTTAGGAGGTGCCTTCACTTCTAGATCCAAAGAGTCATCCCCTACCTCCTTAGGGTAAAACTAGATTTTGAGTATCACGGTGTTTGTGGATAACCTGGCCCCAGTGAGTCCCCTTGCAAGGGCCTTTGGAGATGCTTCTGCACATGGACACTAGGAGCCATGAGCAGAGACAGTCCCTGCAGCAGCATCTGAAACCATGAACCCCAGGAAGACAACGTGGCACTGTTTTTGTCAGCCCTGCCTACGCTTTGCTAAAGTCTGTCCATTCAGCTCTTTTTCATGTTGACCGCACCACTGTTTCCTGCCCAGGTCCTGCCTGATATAGTAACCGGGAAAGGGATGAATGTGATGCAATGTGCTCTTGTAATGGAGCATCACAGAACAGGTCAAAGACACAAGCCACACAGCAACGAGCGCGGACAGGCAGGGCAGAGCACAGCTGCACGTAAGTACATTTTAAACACGGACCCCAACATAGCACTAGACATTGTTCATAATGCCTCCCTACATATGTAAAACACAAAAGTGGATTGGAGACACACAGAGGGGAGACTGCAGGCACCTCAGCCTCTCATCCCTCTTCTCATCAGGCCATTTCTGCTCTGCACCAGCGGTTCTCAACCAAAGTGCTTCTGCCTTCACTGTCAGGAGACATGTGGCCATGCTGGGGACATCTGGGGTGTCTCAATGATGGGGGTGGGAGGGATTGCTACTGGCATCTGGGGGTAGAGGCCAGGGATGTTCCCAACCATCCTAGGATGCAAGGGACAGCCCCACCACAAAGCAGGTGTGGCCCCAGCTCGTTCACAGCTGTCTACTTCCTCCTGGCGTAGCTGTGCAACTTGTACAACCACAAGCAACACGTATTTGTTTTACAAGGAACTCACTGGAGACAGCACCCAGTCTGAGAACTTTGTACTATGGAAGGGTTTTGTTTTTGAAAACCGAAATTACAGAATAAATTACAGAGAGAGAGAGAGCAAGAGCGAGAGCGAGAGAGTAAGAGAGAGAGAGAAACTTCACCATATGGGTTCAAATGAGCAACCTGGGTATTCTTGGCTCCTGGTGGAAAGGGAGGTGCTAATCTCAGGTGGGCCCACCTGCTGTGGCATGGGGCTTGGTTTTGAGCTGCTCCTTCCACTCCTGGCACAGGAGGAGCAGATGTTTAGGGCGGCCACGTGACTAACTGGGCAGCCAAGACCAAGACTCCTGTGCACGCTGAAACTCACGTTCTCAGTGGAAAGGAAAGATCTGCTGACCGCTCACTCAGGATGAGGGGTGTGGTGAGTCAGCCGTGGGGCCTCTGTGTGGCCCAGACCAAACAGCTGGTTTTGGGCATGGCAGAAGTCAATGAGGCAAGGCCCTGATGGGTAGCGCTGACCTGAGTGCTACCTGGCTAAAGCCAAGGAGGAGCCATGCGGCAGAATCCGTTCATGCAGCTCGCATGCTACAAGTGGCTGCTAGTGTCTTGTGGAGATTTAAACTTAAAATCTTGCTTCTCAGCCCCATCAGGTACATTTCAGGTGCTCAGCAGTGCACTTGTGCTTTGTGGCTGCCTTCTGGACAGCATGGATGCAGACCGCCTCCAACCATCCCAGAAAGTTCCATCACAGGCACTGAGCCAAAACTGGCCATGGTGATGGAGCTGCCAGGAGGGCGAAGCCCAATCTCACTTTGGTCAACATGGTCAACATGTCAGGGAAGGGTATCCAGGGACAGGTGCCCAGGGGCGGGTGCCCAGCTGCAGAAAGGTCTTCAGGGAACCTCCCTGCTCAGAGGCACTCTCTCAATGTCATCTCCTGCCTCCCAGCCCAATCACACTACATCCTGTCTTGGCTGCTCTCCTCCACTCTGCCCCAAGCCTGAAGCCATCTGTCCTTCCTCTAAGCTCCAGGAGTCTCTGGGAAGTGTTTATGGGTTAACTCTGTTGGAATGCACAGGGATTGCTCAGAATAAAGCTCACCAGCCTTTGTTGGCCTGGAGGCCCTGCCTGCCCTGCCTCTACTGCCTCTCTGTCCTCCCCCCTGGCTCTCTCCACCCCAGCCTAGGTTCCCCAAACACATCAGGCAGGGCCTGCTTGCGGCCTTTGCAGCTGCTGTTCCCTCTGCTCAGAATGCTCTTCCCCAACGCCCCCGGTCATCCCCCTGCCCCCCACTGCTTCAGTCAGATATCTCAAATATCACCTCATCAGAAAGCCTCCCATTCTAGCCGAAAGAGCTCAGGTATATGCACACTCACACACACACACACACACCCCCACACACATTCACACATGCACCACACTCACACACTCTGATTCTCACACACACTCACACACACCCTACATGCACACCCCACACGCCCCACAGGCACACTCTCCACACACTCACACACCCCACAGGCACACCCCCCAAACACACACACCCCACACACCCCACAGGCACCCCCCACACACTCACATACTCCACAGGCACACCCCCCAAACACACACCCCACACACCCCACAGGCACCCCACACACACTCACATACTCCACAGGCACACCCCCCAAACACACACCCCACACACCCCACAGGCAGCCCCCCACACAAACACACCCCATAGGCACAGCCCCCAAACACTCACACACCCCACACCCCCCACAGGCACCACACACACACTCACACACCCCACAGGCACACCCCACACATACTCATACACCCCACAGGCACACCCCCCAAACACACACTCCACACACCCCACAGGCACCCCCCACACACTCACACACCCCACGGGCACCCCACACACACTCACATACTCCACAGGCACACTCCCCCCCCCACACACACACACCCCACAGGCACCCCACACAGACATTCACACACCCCACAGGCACACCCCATACACACACACCCCCTGCGCACACGCCCACACCCGGACACAGCCCACAGGCTCCATGCGCCCCGCATGCCCATGCTGCCGGCAACCCGCTGTGATTTTCCTAAGCAGACGCCCCCTGGCGGCTGTCCCTCCACCGATGCTGGAGAAAGCTGGCACCCAGCAGCCGCTCCCAGGCTCAGGGGCCTGAACACCTCCTCTTCTCTTACCTGGCTGGGATTCATGCCAGCCAAGGGCCTCAGAGGGGATATGATGGGTTTCTGAGAGTCAGAGCCCTCGAATGGGGCTCCCAGCCCTATGCTTTGGTTTCCCCGGCTGTAGGAAACCCGTGTGGCAGGAGGACAGGTCACTGGACTCAGGATCAGACGAGCTGGGCTCCAGTCCCAACACTGTCCTGACTGGCTGTGTGACCTGGAGCAAGTTCACTTAACATCTCTGAACCTCACTCTCCTCCTCACTGAAATGAGGGAGTCAGTGTGTTGAGCAGGGTTTGGTGAAAATGTTTCTCTCCTGGATCCTGAGTGGTGGTGTCACTGACTACACACACTCTCTGGAAGGGGATTTGGTAACATGAATCTAGAGCAGGGGTCTCAAACTCAGGTGGCCCTGGGAGCCAGGTAGGTGATGTAATAGAGAGAGAGCCCATTAGCACAAGGGCAAGGGCAGCTCTGATTTTTTTTTTTTTTTATATATATATATACAGGGTCCTGCTCTGTTGCCCAGACTGGATTGCAGTAGTGCAATCTCAGCTCACTGCGACCTTGATGTCCTGGGCACAAGTGATCTTCCAGCCTCAGCCTCTTGAGTAGCGACAGATGTGCACCTCAATACCCGGCTACATTTTTAACTTTTGTAGAGATAAGGTCTTGCTTGTTGCACAGGCTGGCCTCAAACCCCTGGCCTCAAGCAGTCCTCCTACCTCAGCCTCCCACAGTGCTGAGATTACAGGCCTGAGCCACTGCACCTGGCCCGATTTTAAAGAAAAAAATTGGTCAGGTGCAGTGTCTCATGCTTGTAATCCCTACACTTTGGGAGGCCGAGCTGGGTGGATCACCTGAGATCAGCAGTTCGAGACCAGCCTGACTAATATGGTGAAACTCTATTTACTAAAAATACAAAAATTAGCTGGGCATGGTGGTGTGGGCCTGTAGTCCCAGCCACTTGGGAGGCTGAGACAGGAGAATTGCTTGAACCTGGGAGGCGGAGGTTGCAGTGAGCCGAGATCTCACCACTGCACTCCAGCCTGGGCAAGAGAGAGCAAGACTCCATCTAAAAAAAAAAAAGAAAGAAAAAAAATTTTGAGGTAAAACTTACATAACATAAAATTCATCATTTTAACTATTTTAAAGTGTACATTTCAGTGGTGCTTAATACACTCACAATGTTGTGCTACCATCAGCAGTATCCCATTCTAGAACATGTTCATCACATTTAAAGGACACCCGTACACATTAAGCAGTCATCCCCCATTTCCTCCTCCCCTCGTTCCCTGAAAGCCATTCATCTCCTTTCTGTCTTTCTGGATTTACCTATTCTGGCCATTCCATATAAATGGAATCATACCATATGGAATCTTTTATGTCTAGCTTCTTTCACTTAGCATAATATTTTTATAGATTTATCCACATCATAGCACGTATCAGTATTTCCTCACTTTTTATGTCTGAATAATATTCCATTATGGATAGAACACATTTTGTGTATCCATTCATCAGCTGTGCACATTTAGGGTGTTTCCACCTTTTGGCCATTACAGCAATTACAATGTACTGCTAAGAACATTTGTGTACAAGTGTTTGTTACCAATTCCTTTGGGATACACAGCTAGGAGTGGAAATGCAGGGTAATTCTATGTTAAACTATTTGGGGAACCACCACATTGTTTTCCACAGCAACTGCACCATCTTACATACCCACCAGGAGTGTACAAAGCTTCCAATTTTTCCACATTTTCACCAATACCTGTTATTCCCCCGGCCCCAAAATTATAGCCATCCTGGTGGGTGTGAAAAGGTACCTCACTGTGGTTTTGATTTTATGTCCCTAATAATTAATGATGTTGTACAACTTTTCCTGTGCTTATTGGCCACTTGAATATTTTCTTTGGAGAAATGTCTATTTAAGTACTTTGCCAATTTTTAAGTTGGATTATTTGGGTATTTTGTTGTTGAGTGGTGAGAGTTCTTCCTCTATCCTGGATACTAGATGTTTATCAGCTATATGCTTTGCAAATATTTTCTCCTGTTCTGTGGGTTGCCTTTTCACTCTCTTGATAGTGTTCTTTGCTGTATATACGTTTTTAATTTTAGTGAAGTCCATGTTATTTTTTCTTTTGTTGCCTGCACTTTTGTTGTCATAGCTAGAAAACCACTGCCAAATTCAAGGTCATGAAGATTTACCATTATGTTTCCTTCTAAGAGTTTTATAGTTTCAGCTCTTATATTTACAATTTTAATCAATCTTAAGTTAATTTTTGTATATGGTGTGAGGTAAGGATCCAATTTCATTCTTTTTTATGGATATCCAATAGTTCCAGCACCATCTTTGAAGAGACTGGCCTTTCCCCACTGAGCAATCTTGGCATTCTTGTCCAAAATCAACAGGCCATATATCTGAGGGCTTAATTCTGGACTCTTAATCTATTTCGTTTTCTATATGTCTGCTTTGTCTCAATCCATTCCATTGTCTATATGTCTATATTCCATTCTGTAAGTCTGTCCTTATGCCAGTATCACAACCTTTTGATTGCTGTAGCTTTGTAGTAAGTTTTGGAAATCAGGAAGTGTGAGTCCGTCAATTTATCCTTTTTTTCTTTTCAAGATTGTCTTGGCTGTTTGCGGTCCCTTGCAATTCCATAGCAATTTGGGAATCAACTTTTCCATTTCTACAGTAAAGCCCATTGGAATTTTGATAGAGATCGCATCAAGACTGTATTTTGCTTTGGGTGGTATTGCATCTTAACAATATTAAGTCTTCCAGTCCATAAACATGAGCTGAGTTTCCATGTATTTAGGTCTTCTTTAATTTCTTTCAGCAATGCATTGTAAGTTTCAGTGTACCAGTCTTTCATCTCCTTAGTTAAATTTATTCCTATGAATTTTATTCTTAAGGATGCTATTGTAAGTGGAATTGTTTTCTTAAGTTTCTTTTTGGATTGCTCGTTGCCAGCATATAGAAATACAACTAATTTTTGTGTGTTGGCCTTGCACTCCACAACATTGCTCAATTCCTCTGTTAGGGCTAATAGTTTTTCAGCAGATTTTTTCCTATATAAGATCATGTCATCTGTGAATACTTTTATTTCTTCTCTTCCGATATGATGCCTTTTATTTCTTTTTCTTGCCTAATTTATCTGGCTAGAATCCCAGTACTATGCTGAACAGAAGTGGTGAAAATTGGGCATCCCGTCCTGTTCCTCTGTTGGGGTAAATGCTTTCAGCCTTCCATCATTGAGGGTTTTTCACAAATGTGCTTTTTCATGTTGAAGAAGTTTCCTCTGTTTCAAGTTTGTTGAAGGTTTTTAATCATGAAAAGATGCTGCCTTTTGTTAAATGCTTTTTCTGCATCAATTAGGATGATCATCTGGCTTTCTCCCTTCATTCCTGTAATGCAGTGGATTACATTGATTGATTGGGCAGCTTTGATTTTCCAAGATAAGCTGTAAATCTGCATTCTGATGGGAAATCTTACTTTTAAAAATGTGTGCACAGGCCCGGTGGCTCATGCCTGTAATCTAAGTGCTTTGAGAGGCTGAGGCAGGAGGATTGCTTCAGGCCAGGAGTTTGAGATCAGTGTGGGCAATACTGCAAGACCCTGTCTCTGCAAAAATTAAAAAAAAAATTAGCCAGGCATGGTGGCATATGCCTGTAGTCCCAGCTACTATGAAGGCCGAGGCAGAAGGATTGCTTAAGCCCAAGAGTTTGAGGCTGCAGTGAGCTATGATCACGTCACTGCACTCCAGCCTGGGCAACAGAGTGAGACCTCATATCTAAAAAACAAAACAAAACAAAAAAACTGTATGTACATAAAAAAAAAATGCATAGGCCAAATGAAACTCAGCTAACAGACAAACTGGCTCTGGCCCACCAGTTTGAAATCGCTAATCAAGGGACTTAATAGTCCTCCCTCCCTTTGACTCAGGAATTCCACTTCCAGGGATTCATCCAGAAGAAATAATCCAAAATGTGGGCAAAATTTGACACCTGCACTTGAGTATTACCTTTAATTGCCAAAGCTAGAAAGTCCCTGAACACCCAAAAATAGGGGACACAAAAATGTCACAGTCAGCCTACTAGAGTGAATGTTTTGCAGCCACTTAGAATGGCTTTCATGAAGACTATGAAATGTCATCAATAGATACAGGTGATATCATTTTAATGAAGGTTGTTCAATATCACCACAATTGTCATCTACTATGAACATAAACTTTTTTTGTGACAAAAAGAAGAGGGGTTCCCCAAGGCCTCCTCTCTGGCTGGGGTAGTGTGGCTCAACAATAGGTCATCTCCCCACTGCCCGCCTTTCCTCTTTTTCCAAATGTGGAATGATGTCCTGATATAACGTTTCTTGGCACTTCCCACATTTGATTCGCATTTTAAGCACTTGACTCTCAGGAGCACATCTCCACACACCAGTTTCCCTTTGGCTGGCTGCGTGCTGGTCCACAGCCATTTGCCCTGCTGGTCCCACATAGGAAGTGCTTTGGGCAGAAATCCACCCCCTGTCCCACCCATCCCTGTTTTTCATAAGCACTTGAATCAAAACAATCTTTTTGTTATTGTTGTTGTTGTTGTTTTCAGACAGAGTTTCGCTCTTGTTGCCCAGACTGGAGTGCAGTGGCGCAATCTCAGCTCACTGCAACCTCCGCCTCCCAGATTCAAGCGATTGTCCCGCCTCAGCCTCCCGAGTAGCTGGGATTACAGGCATGCGCCACCACGCCCGGCTAATTTTTGTGTTTTTAGTAGAGACAGGGTTTCTCCATGTTGATCAGGCTGGCCTCGAACCCCCAACCTCAGGTGATCCGCCCGCCTCGGCCTCCCAAAGTGCTGGGATTACGGGTGTGAGCCACTGCGCCCGGCTGAATCAAAACAGTCTTGAACATCGTTTCTCACATTGCTGGCTGGCAGGGAGGCACCTGTCTCCAAGAATTCAACACCATGGACAACGGGATTCACTGGGCTGCCATTCTGACCGTTGCAACCGCAACCCTTTCTCTAAGCAGCTGGGATCACAGCCTCTTCCATTCTTCCTTCTTGTATATCATGTCATGGAGCAGATGCTACACACAGAAACCCAACAGTTCTTTCCAGGCTTCAACCTGTAAAACCCGACTCCACTCTGAGTATTCCAGGCCCACACATCAATGACAGTGCCTTGAAAACAGATTTAAAAAAGAAAGGGCCCCTAACCCCGCTCAGCCTCCCCGAGGAGTTGCCGCTCAGCTGCGTGCTGTGAGGTAGATGTAGAGAGAAAATGCTTCACAACCAGCAAGCCGGGTGCGGTGTGGTGCAGGCCCATCCAGCCGCCCACAGCGCCCTGCTGGGCTCAGAGGACAGGGGACGCTGCAAGGGGTGGGGCAGGGCTGCGTGGAGGGGGCCCTGTTTGAGCTGAGCCTCTGTGCTGAGTTCAGTAGTGACCTCCCCAAAAGTCATGTCCACCCAGCACCTGTGAAGGTGACGTGATTTGGAAATAGAGTCTTCTCAGCTGTGATCAAGGGAAGATGAGGTCTTGCTGGATTAGGGAGGGCCCTAACCAATGACTGGTATCTTTATAAGGCAGGGGACATTTGCACAGAGACACAGGAAGGAAGGCCACGTGAAGACGGAGGCAGAGGTTGCATCCAGAGCCCAGGAACACCTAGGGCTGCCAGCCACCAGCAGAAGCCAGGGAAGGGGCCAGGAGGGGCAGAACCTGCCGATCCCTCGATCCTGGACTGTGGCCTCTAGAACCCTGACGGGATAAACTTCTGTTGTGTTAAACCCCATTTGTGACACTGTGTGATGGCTGCCACAGGACCCTGGCAGCTTGAAGAAGGCCTTATCTAAAGGCCCCTCAGCACCTATGGGTGGTCGGCCACTCCTCCTGGGTGACAGCCCTCCTGGGTGACAGCCCTGGTGACAACCCTCTTGGGTGACAGCCCTGGGTGAAAGCCCTGCTGGGTGACAGCCCTCCTGCGTGACAGCCCTCCTGGGTGATGCCCCTCACTGCCCCTTAGTGGCTGACTGGCATGCAACAAGGCACCAGGCGCTGGCACCTCCCTATGGTCACCAGCATGTGGCACCCCTGACCTAGGTGCTGGGCACACTGCACCCCAGGTTCCTGGTCGGACTGGGAGGAGCTAGTTTGGGCGGGGTGGAGCCCTGGGCCGCCAACCCTGGACCAAAGGCAGATGGTGAGCATGGGTGGACCCGGCTTCTTTACCTTCCCGAGGCCTTGGGTGAGGGGCTGGCTGCCTGCCCTGTGCAGAGGACTTTGTCCTTGGAGCAGGTGGGTGCAATGAATTTCAGGGCTCTGACCCAGGGACAGAGGGGCACAGAGGGGTAAAGGGTCCCTCACTCTCGCCCAGCCCCTAGTCACAATCTGGGAAAATTTCCAGAGGCTGTGTGGGGTGGCGTTTTTCAAACCAGTCCAGTGGCTCAAAAGCAGTCCAGCCTCCCCTCTGACTCTCAGAGGCTGGTTCTGAGACCCCGCTCCCATGCAGGCTGACATGAGAGGGAGTGTCTATCCCAAGGGGGGCAGGAGCAGCCTTCCCGTCTGAGGATCCGCTGGGGTGGGTGGGCTTTGTCCTCCTCCTGACAGAGGGAAATGCTGGCTTCTTGAAGGACCATTCCTTAGGGTGGGGTGGGGTGGCATGGGGATGGGAATGGTGGAAAGAGCACAGATCAGGAGGGAGACCCAGAGTCCAGCCCCCTCTGCTGCTCACCTGCTGGGCTCCTCCCTCCTCTGGCCGAGCCTTGGTTTTCTCAGTTGTAAAATGGGCCTGACTCTGTCCCTGTCTTTCATGGATGGGGCATCAGCTGACCCGACAACATACAGGAAAAGCTCTGCAGAGAAACCTCTCTGAGTGCTTTTGGTTTTCAGTCTGGGGTTTTGTTTTATGTATGGTAAAATGCATATAACATAAAAGTTACCATTTTAGGCCAGACGCAGTGGCTCACGCCTATAATCCCAGCACTTTGGGAGGCCAAGGCGGGTGGATCACGAGGTCAGGAGATCGAGACCATCCTGGCTAACACGGTGAAACCCTGTCTCTGCTAAAAATACAAAAAAAAAATAGCTGGGTGTGGTGGCGGGCGCCTGTAGTCCCAGCTACTTGGGAGGCTGAGGCAGGAGAATGGCGTGAACCTGGGAGGCGGAGCTTGCAGTGAGCCGAGATCGCGCCACTGCACTCCAGCCTGAGCGACAGAGCGAGACTCAGTCTCAAAAAAAAAAAACAAAGTTACCATTTTAACTATTGTTAAGTATCTAGTTCAGTGTCATTAAGTACATTCACATTGTGACACAACCATCCCCATCGTCCATATCCAGAACCTTTCATCTTATAGAAATGAAACTGTCCCCATGAAACGCTGACTTCCCTTCCCCCTTCCCCAGCCCCTGGCAACCCCCATTCTACTTTCTGTCTCTAGAGATCTAACTACTCTAGTGCCTCACCTACATGGAATCATACACGATTTGTCTTTGTGTGACTGGCTTATTTAGCTTAGCATAATGTTCTCAAGCCCCATCCATGTGGTGGCCTGTGTCCAAACTTCCTTCCTTTTGAAAGCTGAATAACATTCCACTGTGCAGATGTCCCATAGTGTGCTTCTCCATTCATCCGTGGAGGGACATCCATGGAAGGGACACCACTTCCACATTTCAGCTATTGGGAATAAGGCTGCTGTCAACACGGGTGTGCACGCATCTCTTTGAGACCTGCTCTCTATTCTTTTCGGTATGTTCCCGGAAGTGGGATGCCTGGATCATGTGGTAATTCTGTGTGTGTGTGTGTGTGTGTGTGTGTGTGTGTGTGTCTGTGTGTGTGTCTGTGTGTGTGTGGAATCTCCTTCCTGTTTTCCTTAACAGCTGCACCAGTTGACATTCCCACCAACAATATGCAAGCATTGCAGTTTCTCCACATCCTTGACAGCATTTGTTATTATTATTTTTTTAGAGTGGCCATCACAATGGGTATGGGTGATATCTCCAGGTGTTTGAGCAGCTAGGATTTGATGCAGGCATCCAGCACTTACAAAATCCCTGGGTGAGTTGGAGGAGAGGTCTTGGGTTGCCCCTGCCCCATGGCTCCCAGAGCCCAGCAGAACCAAGCTGCCCAGGAGGTAGGAATCAGGGATGCCACTGAAGCACCACTGACTTCGTGGGGTGCAGGGACCTGGGATCAGGGCCACTGGGCAGCTCAAGACCAGACACTGGAACATTGCTTTAGACACTTCCACGTGCCTGTGACCCTGCTGGGTGGCAGAACACAGCCCAGAGCTGCCAAAAGATGTCCCCCACCCCCGCCTCCTTGATCTCACCTGGGCGTGTTACTAGTGGATCCTAACCCTGGAAGCCATTGCAAGGGAACCTGGAAATGTAGCCTTCAGCTTCCCAGTCCCTGCTGGTCAGGAAGGCACAGGAGGAGGAGGTGGAAATGAGTGTGGAGGGCCACATATCAGGCCAAAGCAGCAGGCACTCAGAACACAGCGGCCTAGAAGCAGGGTACAGGAAGGGATGCCCCTCAGCCACACCAGCCTTCAGGGCCCCAGGCAGGCTCCCTCCTGCCAAAGGTCTTTGTGTATGTTGTTCCTGCCTTATCAAGTGTTCCTCCCTATCCTCTCTGCCTCCACATAGCAAGGTAACTTCCACTCAGCCAAAAACTATCACTGTCCAGCACAGCCCAAATATCCATAAACAGAAAACATCAACAAATGACAGTATATTCATACAATGAAATACTATACAGCAATGAAAAAGAATCACCGACGACCACATACAACAATATGGGAGGATCTCACAGATGTCATTGTTGAGTGAAGAAGCCGGACTCAAAAGAGCACCATTCACAAACCTCCATTACTAGGAAGCTCAAAAAGAAGCAGAATTAATCTATGGCACAAGGGTAGAGAAGAATGGTTACTTCTCGGGGGGTGGGGGGAGTGTTGGATGGGAGGGGACAAAGGAGCCCTCTAGGGGCTGGGCACGAACTTGGTCTTCTCCAGTTTGGTCTGGGGGCTGAGCCTGAGGCACCCATGGGTAAAACTTCATCAAGCTGAACACTTAAACTGTGCACTCTTCCTATGATGAAAAAGTAAAAATAAAACAGACCCCTTTCTCTGAGAAGCCTTTTCCCAGACTAGAGCACCTTCCCCAGGATGAGCTGCCAGGGTTCTGTGCACCCCTCCTGCCAGGCTATTGTCGTGCTGTGACGGTCTGTTTCCCTGTGGGATGGTGAGGTGGTCTGCTCCCCCAGACAGTAAGCTCCATGCAGGAAGTCTCTCTGTCTTTCCAGGGCCTGTATGTCCAGTGCTCAGATCTTAAGCATCTGCTGCAAGCGTGGGTGACCCCCATCGTGGAACAAGCCCACTCTCTGGCAACAGCAATGTGAACCTTCTGCTTGTAATGTAAATGTGAAACCCAGGGCCAGTAAGAGATTCCTCAGATTTGCTGTGCAGCCATGGAAGGCAGGTTTTTCAAACAGAAACTCTTCTTCCTAAAAATATTCGATGTTCAAATCTTTTCTCTGCAAAAAAGACGGAGGAGGAAGAAGTGAAGTTGCTGTGCGTGAGCCCACCTGGAGGGCAGCAGCCCAGGAAGGGCCAAGGGACTGACAGCGACAGCTCAAGCATTGCAGCACCTGGGCCTCCTGCTCTCCCAAGCCAGCAGGATTTTCACTGACTCCCAGATGGCAGAGCCAAGCCAGTGAGAGACAGATGTTGGCTCAAGTGGTTTTGAGAGCTGATGAGTTCCCTGTCCCTGGAAGTGTGCAAGTAGAGACTAAAGGACCACTCCTGAGAAATATTGTGAGACAAGCAGGGGTTGGGACTGGAAGGATGGCCCTTGGAGGACCTCAGAGACCCAGGCCTCTTGTGTCTGTGTCCTTTTGGAACTCTTGGTCTTCGCCGAGGGAGGGATGCCCTCCAGGCTGCCTGGGACCACATAAGGTCTTGGGAGACAGGAGCAGCAGTAGCAGCTTCGTGTATGAAGGTGCTCCCAGTGCTGGGCACTGTAGGGAGGGCTATCCTACCACATCCTCTCAGCGAAGGGCTTTTGTAGAGTATGGTTAAGAATGCAGATCTGCAGTGGGTCACGCCTGCAATCCCAGCACTTGGGGAGGCTGAGACAGGAGGATGGCTTGAGCCCGGGAGTTCGAGGCTGCCTACCCCCTGCACCCCAGCCTGAATGACAGAGCGAAGAGAAATCCTGTTGTCTCTTTATTTGAAAAAAATTTTTAAGTAGGTTCTGGAGCCGGAATGTTGCAGAGAACCAGGCGCCGGCGCCTCCCAATGGTCACCAGCAGGTGGCGCCGCTGACCTAGGTGCTGGGCCCCTCGGCACCCCTCGTTCTGGGTGGCGCTGGGAGGAGCCAGTTTGGGCGGAGAGGAGCCCTGGGCCGCCTACCCTGGACTGAAGTCAGGTGTTGAGCACGGGTGGACCCGGCTTCTTTACCTTCCTGAGGCCTTGGTCGAGGGGCTGGCTGCCCGCCCTGTGCAGAGGACTTTGTCCCTGGGGTGGGTGGGTGCAATAAATGTCAGGGCTCTGACCCAGGGACAGAGGGGCACAGAGGGTAAAGGGTCCCTCACTCTCCCCTGGCAGCGGCCGCTTGTCACAGTCTAGGAAAATATCCAGAGACTGTGCCGGGTGGGGGGTTTTGCAAACCAGTCCAGTGGGTCGAAACCAGTCCAGCCGCCCCACTGAACAGATTCTGCAGTGGGTCACACCTGCAATCCCAGCGCTTGGAGAGGCTGAGGCAGGAGGATGGCTTGAGCCCAGGAGTTCGAGGCTGCCTGCCCCCTGCACCCCAGCCTGAATGACAGAGCCAAGCAAGACCCTGTTGTCTCTTTATTTAAAAAAAAAAAAAAAATTATTTTTTGTTTGAGACAGATTCTCGCTCTGTTGCCCAGGCTGGAGTACAGTGGCGCGATCTCGGCTCACTGCAAGCTCCGCCTCCCAGGTTCACGCCATTCTCCTGCCTCAGCCTCCCGAGTAGATGGGGAAAAAAAAAAAACTTTTTTAAGGTAGGTTCTGGAGCCCGACTGTCTGGCCCAACTCCAGCTTTGCCACTGTCTCGGGCAGGGCTCAGAATCAGACCCCAGAACAAGGATTCCAGAGCAAGTGCTTGGCTGGGGAGATGCAGGAAGCCCCAGGGGAGGGCACGAGAGGCAGGGAAGGGAAGAAGCCAGTAAAGTATGTGTTATCAAGGCAGTTACCAGGGAAGCACCAGGCTCCCTGCTGTGGGGAGCCCTGGGAGACAGCGTGGAGCAGGCCCCAGAGGTTGCCCCGCTGAGGAGCAAGGGGCTGGAGTAGTTGTCCGCCACCCCCACAGCCACTGTTGGCTGAGACCCTCTCCTGGGACAGGGACTCTCCAGGCCTCCAGCGGTGGAACTTGCCCGTCCTTGCAGCTGGGAGAAGCAGCCCAAGGATCCTGCTCAGGCGTCCCAGGCTTAGACGTGAAGAGGCGAGTCCTGCATGGGGAGGGTGGGTGACTGATGGATGGGACACCAGCTGTGTCCTCTGCGGCCACTGGGCAGCTGTGTGACCTCAGGCAATTGCTCAGCCTCTCTGTGTCTTCTCATCCTCCTTTGGTAGGAGGCTGCCTAGGCCCAGTGAAGGTAGAGGGCCTAGAACTGCGCCTGACACAGCACTACGCATGCCAGGATCTCAGGAGCCCAAGAGGTAGTCCTGTCACACCCCGTTTCACAGAGGAGGATGTGGAGGTCAGAGTGGCTAAGACAACTGCTCAATGCCACTGGGCACCAGAGGGCAGATGGGGCTTGGGGGACCCTGATCCCACACTCACAGGACCCCTGTCCAGTGCGCTCCTGTGGGTAGATCAAGGCAAGGCTGCCTCTAGGACCACCTCCCTCTTGCCCCGCACCAGCCAGGCATCCTCTGGGCAGGGACCATGGCAACACGGCCCCCACCTGTGGCCGGGCCTTCTGGGTCCTCTCCAGGAGGTGTCTAGGCACCACGCTGTGGCATCAGCATCACACACAATGCTGAGATGAAAAGTCTTACGCAGGTGTCTTCGCACACCTGAGCAAACATTTCTACAGGAATAATTTCCCCCAGCGGGATTCTTGGATCAAAGGGAAGCACACATGATTATTCTAGAAGTTGACAGCCATTGTCCAATTGACACCCTCACCCACAGGGCTCTTTCCCCACATCCTTGGCAATACCAGGTCCTTGTTTTTAAATCTGTGCCGACCCGATGGGCAGAGAGTGGCACCTTGTCATGCTGTCTCCTGCCTGTTTGATCCAGGATTTTGTGGACCGTGGGTTTGGCAGCTGCTGGCACTTCTTCTGCACGTTCCCTTTTTGTGTCCTTTTCCAGATTGCTATTTCTTTGGGGCTTTTTTCTTAGTGATTTGTAGGGTGCTTTAAAATAAAATCTTCTGTCTGCCATGGTCTGTAGGTGACAAATATTTCTTCTCAGCTAATTGTTTTATTTTCAGCCATGTTGGTGGGGACTTTGTGATTGTTTTGTTTTTTGTGATTGGTCTTTGGAAGTTGCTCATGTTTGTGTAATCGGATTTGTCATTCTTTTCCTTTGTCATTTCAGAGTTTGTGTCAGGAATTCTTCCCTCTTCAACCCATTCCTCCACCTCCCTCCGCAGACTGGCCGGTGTTCTCTCTAGATCTGCCTCTCCCTCCATGCCATGCTCTCGGGCCCTTCGTGGTGAAGCCAGGTGGCCGTCCTCCTGCCCCTGCCCCTGAAGGAGAAAGCTCCAAGACCTGCTGTATTCATGTCCCCTTCCTGGAGGCCCACCTTCACGTGCCCACCTACCTCCTCAGCATGCCTGAGCCCCTATCGCTTTCCTCTCGCAGCAGCCTCAGGTGCAGAGCCCGGGGACTCTGGTCTGACACCGATGGCTTCTTAACTACAATCAGCACACCTGCTGCTCACCACCCTTGGCCAGGCCAAGCCACAGCCAGGCCCAGCCCTGGATTCGAGATTGTTATTTCTGCAAAATGGATCATCCAGGCATCTCTGGCTTGTCTCTGGCCCCCCCGCACCCCTCCACCACGCCCCTGGGCTGCTGCTGCTGATGTCTCCTTCCTGCCTACATCGGACCCAGTTCCCCCATGTTCATCCCTGGGGCTGGGCCACCTGCTGCTCCCCCTGGCTCATCCACTGCCCGTTACCAAGCCGCACACAGCTCATCGACCTACAGCCACACTTGTCACACCTCCTTGCAGACCACGAGTCCAGAGAAGCACGTGATGCAACCTCCCACACCTGACTCTTTTACAAACCAACAGGCCACTGGGAGGCTGCTCTCCTTGTCTCTGGGGTGGCAGCAGGGGAAGCAGGAGAATGAACAGCCTCCAAAACTTCTCCTCAGACGGAGCCGCCATGGAGGAACAAAGGGTCACCATCAACAAAGTCCATTTAGCCCAATCAGCCTCCTGCCCAGCAAACCAGGGAGGCATGCTCTGCCCTCAGCCCTCAGGTCCCAGGGGCCCGGCCCTGGCAGCCTCTTTGTTATTCCTGGCTCCCGGGACCAGGACTCTCAGGGTGCCCATGCCAGGGAGGCCTGCATGGCCGGGAGCAGGTATTTCCTTCTGTGCCCTCTGCGGGCTCAGGAAGACCCCACCCTGCAGGTGGCAGGAAGGGGCTGTGTTGAGCAAGGGGCCCAGCAGCTGGAGTGGGCCTGGGTCTAACTCTCCACTCCTGTTTGCATTGGCAAAGCACCGCAGCTGACACGGGCTGCGGGAGCACCACGCTCAGAGGAGCCGGCGACGGCTGTTTCCCAGCTGCTGTGCAATTTGCTGAGTTCAACACACATGTATTGACTGCCCACTGTGTTTTCTGTGCTCACTTGGAAATTCTGTTGAGCGCCTACTATGTGCTAGGCACTTGTCTGTGTGCTGGGGATATGGCCTGGGGCAAAGGTGTCAGTTCAGCTCCCCTGGGAAGTAGACAACAGGTTGGAGTTAGAGATACAAGAACTGTGTTAGGAGAAGGAGCTGTAAAGGAGAAAGGGGCGAGGGGCAGAGCAGTCAGGGAGAGCATGGAGCGCACCAAGCACAATGCTTGTGAAGGAGAGGGGCCACTGGAGAGCTGGGCGGGGGAGCCTCACCCGGCCCCAGGGGGTCTCTGGAGCAAAGATGGCCAGTACTGGGGTCCCAGGTTGGGCAGGATGATTTGAATGTGGCGGAAGATCCCCAAGTAGCTGGAGGCTGTCAGCTGACTGCACTTCTTGCAGAGGCTTCTCTCTTGAAGGCCGACCTGAGAAGAGCACCTCCATGGTGGCCACGGGAGATTAAATGCAGCTGCCATCCTGTGGAGGGGATGGACAACACACCAAGCAGCAACTGCACCCCCTTCTAGAACAGAGGCCCCAAATGACAGTGCTTCAAGAGAGGTGGGAGCTGGCTGTGCACAGTGGCTCATGCCTGTAATCCCAGAGCTATGGGAGGCCGAGGTGGGAGGCTCACTTGAGGCCAGGAGTTCAAGGCCTGCCTGGGCAACATAACGAGACCCCATTTCTACAAAAAATACCAAAAAAAAATTCAGCTGGACATGGTGGCATGTGGCTATAGTCCCAGCTACTCAGAAAGCTGAGGTGGGAGGATTGCTAGAGCCCAGGCTAGGCTGCAGTGAGCTATGATGGTGCCACTGTACTGCAGCCTGGGTGACAGAGTGAGACCCAGTCTCTTAAAAAAAAAAAAAAAATTATTAAGGGGAGGGCAAGCCCTTTTCCATACTTTCTTAACCCTGCTGTTTAGGATGTGGACATGATGGTGCACTGTCTTGAGCTACATGGACAAGAGAAACACCCTAGGGATGGGAGAGAGAAGGGTGGATCCCTGAATAACTGCATGGAGCAGAGTTGCCACCGCAGCCCTGAACTGCCCTGCCACCCCTAGACAGTGTGCTGGAGAAATGAACCTCTGTCTTGTTAAAGCCACTGTTGTTAGACGTAGCTAAACCTAGATCCTAAATACAAACATAGCATGTTCTTTTTTTTTTTTTTTTTTTTTCCTGAGGCGGAGTCTCACTCTTCGCCCAGGCTGGACTGCAATGGCACAATCTCGGCTCACTGCAACCTCCACCTCCCAGGTTGAAGCAATTCTCCCACCTCAGCCTCCCAAGTAGCTGGTATTACAGGCGTGCGCCACCACGCCTGGCTAATTTTTGTATTTTTAGTAGAGACGGGGTTTCACCACATTGGCCAGACTGCTCTCGAACTCCTGACCTCAAGTAATCCGCCTGTCTCAGCCTCCCAAAGTGCTGGGGTTCCAGCCACTGCACCCCTCCACACATAGCGTGTTCTTTTTGTCCACATAAAACTTACCATCTTGACCATCGTGAAATGCACAGTTCAGTGGCACTAAGCACAGTCTCATTGTTGTGCAACCATTACCATCGTCCATCTCAAGAACTTTTTCGCCGGGTGCGGTGGCTCACGCCTGTAATCTCAATGCTTTGGGAGGCCAAGGTGGGCAGATCACAAGGTCAGGAGATCGAGGCCATCCTGGCTAACACGGTGAAACCCCGTCTCTGCTAAAAATACAAAAAATTAGGCGGGCGTGGTGGCGGGCGCCTGTAGTCCCAGCTACTCAGACGCTGAGGCAGGAGAATGGCGTGAACCCAGGAGGCGGAGCTTGCAGTGAGCCGAGATAGGGCCACTGCACTCTAGCCTGGGCGACAGAGCGAGACTCCGTCTCTTAAAAAAAAAAAAAAAGAACTTTTTCATCTTCCTCAAATTGAAACTGTCTCCAATGAACAGTAAACAGTAACTCCCCATTCCCCTTCCCTTAGCTCGTATAAGTGGAATCATATAGAGTTTGTCTTTTCACGGAATATTACGCCCTCACGTTCTTCCATATTGTAGCATGTGCCAGAATTTCCTTCCTTTGTAAGACTGAATAATATTTCATTGTACGCACAGACCACATTTTTGTTTATCGATGGTCATTTGGGTGGCTTCCACCTTTTCGTTGTTGTAAAGAATGCTGCTATAGTGAGCTGAGATCACGCCACTGCGCTCCAGCCTAGGCAACAGAGTGAGACTCCGTCTCAAAAAAAAAAGAATGCTGCTATAAACATGGGTGAACAAACATCTGTTGGAGACCCTGATCTCAATTATTTTTGGGGTATTTTTTGGTATATACCCAAAAGCGGAATTACTAGATTATATGGTAATTCTGCACAGTGACTTTTCCACTAGTGTTTAACATGGTGTCTTGACAGAATAGCTGTAAGATTACACTGAAAAAGCAGCAGGGGAAGTGCTGTGAAGGCGGCCCATGAGCTTGTAGGAAAGGCGGTCAGCAGCACACCTCCACTGTAATGGGTTTGTTTACCCGCTAGCCTACCAACAGCTGCAGGCCCCTTTCCTGGCCCTGGCCCTGCCCCTGCCCCACATTGCTCCCCACATTAGACCCAGCTGTGCTGCACCTCTGCCCTTCTGCCCCGGCTCCTGCTTGTTACAGGGAAGGGCTGGAGGGCTCTTTGTCCAGGTTTGTCATC
Organism: Homo sapiens; assembly: GCF_000001405.40. Taxonomy (NCBI): domain Eukaryota; kingdom Metazoa; phylum Chordata; class Mammalia; order Primates; family Hominidae; genus Homo; species Homo sapiens. The sequence goes on from NC_000017.11 coordinate 17,008,144, forward strand.
CAATATGAGCACTCAGTGCACACGGATGGCTTTACCTGGCACTCAGCCAGTGAACTCAGCATCTGCTCCGGCCCTTTAGCACTGAGCTAGGCTATCTACCTTCATAGGCCAATCACAGGTTGTCACAGGTAAATGACCACATGTGGTTTGTGCCTCACTTTCTGACTTTGGAACATAATCCCCTGGTAGGGGTGGGGGAGGGCCATTTTTCTGGAGCTTCCTCCTATTTTCAAGCTTTATCATGCAGAACAAAACCTTCTAAGCAGAAGCCTCAATGTCCTCTTTCTGTGGGTTGCATGTGTCCCCCAAAAGGCGTGTATTCAACACTTAATCCCCGGTGCAATGGTATTGGGAGCTGGGGCCTAATAGGAGGTGTTTAGGTTATAAGGTGCCCACCGTCACGCATGGGTTAATGCTGATTATAAAAGGCCTTGAGACTGTGAGTTTGGTCTCTTACCCTCCTGATTTCCACCATGGGATGAGGCAGCAAGAAGGCCCTCACCAAATGCTGGGCTCAGGCCAGCACCATGCCCTTGGGCTTCCCAGCCTCCAGAATTATGAGCCACATAAATGTCTGATTATTATAAATGACCCAGTCTCAGGTATTCTGTTATAGCAGCACGAAATGGACTCAGACATCTGTCTGCCAGCCCTGCCCTCCTGAGGGCTGGAATGCCGTTCGCTGCACTTCCCAGCCTCTCTACTTTGCCTCACACTGACTTCCCTCCCTGGAACCAGCAGTTCCTGCTTATTTGGGCGTTTTCAGATCTTACTGATCTTTCAAGGGCACCTCCTCTGTGAACTTACCTGGGTCCTTCCCAGCTTGGAGGGATCTCACAGCACATTCTGTAGCCAGTACCATGTTCTACCGTCTCTTCTAAAGCACAGTTCCTGGGCCAGAGCCCCAGCATGGCCTGCAGGCTGCAGGAAATGTGAATTCCAAGGCCCCCCTAGACCTCCTGATTCAGAAACTGGTGGTGGAGCCAACAATCTGTGTCTTATTGGCATAGATAGTTCTAGGTCTACCAGGCTGCCAGGAGGCCTCAATGGCTTGACAATCATGGGGCACGAAGCAACGCCCGCGAGTCAGCAGCAGGGGGTCCCAGCTGGTCTCCCCAAGGGTTCTTCTTCCCTCCTCTTCTTCTTAAAGTGTGGGAAAATTTACAGCAAAGTACACAAATGTTGGTGTGCAAATCAATGCCTTTTAACAAATGTGTCCACCCCGTCATCACACCCCAGATGAAGACATGGAACATTTCCAGGACCCCAGAAAGCTCCCTGGTGCCTCCTTCCCGTCAATAACCCCATCCTCCACCAGCCCCACCAAGAAACCACCACCAGGACTTCTGTCTCCATAGATGACTTTTGCCTGTTTTTTTTTTGTTTTTTTTTTTTGAGACGGAGTCTCGCTCTGTCACACAGGCTGGAGTGCCGTGGCACCATCTCGGCTCACTGCAAGCTCTGCCTCCCGGGTTCACGCCATTCTCCTGCCTCAGCGCGTGAGTAGCTGGGACTACAGGCGCCCGCCGCCCCGCCCGGCTAATTTTTTGTATATTTAGTAGAGAAGGGGTTTCACTGTGTTAGCCAGGATGGTCTCGATCTCCTGACCTCGTAATCCACCTGCCTCAGCCTCCCAAAGTGTTGGGACTACAGGCGTGAGCCACCGCACCCAACCTTGCCTGTTTTTGACCTCCATACTGTGCATGCTCTTTTGCGTCTGGATTCTTTTGTCTGACTTTATCTGCGAGATTCATCTAACTTGTTGCATGGAAGAGTCATTTGGTCTTTTCCTCTGCTATGCAATGCAGGAGAACATTTGTTTGTTTTTAGTTTATAGAATGCAGTAAGTTTTCTTTTGGTGGACATCAGCACTTGTTTCTCTTGGGTGTCTGACCCTTTCCCATGCTTTCCAACCCTAGCTTCTAAGCTCTCTGAGGGTACAGAGTTTGCCTCTGTCTATCCTGGCCTGACACGCAGTCTCCTCCTGTCAGCATTTACTCAGTCCAAATTGCAACAGGGGCAGGTCCCTGCCAGCTGAGGGAGCTATTCTTCCAGCTCAGCAGGGGGTTGGCCAGTCTTGTCCTCTGGGACAAAGCCCAGCCAGAGTTCTGGGCACTGTGGTTCAGAAGGCCTGAGACACGTGGTTTTACCAGGGCTGGGTACCAAGAACCATGCTTGAGGCTGACGGCATTTCATTGGCAGCGTCTGTGGGGGGCTTGGGGACTCAGCCGTGGGAAGCCTGTTCTGCACACAGCCATGGCGCAAGAAATGCTTTTTCCTGCGACGGTTCAGTGAGAACCATGATGGCAGTGGTGCAGCATCCTCCCAGCTTGGTTTTTAAACATGGGAAGGGCTTCTAAAAAGTCACACAGCTGGTTAATGTTTGAACCAGGGTGGCACAGGTTTGTGCGAAGCAGTGAGTGGAGCTGTCTGAATGCCAGGAGGAGGGTCACCCTGGAGGCGGGTGACACAGGGGTCAGTGCAGGTCAGAGGCAGAGGCTGGGCCCAGATGCCATGCGAGCTCCAGGCCACTTTCCCAGAGAAGTGAGCGGCGGCCAGGCTGCCGGAGGCTGTGTGGCCTCTTCAGGCCCTCACTGGTCCTGATTTTGAGGGGTGACTCATGCCGGCTTGGACATCCACTTCTGGCTCAAGTTGCTCTGGGTTCCTCCACACAGACCAGAGGGATTCCTGCGTCACAGGAATCCAGGAAGGGGTGGGGGGAGTTGCAGGTTGAGAAGACAGAGGTGAGTGGCCCCCGGGCCCCTCCCCTGTTGAGTCACGGGAAGGGAATGGAAATAGTGTGTGCTGAAGCTGAGTCAGGGCCCAGCCTCACCTTCTCGGGACCTCATATGGGCTCTGAGGCGAGAGGCCCACCTGTCCCCCCCTCCTTGCTGCCTCCTCTCCCAAGCATGAGGAGGGCGAGCAGGAAGGATTTAGGTTAGCTCTCAAGAAGGACTTCCTGAATCGCGCCAGGCGACACTGAGAGGCATCTCTCAAAGGAAGTTGTGAAATCTTCCTTGGGACCAATTTGAGGTTTGGTCTGGGTCCAACCAGGACTATCTTTATGGCTCTAGAATATTTTCAAGTGTTAGACATTCCTTCCTCGACATGACTCAGGGAGCATCCGATGTGTGCCAGGCCTGGTGGCAGGAGCAGGGCCAGCTGAGTGTGGGACATGCCCCACTCTGGGGGTCTTCTCTAGGTCAGCATTACAGCAGCCTTGGAGAAGACGGCTCCCACCCCTTCCGTCCTCCCCTCTCCTGGCTCCCTTGGGCAGCCTGCTCTGCCAGCCACACCACACTCCACTTTCGGATTCCGGAAGGAAACTATGGGTAATAAATAGGACAAAGGGTCAATTTCCTTCCTGTGCAAATCCCAGTAGCATTTGCAGAGTGCCAAGCATGGGAGGGCGCCCTCCTAAGTGCTTTACCTGCCTTCACTCCACCACAGCCCTGTGAGGAAGGTGCTCCCCTTTCACAGAGAAGGAAACTGAGGCTCAGTGAGGTGAGCAGCCTGGCTACAGTGGCACTGCCAGTGAGCAGCTGACCCAGCCTGTGACCTGGGCTGTGGCACAGCAAACAGCCAGCAAGCACTGGGTGCTTTTCCTGTGCTGGGCCAGCACTTTGCAGGCATCGACTCAATTGAACCCTCACAACCACCACACATTGGTAAGAAAACCACCCTGACAGTCCTGGGAAAATGCACAGTCTTAGTGCTCTGAAGGAAACAAAAAAGGACACATCAGTCATCAAAGAAAACAGAGAGATCCATCTGGAGTGCCTTGAATTGGCAAATGGTTTAATTTTCCTGTATAGGGACGCTGGCCTTGCTGGGGCACCATGGAGCGGGGCCCCGTGCTGGTGGGTTGTTCACTGGGACCACCCTTCTGGAATGTGGGAAGGCGGCATGGCAGGACCCACCGAATGCCTTCAAAAGCCAGTGGTCCATGCCCCTGTCTCCTTCCTTAGAGTCTTCCAGAAAAGACTGGTCAGAGGTGCAGCACAGATAAACCTACAAAGCTTTTCATCAAAGCATCACTTACAATGGTGAAAAGGCAGAAGAATCACTGAATTCCACCAAGGTGGAGCAGCCGAGGAAATCGTGGGTAGAACACTAGGGAGTCACAAGAAACAACATATTTGAGGGGACATTTATAGCAGAGGAAAATGCTCATGATCTAATGCTACACAAAAAGGGCAGGATACAAAATAAGGTGTATTGGAAGAAAGAGGGTGGCATGGTTGTCCATCCACTGCTTTCAGGGACTGGACTAAGTGACCTGGATCAGAGGGAGGGCAAGAGATCTGCTTCCTGCCTGAGCCCTGTGAACAGTTGAAATCACTCGTGTGTCTGCAGGAATCATTCTTATATTTGCTATTCTGTGGTAACTTCAAACCTACACAAAATTTGCGAGAATAAAAAACACCCTGCCACATACTCTTCACCTACATTCACCCATTGTTAACATTTTGTAGTATTTATTTTCTCTCTCATTCTTTTTTTTTTTTTTGACAGAGTCTCACTCTGTTGCCCAGGCTGGAGTGCAGCGGTGCGATCTCAGCTCACAGCAACTTCCATCTCCTGGATGCAAATGATTCTCCTGCCTCAGCCTCCCAGGTAACTGGGACTGCAGGTGTGGACCACCATGCCTGGCTTATTTACTTGTATTTTAGTAGAGACAGGGTCTCACTGTGTTGGCCAGGTTGGTCTCAAACTCCTGATCTCAAATGATCTGCCCACCTCAGCCTCCCAAAGTGCTGGGATTACAGGTGTGAGCCACCACGCCAGCCTGTTTTTCACATTTCTATTTCATGCTCCAGAATTCAGGAGCTCTAAGAGGAGGCTGCCTGGGCGACCTGCCTGTGGTAAGGGTGGACAGGCTGCCTCCCGGCTGCTCTGAGGATGGCCCTGGGTCTGAGGGAGGGCATTGCACTCTGGCGTGTTTGGGACTGGGCTTTGGAGATGTAAACATGGAGCGTCCCTCAGGAACCCAGGGCAGGCGCCCCTGGGAAGAGGAATGGCTCCTTCTTTCCTCCCTCAGTCCCTTTCCTGAATGCCTATGTCACTTCTGGGCACACAGGGGCTCAGCTTGCAGGGAGCCACTCTCCAGGTGAGGCTAAGGTTTGGGGGCTCTCTCTGTGCTCCATCTGCTCCAGCACTCTCTCCTCAGATGGGCCTCCTCTGTTCTCTGCTTTGCTCTCCCTGCAAGGAGTCCAATCCTCGAAGGTGGGAGAGTCCAGAGAAGAAAAGAGCCAAATGGAGGAAGAGGACCCTGGGAACCCTTGGGTGCCGCAGAGCTTGGGAGGTGACGCGTCTGGCCCAACTCTGCTCCTCTCTGCCGGTTCCCAAAGCCAGAAGTAGGCAGCTCCCTTATCCTGTCTTTTCAGAGGAAGTGTTGAGTCCAACAGGATGGGGTTCAAATCCCAGCTTCACCACTGATTCTGGACAAGTTTATTCTCCTTTCTTAGCCTCTGTTTCCTCATCTGGAAAGTGGGGCTGTCTGAGACTAAACCTGAGAAGGCACAGGAAGGGCTTCCCGTGGCTTCTGCAAAGAGCTCCACGAACACTCGCTCTCCTTCATCCGAGCAGCAATCCTCGCTGGGCCTCAGGTGCAGGGGGTAGCGGGGAACAAAACACCATCCTTGTGCTTTTACAGCTTACAATCCAGTGATTCTCATCATCAGTACATGTGGCCAAAGGCCCCTGGCTGACTTGTAGGCTGTGGGGTTGAATATGAGCCTCTGGGTGGTGTGGAAAATCCGGGAAACAGGTGGAAAGGGCAGCTATTCAAACCCTGCGAGGGTGCCGGGGCCATCAGGTTACACGTGGCAGCGCAGGTGAACTCAGGTCTTCTCACCTGGGGCTTGTCAGGTACTAGGGACAGCAGGCACCCAGATTCCTCTAAGGAGCCACAGGGCTGGCCAGGCCTCGAGAAGAACAGTGTCAAAGTTCAGGGGACCCTTTCTTTCACCCCTTCAGGAGCTGATGTCCCTGCAGGGCCCCCACAAAGCACAGCCGAGTTTCTCCCACTTTCTCTGCATCTCTTTCTGCCTTCAGCTTCCTCTGTGGTGGCCTTTGTTTTTCCTGCCCATCTTTGGTGGCTCTCAAATGTCATCCCTGCTCCACAGAGAAAAGGGTGCTGAGTGGCCAACCATCCAGCATGAGGGTCCCCTGCAGCAGCTCGCTCAGGCCAGGGCCCTCCCAGGATGCTAGTCCTGTGAACGGATGGAGTCTCCTGCCTGCTTGGTCACCGTGACCCCGGTGGGGAGAGACAGTCAAGGAGCACAGGCAGGATTTGTGCAAAAGATCTGGCCCGTGGCTCCTTTCTCAGTAGGGGCTGTGGGCTTCCAACCTTCCCAAGATTCCCCATGCAGAGCCAGGGCCTAAGCCACGGACCCCTTGGTCATCCAGGCCCCTCCAAGGCCCTGGGCCCACCAAGACCTCTAGCCTTGAAGCACATGGTCCCCAGCTTATGTAAAACTTGGCATGAGTGAGAAACTCAGCCTCAGTGGGTGAAGACTGCTGCCTCTTTCTGGCCTTTCCTCCAGCACACTTCGGGGAGGTGAGGGGGCTCCAGCTTGATCATCAGGGGGTGCTCAGGCACCTCCTTGCATAGGAAAGTTGTTTCTCACCACCCCAGCATGGGCTTGGCTTCCGGAAGCCCTTCCTCCTCCTAGGCTGACTCACCTGCTTGGCGCCAGGACATGGGAGATTCAGAGCCAGGGGTGGGGTCCTGCGGTTGTGGGCTGCGCGTAGATGGTGAAGGAGAATCAGAGTTGAAATGCATAGAGGCTCTCTAGGACACGGTGCAAATGTACTGGCAATCCACCCACCGATTCCAACACCTGACCAAGATCCCCGGATGCAGAGCAGGCAGGCTTTGCCTGTAGCCATGGAGAAACCAAAACCAGTGGGAGGTTCCCTTCCCATCTCTGCAAACGTGCTGTTCCCAGGAGCTCTGTCTACCTTGAATGCCCCATTTCTAGCTCTAGGATTTGCATCTGAGAGTGGGATGTGTGTTTATGAAGGGAAGACCACAGAAAATAATCTTTTGGGAAAATAAATGAGCGTTCTTCCATGCTTGGCCTGCTTTGACAATGCAGATTTTCCTTTTACTTGGAGCTTACCTTCTCTAGGCTATTTTCAATATTTTCAGTGGATGTGAGTTTGTTCTTGGAGCCAGACTACCTGGCTTCAAAGCTGCTTGCCACTTCCTACCTGGGACCTAAGGCGAGCCGTGTAGCTCTAGGTCCCTCACCTGTGAAACGGGAAGAACCACGGTGCCCACATTGCATCATACACTTGCATATGCAGGCACATCCTACCTGCAAAAAAGCAAGGAGCAGGGTAAGGGGGCAGCTATCTTGATCATGTTCCCCAGAAGCAGACCCTGATTTGTTATGGCAGTGACTGATGAAGGACGGCACCCAAGGAGAGCAGTAAGGGAACGGGGGTAGCAGACAGAGAGGGGAAAAGCCATGCAAGTCTGTGGCCCCAGGCAAAATCCTACAGAAGCAGGTCCCTCGGGGGACTGTGGAGTGGAGTCACATCTCTGTTTCCCAGCCTGAGCTAAGGATACACATGTCAGTCATTAGTGAAGGGCCATCCTGCGGCAGGGGGACACTTCCAGCTCTCTGCAGAAAGGACTAAGAGGCTCCAATAGCCTGATGACAGTCTCGCTGCAAAGAGTCATAGGTGTGGACAGTTGGAAACCAAGGCCATTCAGGCCAGGAAGGGGGTGCATGTGAAGGTGCGAGGGGTCACGCTTCTGTGACCTGCTGGTGGAGAGTGGACAGTAGCCACACAAGACAAAAGTGAGCGTTCTGAATTCAGAGACCAGAAATGGAGGCTTTCACAAATATGCATGCACCATGCTTTTTCATGGGATAGTCTATCTGGAAGATCATTCCAGGCTGCAGTATGTAAAGCTACCTCATTCTTCTTTTTCACAGTTGCAGAGTTCACTGAGTGGCTACGTTATTATGGAGCTCACCAACCTCTATTGATGGGTATTTAGATTGTTTCCAATCTTGCTATTACAAGAAAAACATGCCACAATAAATATCCTTGTACTAGGGCCATCAGCACATTTGCAAGTGTCCCTGTACATTTCTAGGAGTAAGTTTTCAGATCAAAAGGCATGTGCATTAAAAAAAATGTTGATAGTGGCCTTACCAGTTTATACTCCCACCAGTAATGTGTGAGAGAGCTTGTCTCCCACACCCACGGTGACACAGTGTTATCACAGTTTTGGATGATTGCCAATCTGATAGTTGAAAAATAGTCTTGAACTCTAGTTTCCATTTGCACTTCTCTGATTATAAATAAGGCTAAACATTGTTTATAAGCTCCAGGACCATTTCTACTTCCTGTTCTGTGAACTATCTGTTCATGTCCATACTTGTGGAAGTTTTTTCTATTGAAGTTTTATTTGTCTTATTGATTGTTAGGAGCTCTTTATATATTAAGGAAATTTGGATCTTGAGTAGAGTGACTTGAGGATGAAAGCAGAGAGAATTCATTCATCCAAGGGCTTCCCGTTCGGCTACCTAAAACTCATATCCAAACCAGTCCTTTCCAGGATGTGGTTTTTTACTTCTTCTTTTGGTTTTGTGAGCTAACCTATAACCTCCCAGCACATTCCTTGCTTGCTTTGCCTTGGCTAGACTTAGCCAGAGCTGATTTCAATGGTGTGAGGAGTCTTGATGTATCCACTCTCCCTTACCAGGTTGAGTCTGAGGGTCTGAGTTGATGTCGTCCCCATCTTCCAGCTGAGATTCCCTGCTTTTCTCTGTGGGTCCCTCAACTTCCAGGTCCAGGCAACTAGTGACCCTTCCTAGCCAGCTCGCTCAGGGGCGTTTGCAGCCTCCTCCGCCCTGTCCTCATGTCTAGGCCAGAGGTCCTGTTTTCTTCACTTGGAAGGTGATGTCGCTGATTGATTTAAGAGCTTGTTTGGGCTCTCAGCTCTGGGAGTGTAGGTAGTGGGTCTCCCTTGATAATTGTGTCCCAGAGCTTCAAAGGCCAGGGCCAGCAGGGCCCTTGGGGATTTTGGGGACCAATCACCACAGTGGACAGAGGAGATGCGGTGCAGAGGGGGAGCTGTCCCAGGTCACACACTGTGTTGGGGGACACATGTGGGTCCAGGAGACCCTTTCTGAATCACTGTTGAGGGTTCGTTCTTTCTCTTGGCAAGCACTCCTCAATGGCTGGATTCCCCAGCTTACAGGCAGGGCTGTGCCATAGTGAGCACCAACTCCACATGCAAAGGCAACCATAGCTGCCCTGTAGGCCAAGGACAGAGGAGCCTGTTTGGGGAAGTGGGGAGGTGGCTTGGAGAAGATGGCCTGGAAAGACTAGCTTGGGTTGGGGCATGGCAAGTGCAAAGGCCCTGAGGCAGGTGAGAATGAGCATTTTGAGCATGGAGGCCACAGGGAGAGGGTCCCACGGGCAGGGGTGTCGATCAGAGAGACCATCCTCCAACCAAGACCATGTAACCAAGACCTGGCAGAAATGGAAACAATGGGCAAAGAGCCTTCTAGGCAGGGGAAGTGGCCCAGGGAAGGCCGTGCAGTTGGAAGGAGCCGAAGCGCTGCAATAAAGTGTGGCTCCAGACTGGCTGGGACAGAGAGAGTGAGCCAAAGCAGTCAGGCAGGATGGCTTGGACACAGGTGGGATCCTGCTCGTTGGTCTGACAGGCTTTTATTCTGAGTGTACCTGGGAACACTGTGGTGGCCATGGTGTTTCTAGCAGGCAGGCCGTGGCACTGGGTGAGAGATGTGACTATGTGGGAGTGAGCACTCCTTCCATGGCCATGAAAAGGGCCTTAGAGATTGTGGCAGAAGCTTTCCCAGTACCCACACCCCAGGCCCGGCCACAAGGATATGGGCCGTGCTTCTGGCTGCCTGGGGCTTTCTCTGCGACACATTGCACCCCACGGGGAACCGCAGAACCAGCTCCATCACCATCAACCCAGAACTGCTGGCAGCCAATGCCCGTGAGAGTTGGGTTCAACACCCCAGCTGGCTGGCCGGGCTGGGGAGCCTCTGAGGTATGTTCTGCTCCCCCAGGGAGGGAGCTCCATGTGCCCACAGCGCTCCCTGTCACCCCCTCCACCCCGCCAGGAAGGGATCCTCCCCCAGGGATGGAGGTTCAGGTGCCCAGAGTGCTCCCTGGCACAGCCTGCCTCGGCTCTTTCTCTTGCCTGCCTCACTTCCTGCCTCATTTCCTGACTCAGCAACTGGTGTTTTCTGGACCCCTCCACATACGCTCAGATCCTCCTCTCAGGTCGGGGGAGCCCACCATAGCCAGGGCTCTTCCCAGAGACATACATGTATCCCCACTCTCAGGCCCTAGCCACTCGATGTCACCTGATGTTCCTGAACTATGACTCCCACAAAAGGTTGGGATCCATCCTTCCTGCTCACCGCTGAACCCCCAACTCCAGGCAGAGCCCCTGTGCATCGCAGACTCCTGGTAGGTGTTGTTGGAGGATGGTGAGGTGGGCCCTGAAGGCCAGGGAGGCTGAGGAAGAGTCCCCAGGCCAGGGAGAGAGAGGCTCAGCCAGACCTCCTGGGCCAGGAGCCCTCAGACCTCCCGCAGGTGAGGGACACGCTGTTCTGAACAGAGGCTGAGTGAGTTCTGTCCACAGCAATCCTGTCGAACCTGTCTGGCCGGGTACAGAGCTTCAGGGCCCATATCCACGCTCAGGGGCAGGTGTCCTCAGGCGAGGACCATCAGGCAGCTTTCCCCCTCCAGGGCCCCTCCCTAGACAGGGCTCACACCAGACTTGCCCAGGGCCACAGCCCAGGACAGAGTGTTTGGCCTGTCTAAGGCCCAATATAGATTCCAGAATTCATTCATGGTTGCTGAACATTCCAGTTCAGCTGGGGACATGGGACGGGCAGGAGGGGTCTGCTGCCTAATCTGATGGATCTTCCATCCTGGTGGGGCAGGGGGCAGATGAGAACCAAGTGGGCACACAGGGAGATGGGAACTCAAGGCAGGGGGATGGTGGCAGCTCCATGGGCAGCTCTGAGGGCCAAGGACAGAGGAGGTTGTTTTGGGGGAGTGGGGAAGGTGGCTTGGAGGGGGCGGACTACAAAGACTAGCTTGGGTTGGGGCATGGTGAGTGCAAAGGTCCCGAGGCAGGAAAGAATGAGGATTTTGAGGTCCTGAACAGAGGCTGGCAGTGGGGAGAAAGGACATGGCAGCGGGGGTGGGGAGCAGGCCTCAGGGCCAGGAAGCCATGGGGGCAACCAAGTGTGGTTCTGGGGGCATGGAGGAGCCAAGAGGAGAGGGTGAGGTGGAAGGTGGCCAGACTCGATTTGTGTTTTTAGCAGACTCTGCAGTCAGGACTTGGGATCTGGACCACAGGAAGGGAGAGCGACAGCTGGGATGTGACCATTTTCACTGCAGGGCACCTGGGAAGGGGAGAGGGCGTGAAGTGGCCCAGACGTGGCTTTCCATTGGTGACCTCGTGCCCCACTCTCCACTGCCCCTTTTCACTTAACACTTCAGGAAACAGGTTCAGAGAAGGGAAGGGAATGGCCCAAGGTCCCTTGGCCCAGAATTGTACCTAGACAGGTGCACCTGGTCCCAGACTGCTCTCTTCTCACCACCCCACACTGCCCCCAATCTGTCAGGTAAGAAACTTTGGGTGGGAAGGGAGAAGGAAATTGAACCAGGGAGGTGATTACTGCCTCTCACACACAACTGGGCAGCAGGCGAAAGGCCAGGCGGCCCAGCCCCCTATCCAGGGTCCCCAGAGCTTGTTATTGGTATGTTGTGCTCACCTCCCTGTCCAGGAGTGAGAATTGGCTGTGTCTGACTCCTTGGGAAGGCTGTGTCCCCAGCCTGGGCCCTGTGGGTACTTAGTCATCTCGCACCCCAGAGTCACTCTGACCCCCGATGTGAACTGACCACTGAGCTTCAACAAATTAAGGGCCAAGTGCAGGAACAAAGTTGGATCCCACCCTCTTCTGCTTCCTCAAGCCACGGCCCGGAGTGATGAGCCACCTCCGCTCTGACCTCACCTCCTCCCAGCTCCCTGACTCCTTCGGCGGGGGGCCTGGCCAGCTTGTTCGGCCACTCTGGGCTCCAGGCTCTTCAACTGGAAAGAGATGCTTGTGGAGTTCCTCATGGCAAGTCTGGGCAAGCCAGCCTGACGGCCAGCCTGCGACTCCTTGTCCAGAACTCTGTCAACTCCACCAGTGCCTGTCACGGAAACCGCATGGCCACCAGCTTCAGGTGACAGGCCTCTTGCCTGGGTGATGAGCTTCCCAGGCCCATGCTATGGTGTGCGCTTTTTCACAGGAAGAGGATCGAGAGCAAGGGTCCCATTCTGGTGGTCCTCAGCCCGCATCTGGCCCACAGATGTTTAATTGGGCTGACATAATATATAGTTTTACCTTTTTTTTTTTTTTTTTTTTGAGACGGAGTCTCACTCTGTTGCCCAGGCTGGAGTGCAGTGGCGCCATCTCAGCTCACTACAAGCTCCGCCTCCCAGGTTCACGCCATTCTCCTGCCTCAGCCTCCCGAGTAGCTGGGACTACAGGCACCCGCCACCACACCCGGCTAATTTTTTTGTATTGTTAGTAGAGACAGGGTCTCACCATGTTAACCAGGATGGTCTCGATCTGCTGACCTCGTAATACGCCTGCCTTGGCCTCCCAAAGTGCTGGGATTACAGGCGTGAGCCACCGTGCCCGGTCTAGTTTTACATTTTTAATGCATTGCCAACATTTGAACATGAGTAGCTTTCACACAGAAAGATGGCTCTTTGGCTCCTCTGAAACACTGGACGACCGGGTGCCCTGCAGGGCCACAGTGAGCCAGAGGTGGGGGACATGGGCTCCAGACAAATCCCATGCCGAGCAGACCATGCCAGCCATCAACACCGCAGGCCTGGCCCTTGGGCATTGGAGTAATGGGTCTAGAATTTCCTTCACATTGTCAAAGGAGCCTGTGACCCAGAAATGGTAAGTAAGGTCCGATTCTCACCAACAAAGCAGGCATGACCTCAGACAAGTCCCTACCCTGCTCTGGGCCTCAGTTTCTCCTTTAGTGAGGAGGTGGGTGAGGGTCCTGTCCTCCTCCGGGAACTGGCGATTTGGGAAGGCAGAGACATTCCCAGAATCCGCCGGAGTCCTGAAAACACCCACGCCCTTTGTCCCAGCAATCCTGAGAAAGGCCACACTGATAAAGCTGTGGGTGGCCAGATGACAGCATTCTTGGGCCTCAGACGAAGTGGGAGGGGCCCACCCGCTTAGCTCCTCATAGCCCAGGGGAGCGGGGACAGTGCCTGCTGGGGCCGTGGGCAGCCCGGTGCCAGCCCCTACTGGCATTTCGATGATGCCACAAGTGCCGTGCCACAGCAGGGAGCCGCACAGTCATATTTTGCAAGGTTTTGAGGAAAGAATGCCAGTGTGGTAGGAGGGGAGACCAGTCCCCTCCCTCCCACCCCTCTGGGCTCCATCTGAAGCTGGTTCCTGAGAAGCACGATTGTGCCTTTTCACTGAAGGAGGGGCCCCCAGCTGTACTATGGACTTACTGACTTGTTTCCCAGCTCAGCCTGCCCCGGAGCAGAGCTAGGCAGGACCTTGGTGAAGAGGGTGCAGGGCTGGCCTGGCCTGGTCATGACACTGGGATAAGGAAGCCTGCTCTCCTCCCACCACTTCCAGCTCACAGGGGAATCTGAAACAGCCTCTCCTTTAGGGCTAGGGTTGCCTTTCAGCCACAGCGCCTATAAACCCATCACGGCACAGTGTTTGCCAGATAAGGCATCATCTTGGGTGAAAAATGTAGATTTTTCATCCTACGCAAGTAGGATGAAATCCAAATGGACTTATGGAGACACAGACACCTTTGTTTCAACACCTGGCCACAAGGCCCCCCAAAAGCTTCTATAAACAAAAGGGCTGACAGACCTAGCTCATCCGGTAGGCCCAGATCTTCCTTGCCCGGGGTGCCATGCAGGCAACCCACCCCGGGCTAGGGCAGTGGAGGCTTGATGACCAGGTGAGCTTGGGAGTCCCTGGGCAGAGGCAGGTCTCAGTCCCAGGGCCTTGGGTCTGCTGCTGGGTGTGATGAGTTAATAAGGAGGGCATGGTGTGCAGAATGAGCTCGGGTCCTGGCCATGGGACATCTGGCCAGCACTGTGCCCCTTGGAGCCCATCTTTCCATGGGATCATTAGAGTCCTTCTCTTGCAGCTGTTGGGAGAATGAAACACAAGGAAAGCCCAGGACCAGTACCAGGCACAGGGTCAGTGGCGACAGGTGAGACCACTCCATGTCCCCAGACACATCTGTCCTCTGAGCCTTTCACCTTGGGCTTGCCACTGGACTATCTCTCAAGTAGAAGGGGCTATGGGCGCCCCTCCCTGGTGGTCAGCAGTGGGGTGACCACCTCCTAAGGCAGTGAGTTCCCCATCAATGCGCGTGGCGGTTACTGAAGTGGGGCTGGGGCTGGAGCTGAGCCTGCTGGCTGGGAGAGGGGAAGGCTGCAGTGGCTGGGGAGCCAGGTCCAACCCAGCAGCCTGGTGGCCCCTTCCCACTCTCAGGGAATATCCCACACCTTCCCTGAGCACTGCCTCTGGGCCAGGCCCTGCTGGGAAGGGAGCTGAGAATACCACAGACTGGTCCCCACCCTTGTGGGGCTCATAGGCTGAGGCTGCTAAGTAACATCCCTGTCCCTGTGACACTCGGAACAGGAAGTCAAGAAAGAAGGTTCAGGAATCCTTTGCTGTTTTCCTAATACCAGACCCATCTTTTTCTTTAGCATGTCAACAACTCCCCTCCCTTCTGCGCCTGGAGATTCCTCTTTCTCCTTCAATACATATTTTGAAATGATATTTATTAACATAAAAATTATAAAACCTTTCAAACATCCAGAAAAATATAAGGAAAAATACCAAATATCCATGTTCTCACCACTTGGATTTAACACATGTGAACATTTGCCATGCTTCAGATCCTCCTTTTAAAACAAAATTGTATGACACAGCAATTGATGAACGGATCATCAGTACAATGGACTGTTATTCAGTCGCAGACAGGAATGATGTGTGGACTTGCCATGGTGTGCATGAGCCTCGAAGACATGATGCTGAGTGAAGGAATCAGACACAAAATGCTGCAGATTGTCTGATCCCATGTATTGAAATGTCCAGCTCAGGCAAATCCGTGGAGACAGAAAGCAGGCGAGTGTCTACCAGGGGCTGCGGGGAGGGGATGGGGAGTGACCACTTAGTGGGTACAGGGCTTCCTTTTGGGGTGAAGAAAATCTTTTAAACTTAGGTCATGGTGATGGATGCACAACTATTTTACTAGAATAAAAAATCACTGAATTGTACAATTTAAATGAATGAATTTTCTGGCATGGGGATTGTATCTCTCTCTCTCTCTTTTTTTTTTTTTTTTTAAGATGGAGTCTCTCTCTGTCACCCAGGCTGGAGTGCGATGTTACAATCTAGGCCCACTGCAACCTCTGTCTCCTGGGTTCAAGCGATTCTCTCACCTCTGCCCCCTGAGTAGCTGGGACTATAGGCACCCACTACCACACCCGAGTTAATTTTGTATTTTTAGTAGAGACAGGGTTTCACCATGTTGGCCAGGCTGATCTCAAACTCCTGACTTCAAGTGATCCACCTGCCTTGACCTCCCAAAGTGCTGGGATTACAGGCATGAGCCACCACGCCTGGCGAGTGGACTGTATCGCAATAAAAATGTGCATTAGTCTACTAGGGCTGCTGTGGCAAAATACCATGGACTGGGTGGCTAAAACAAGCAATTTTCTCAGAGTTCTGGGGGCTGTAAGTCCCAGATCAAGGTGTCTGTGGACAGGGCCTTCTGAGGGCTGTGCAGGAAGGCTCTGTTCTGGGACTGTCTCCTTGGCACGGTAGCGCTGTCTTCCCCCCATGTCTCTTCTCCTTGTCTTCCCTCTATGCACATCTCTGGGTCCAAATTCCCCCCCACCTTTTTTTTTTTTTCTTTGAGATGGAGTCTTGCTCTGTTGCCCAGGGTGGAGTGCAGTGGCACAATCTTGGCTTCACTGCAACCTCCGCCTCCCGGGTTCAAGTGATTCTCCTGCCTCAGCCTCCCGAGTAGCTGGGACTACAGGCACCCGCCACCACGCCCAGGTAATTTTTGTATTTTTAGTAGAGACGGGGTTTCACCATATTGGCCAGACTGATCTGGAACTCCTGACCTTGTGATCTGCTCGCCTTGGCCTCCCAAAGTGCTGGGATTACAGGCGTGAGCCACCATGCCCGGACCCAAATTTCCCCTTTTTATGAGGGCACGGGTCATGCTGGATAAGGGCTCACACTACTGACGTCAGTTTAACTTGATGACCTCTGTAAAGAGCCCATCTCCACATAGAGAGAGATAATTATTGCTCCTGTTGCTGTGGCTACTGATGCCATTTGGGGGATTCGTGGCAAGAAGGATGAACTGAGAGCGTCCGCGACATTGGGATCCAGGCTGGCAGCATCTTCCTGGCCGTCCGAGAGGGCTCTTTTCCCCGCCTGGGTGCCTGATCCTACCTACCCTATGCCCTGTGGCCCCCAGTGCTAAATTCCCGAAAAGCCTGGTAGGCCCTTGGTGCCACGAAGCCCCCGAGATCCCAAGTACAAAGCACAGGCAGAAACTGTAGGGGCAGGGGGAGCCACGGCAGGCCTCGGAGAGCTCGGGGAAGGCCACACAGCTCTGGGCTTCCGCCTGCTGTCCAGAGGCTATTAGTAAGGACAGAGCCTGGTGCCAGAGGTCAGGGCAGGTGGGAAGCAGGAGACCCTGAGGCACCCCATTCCTCGAGCAGGGCTCCAGCCAGGCTTGTTGGGAAGTACTTGACTCCATCCCCCATGCCCCACATGGGTAGGCCCCTCTCCCTTGGGTCAGGGCCAACCACATGGTCCTGCTGAAAGCCAGCCCCCTCCCTTCGGTGACCATGGCCTCCCGAGGGACTCAGGGTTGGGAGAGCAGCCAGGAGTATCTCCAAAAGCCAGGAGCTGACTGAATCCACAGCCAGACCACTTGCTCTCTGCAGAACCTTCCTGAGAAAGAACAGGGCTCCTGTCTAGCTGTCCCAGAGGGCAGCCGGGCCCACACCCCTGGCCAGGGGCATCCCCACCCCCTCTGATATATCACCCCACATGGCCCATGGCTGGCTCTGTTAAGGGGCACCCTCAAAAGCAGGCTCTGACATAGGGTTGGGGACAAGTTGTTTTGGGGGACATATGGTCCCAGGAAACACCAATAGAGGAGGGAGGAGGTAGACCTGAGGGAGGGAGGCCAAAGTGACCTATGTTAGTGAGTGGGGCCTTGCTGTGGGCCTGGCTCCCCTGGAGACCCTGCAGAGAGGCACAGCACCCTGTACTCTCCCTCCTGGAGCCCAGTAGTGGGTGTCACTCACTAACTCACAGCCCTTATTGCTCTGAGCTCCCGGGATTTCTGTCCCACCTCTCTGGAGGTGACAGGCACAGGATCCCTGGGCTGGGCAGGGACTGTCTGTCAGGACCTCAGGAATACCCCAAGCACAGGCAGCAAAAGCATATGCTTCCCCCACAGAGGGGTCAGGCTTGGGTCCCCTGAAGCACTTCTAGCTGTGCAGCTGTGGGCAAGTCACAGTGAGCTGTTGCTGACAGCAAAGGCGCTAGAATGTCAGCTCCCTGAGCAAAGGGGCTGGGTCTGTTCTGTTTCCTGCTTTATACCCAGAGCCCAGCCCAGGGTCTGGCACACGCAGTGCTTGGCTAATATTTGTAGGTAAATGTCTCGTGGCTCATGGTGTAAATCTCACTATCAATCATTGGTACCAATTCATTGACACTTCCTATGTGCCAGGCACGGCGCTGGGTGCTTGGCACCTCATTTCTGCTCTGGATAATCCATTGTTGTTACAGTAGTAGGATCACCCCCAAACATACACATGATGAAACGGAAGCAGAGAAACCAAGGTCACCCAGCCAAAAGTAGCAGAGATTTAAGCCAGGTTCCAGAGCCTGCATTTCTTATTCATTAAAAAAAATTAGGCCGGGCACAGTGGCTCACACCTGTAAGCCCAGCACTTTGGGAGGCCGAGGTGGGAGGGTCCCTTGAGGTCAGGCATTTGAGACCAGCCTGGCCAACATGGTGAAACCCCATCTCTACTAAAAGTACAAAACTTAGCCAGGTGTGGCAGCACACACCTGTAGTCCCAGCTACTCGGAAGCTGAGACATGAGAATCACTTGAACCAGGGAGACGGAGGTTGCAGTGAGCCGAGAGCCGAGATTGCGCTACTGCACTAAACCTGGGCCACAGAACGAGGCTCCGTCTCAAAAAAAAAAAAAGAAGAGGAAATTATGTGTGGAATCAAAGAAAACAAGTCAAATACACACAAAGAACAAAACAAGCCTAGAGATCTAATGTACAGCATGGGAACCACAGGTAAGAAAGTTGCACAGTGCATGGGATTCATGTTAAGTAGATTTTAGCTGCTCCTGCCACAAAAGCAAAACTACGGTTCACTGTTAATATCTCAGATGATGGATCTGTTCATTTGTTTCATTATAGTTATACTTTTACTATCTTTATATATAATATAGCTTTTATACCTTAAATATACACAATAACATTTATTTATTTATTTTTAATTAATTAATTTTTTTGAGATAGAGTCTCTCTCTGTCTCCCAGGCTGGAGCACAGTGGCGCAATCTTGGCTTACTGCAACCTCCGCCTCCCAGGTTCAAGCGATTCTCCTGCCTCAACCTCCAGAGCAGCTGGGATTACAGGGGTGTGCCACCATGCCCAGCTAATTTTTGTATTTTTAGTAGAGAAGGGGGTTTCACCATGTTGGCCAGGCTGGTCTTGAACTCCTGACCTTGTGATCCACCCATCTCAGCCTCCCAAAGTGCTGGGATTACAGGCGTGAGCCACTGGACCCAGCCAGCATTTATTTATTTATATATGTATGTATATATTTCTTTATTTTTTGAGATGGGGTCTCACTCTGTTGCCAAGGCTGGAGTGCAGTGGTGCCATCACTGCTCACTGCAGCCTCAACCTCCCCAGCTCAAGTGATCCTCCCACCTCAGCCTCCCAAGTAGCTAGGACTACAAGGGGCTCACAATCACACCCAGCTAATCTTTGTATTTTTTTAGAGGCAGGGTTTTTCCATGTTGCCCAGGCTGGTCTCCTGGGCTCAGGAGATCCTTTCACCCCAGCCTCTCAAAGTGCTGGGATTACCAGCGTGAGCTGCCACACCTGCCTTTGCCTGTTCTTGAAATTCAACCAGAGCCTGGCCTTTTTGCCATCATGGTATGTGGTGTCGTCTGTTCAATAAAGATCTTGAGCAAATTCTGGACCAGGCGTGTGGACGGGTAGGTGGAACTCAACCCTCATGCCCAGTTTTCTCAGCCCTACCCTATGGTTCCAGAGTGATGGCTGTGTGCACGATTCTGAAAGCTGTGTGCGGTGCTGCTCAGGAGCCAGGAGGACACTGGGCCACACTGGGTGTGAATCCTGGCCCCCCACTTCCTGGCTGTGTGAACGTGGGCCAGTTACCCAGATCTCAGTTTCCCCAACTACAAAGTGTGAGTAAGGATAATACTTCCTCCTCAGACAGTTGTTGTGAGGATCAAGATATGAGCTTAAACCGGGTGTGGTGGCTCAGACCTGTAATCCCAGAACTTTAGGAGGCTGAGGCAGGAGGATCCCTTGAGTCTGGACGTTCCAAGATACTGTGAGCTATGATCACACCACTGCCCTCCAGCTTGGGTGACAGAACACGATCTCATCTCAAACATTTTTTTAAAATTAATGAAAAAAAGAGTCCATGCTTAGAATAATCCTGGCATTGGGCAAGTCATACAGAAGTTGTTTTTATAACATGTTTTTTTTTTTCTCTCATTATAAAAGTCACACGTGTGTGTGGTTGCAAGGTCAGGTGGCAATGGGTACTCTGGTCCTTTTTCCTGGAGCTGCTGGACCATCACAGGGCAGAGGGGGTCAGACTTCCTAGGGCGCCTCACTCAGCTGCCCTTGTCCGCCTGGACAGACTTGCCTCTGGGTGTGGCCATTGCGAAGGAATCCTGCCCCATCGCTGACAATGAGCTGCATTCTTCAGAGAGGCTGCCCCAGTCCCCCCAGCTGACGTAAGCCCTGGGCGTGGCAGGTGCACTCAGGAGGCAGGGCTGCCTGCTCAGTGTTGGGTGGAGCCACATGCCTGTCCAGGGCTGGGTCCACCCTGTGTGGACTGAGGCCACCATGTGCACGGTTTTCAGCTATGCCTCATTCGCTTGCTGTGTGAATCTGGGCTGCAGGGCCTGCTGCTGTGTGCCACAGGCCAGTGCCCTGCAGTGCAATTGTACCTGAGGACCCAAGGTGGCCAGGGAAGCCCCAGGTGCGACTTGGCAGGGGAAGCAGGGGCTGTGGACGGATGGAGAGCTGTCATGTGGAAAGGCAGTGTGTCCCCAGGCCGTGGCCCAGCCTCCAACACCCCCAAGTCCCCTCCAGGCCTCTCCAGACCAGGCCCACCACATACTGCCTGTGCAACCTCGGGTGAGTGACCTCACCTCTCCAAGCCTCAAAGTCCTGATCCCCATTGGGAGGGTGCAGTCAGAGGGTGAGTCTGAGCCCCCTGGGGCCTGGCAGGCTCTGTATGCATGGCAGCCACCTGCCCACACTCACCCCAGACATCTGCTCATTCCAGAAACCTCCTGGGAACATCCACCATATGCCAGGCATAGTGTCAGACAGGAGGGGACAGAGAAAAACAAGATCAACAACCGCCCTGCCCTTGTGGAGCTGGCGTTCTAGTACCGGAGACAAAACAAGGTGCTTCCAAGGAGGAAGCCGTGCTCATCAGGTAATCCGCATAATCGCTCAGGAGGAGACTTGGCAGCCAGATGGAGACGCCACCTGGGGTCTTAGGGGAACAGCATTCCAGGCAGAGGGAACTGCAGCTGCAAAGATCCTGAGGAGGAATGAGTGCCCAGCGTTTGAGAAGCAGAGCCGGCCTCTGGACGCCTGCCCTAGGGAGAAGGCTTTCCACCTCATTTTTAGGGTCCTAGGGGATCCCCTCCACTGTGAATGCACGAATGCACAAGGATGACATCGGCCCTTTTATAGAGGGGAAGTTCTTCCCGTAAACAAACCAAAGTCCCTCTGGGGGACTTTGCAACTGAAGCTGAGCCTTCTCTTTTAGTCACTCCCACCCCCCAGACCCAGAGCCAGCTGATTCCTCCTGCATCCTGCTCACAGCTCCAGGAAAGCGTCCTGGTGGGGAAAGTCAGTGAAACACCAGGTGGCCTAAGGTATTTTCCCAGGACCTCAATGTGACTAGACAGGGCTAGCTTATCAACCCTGGGATGCGATGAGAGGGGCAAAGCCCGGCAAAAGAAACTGGACCCAGGGCACTGAGGGAAGCCTAGGTCCCGTCTGAGTGCTCCGCACAGGGATAGGAGGAGAGACAGTCGGGGGTTTTGTGAGGGAGGGGATAGGTGGGTGGTAGTAATGAGGGGTGTTCAAGTCAGTGCCCAGCAACCAAGAGGAGGAAGGAGGTAGAGGGGGTGTCAAGCAAGCCGTAGCTTCAGGCACAGCTGGATCCATAACCCTGAGGCTTGGGCTATGATGGCTGTTGCCCAACCCCCACTCCCATATCACCCAGGTCTCAGTCACCTTCCTCTCTGTGACACAACAGCCTCCTCCCTAGGGCTCCTTCCTTCCACTCTTGCCCCCACAAATCCATTCTCCATATATTGTTAAAACCATGCCACTCTCCTGCTTAACCCCTCCCCCCATGGCTTCCTGACGCCCTCCACATAAAGCAGAAACTCCTTACCCAGGCCCCAGAGACCCCCGCTGACCTCCCCAACCCCACCTCTCTCTCCTCTCCCCTCACTGCCTCTGTCCTTTCTGTCCCTTGAACACACCAAGCACATCCCCACCTGGCCAGCATTGCACCTGCTGTCCTGTCCCCCGGGTGCATCACCATGTGGCCGCCCCTTCTCAGCAGGACAGCCTAGATGTCGCTGTCCTCGGCCATCTGGCCCCCAGCCTTCTGTCCACTCCCCACACCAGCCCTGTCCGGCAGCTCCTTCTGTGATGGAAGTGCTCTTTGTCCACTGTCACCAGCCTCTGTCAGAAGCTACCGGCCCCGTGTGGCTAACAAGCCCCTGAAATGCGGCTACTGCAATGGAAGAACTGGACTCTTAATTTTCAATTACTCCAATTACTTGAAACTCATATAGCCACATGGGGCTAGTGGCCACCATTTGGACAGAGCGACTCCAATGTTCTACATGGTGTAATTTTATTTACTAGCCCTTAGCACAAAGTGACGTGATCTTAACTTCACTTGTTTTCTGTCTCTCTGACGAGAGTATCAGCTTTGTGAGGTGAGGATTGCCTCCGTCTTTTCCACTGCTGTATGCCGGGGCTTAGTAGTGGGCCTGGCGTATAGTAGATGCTTAATATGTAATTGCTGAATGAATGAATGAATGAATGAATGAATGAATGAATGCATGCATGAGTGAATGAATGACTCCTGGGGCCATGAACTCTGAATTTCTCCAAAAGGAATGCTAGTTCTGCCGGGGATTGTTGCTGTGTGACCTAAGTCAGGATCTTGCCCTCTCTGGGCTCAGCATCCTGACCAAGGGGTACCAGGGCCCCTCTGCTCCTAAGGCTCTGAGACTTCCTGCTGCTTACTCTGTCCAAGCTGCCCCGTCTATCCTTCATCCCCGATGCCCACCCCCAGTCTCCCCAGCCACTTCATAGGAAAGGGGCCAGACAGGCTTCCTGTCCCTGGAGCCTGTGTCTAGAGAGCCATCAAAGCAGGCTGCCTGTACCCGTCTCCTAGCAACAAATGGCCTTAGGAAGTATTTGAGGGTGGGATAAAGTGGTGGCCACTGTGGGGCTGTGTCCCAAATCGACAGCTCTCCAGTTGGCCAAGGGCAAGTGTTTCCCAGGAGCCAGGCCAAGGCAGGCTGGCAGTCGTGGTACATGCACCAGGAGTCGGCTCCAGGGTCCTCCAAGCCTGGGCCCTGCAGTCGGCCACCCTTACCTTCTCGTGCCTGTGCTTGGGGTTCAGAGGTGGCAGGGGGTGCTTGGGCCCTACATGCTTCTTGTGGGGACCTGTAGGAACCAGGCATGAGGAAGTGAGGAGTGGGTGCTGACTGTCAGTGACTCGAACCCTGACTGCCCCAGCATCCAACACTCACACGCATGCACATGTGCCTACTCAGCCGGACACAACACACAACTATGCATGCTGACACGCACTTGTGCAGAGGCATAGGCACAGACTGCACTTACCTTATTCTATTTATTATTTTTATTTTATTTTTAGAGACAAGTTCTCACTCTGTCGCCCAGCCTGGAGTGCAGTCATGCCATCCTAGCTCACTGCAGCCTCAATTTCCTGGGCTCAAGCGATCCCCCCGCCTCAGTCTTTCAAGTAGCTGGGCCTACAGGTGTGTGCCACCATGCCCAGCTAATTTTTAATTTTTTTGTAGAGATGAGGTCTCACCATGCTGTCCGGGTTGGTCTCAAACTCCTGGCCTCAAGCGATCCTCCTGCCTCAGCCTCCCAAAGTGCTGGGATTATAGGTATGAGGCAACTTGCCAAGCCCAAACATGCACATAGATATGGACACATGGACCTGCATATATAAAACAGACATGCAAACATATACAGCTCAATCAGACAGAATACACACACACAATGACACTCACAGACAATCACATAGAAGCCCAGATATATATGCAGTGGGGCCAGCCAGATAGCCCAGTTGCCCACAAACACACATAAATATGTACCATCATCTCACAGATCATATGACATGCAAAGATGGATGCATCTGTACAATTCACACACATATTCACAAGTCAGAGATGCAGGTCAGACCCCCAGATAAACAGGCCAACATGCATGTAGACACATAACATGGTCATTCCCAGAAACACCCTCAGAGATAGCCAGACCACCCTCTGGACATGCACAGACACAGACACATAAGGAGATGATATATCAATGACTCTTACACACACCCACGAGTCACAGCCCCTGAAGTGATATGGTGAACTAGAAGTGTCAGCCCCCATTCCTGTGGACTCTGAGCAAACCTCCACTCCCCAGCCTGGCCACACGCAGGCACGCAGGCCGGAAGAGCTGCCGCCTCTCCCTGCCCCGGCCAGCTGGCCGTCCTCCAGGCTTGGTGCAGATGGTGGGGCCAGGGCAGGGACAGCCCAGCCTGTGGCCTGTGTTGCCTGCCTCTTGAGTCCCAGGCCTCTTCTTCTTGGCTGTGGGACCCTGAAGGCCCCCTCCCCACAGCTGAGTAGGCCCTGACAATTTGTGTAACAACCTCGATTTCTGATTTCTTTTGGAAAATTAAAAGATCGATCACGACCAGGCCCAAATCCTGTAGGACAGACGGCTACGACCGAGGCCATGGAGCTGCTGCCTGTTGTAGGAGCATGGACACCCCAGATCACTGAGGCCACTGCTGCCACCTGCCTGGCCCTAGAGGCCTCTGAGTGTGCAACCCTGGAACTACATGCTTCCCTGCATGTCCTGAAAAAGAAAAACATGTCAATCCAGAGAGCAGATTACTACAACTTTCTTGGCTCTTTGTTTAGTGATACTT
Organism: Homo sapiens; assembly: GCF_000001405.40. Lineage (NCBI taxonomy): Eukaryota > Metazoa > Chordata > Mammalia > Primates > Hominidae > Homo > Homo sapiens. The sequence goes on from NC_000017.11 coordinate 17,032,764, forward strand.
ATCAAGAGCCTTACCAATGTGTTTATCTTTTGACTTAGCAATCCCAACCCATGAATTTATCCTAAGAAAAAAAAAATTTAAAAAGTACACAAACATTGTTCATGAATGGCTAGATACGCACATACGCATACATATGCAGCCCTGTGTCCCTGTGTGTATGCACATGTACATTATATATATATACATATATATATATATATATATATATATATATATAATTTTTTAAGATGAAGTCTTGCTCTGTCACCCAGGCTGGAGTGCAGTGGCGCCATCTCAGCTCACTGCAACCTCTACCTCCCCGGTTCAAGAGATTGTCCTACCTCAGCCCCCCGAGTAGCTGGGATTATAGGCGCACACCGCCATGCCTGGCTAATTTTTTTGTATCTTTAGTAGAGATGGGGTTTCACCATGTTGGCCAGGCTGGTCTCGAACTCCTAACCTCAGGTGATCCGCCCACCCTGGCCTCCCAAAGTGCTGGGATTACAGGCATGAGCCACCGTGCCCAGCCTACATGTGCATATATACACATTCATGTAGACATACACCTTGTTATTAGAGTTTTTACAAATACGGTCTCATTCAGCAAAAACTATGTGAGGCCATACATACTTTCCCCTTAATATGTTGTGAATACATTTCTATACTAATAAATATCTACACCCTGATTTTTTGAATAATTTTTGTTTAGTGATTTTAGATTTACAGCAAAGTTCCACAAAGTTCCCATACTCTTCCCCCACCTTCCCCTAATGTGAACATCTTACATAATCATGCTACATTTGTCAAAACTAAAAAGTTAACATTAGTAAAACATTATTAGCTGGACGACAGACTCTATTAGGATTTCGCCAGTTTCCCACTAATGCCCTTTTTCTGTTCCATGATCTCATCCGGCATCCCACATGGCATTCAGTCTCCGTCATCTCCTGAGGCTCCTCTGGTCCCTAACAGTTCTGAGTCTTTTCTTGTTTTTCACGACCTTGACACATTCGAAGAGTGCTGCTCACGTATTTTGTAGAATGCCCCTCATCTGAGTTTGTCTGATGTTTTTCTCATGAGACTGAGGTTATTAGTTTTTGGGTAAAAGATCACAGAGGTGAGGTGCCCCTGTCATTGTATCAGGGGGTACCCAGTAGCCACAAGACTTACCACCAGCGATGTTGAGGGAGCATCTGCTGAGTTTCTTCACTGTAAAAGGACTGTTTTTCTTCTTTCCATAGTCCATTAGAGGATGAGGATGAAGTTCTGCCTCTTGGAAGCGGTGGTTATCTATGTGTATTATTAGAATCTGATTTTACATGACAGAACAATGTTTCATTTTATGGATCTGCCCTCATTTATTTAGCCAGTACCCTAATGTCACACACTTCCATGACTTTCAGCTTTTCTTTTACAAACAAAGCTGCAAACCACAGCAGGAGCTCAACTTCAAATTCAAAAAAAATTGTGGTTTGTTTTTTTTTCTTTTGAGATAGGGTCTTGCTCTGTCATCCAGGCTGGAGTTTTAGTGATGTGATCACAGCTCACTATAGCCTTGAAATCCTAGGTTCAAGCAACCCTCCTGTCTTGGCCTCCCAAGTAGTTAGAATTATGGGCATGAGCCACCATGCCTGGCTAATTTTTAAAAAATGTTTTTGTAGAGATGGGGTATTGCTATGTTGCTCAGGCTGGTCTGGAACTCCTGGCCTCAAGCAATCCTCCTGCCTCAGTCTCCCAAAGTACTAGTATTACAGATGTAAGCCACCACATCTGGCCTCAACAAATAGTTTTCAAACAACTTCTCTGTAACAGACACTGCACACTCTAGTGAACAATGTTTGTATACCTCTTCAATGTTCTTTTTTCTTCTTAGAATAAATTCACAGGTTGGGATTACTAGGGCAAAAGGTAAGCACATTGTTAAGGCTCTTGATAAGTATCACTAAACAAAGCTCCAGGAAACTTGTACTAATCTGCTCTTTGGATTGACAATTTTATCTTTTTCAGCCTTTTTTTTCTTATTACAAAAATAATTTCTGTTTTTAGGAGATAACTGGAAATCACTCACTGGGCATTTAATGATATTAAAGAATTATTGTTTTTTTAGGTATGATAATGGTATTGTGGCTACTTTTTGAAAATAGTTCTTATCTTTTACAGACACACACAGTAGATGAGGGAGTATGGTTGAAACAAGACTTGTCCTGAGTTGATATGGAAGCTGGGTAATGGATACATCCACCTTCATTATATGATTTTCTCTATATTAGTAAGAAAACAAAAGCTTTTATTAAAAATTTTAAACATGATATAAATCTCTAGCTTAAGTGTGAGTCCCCATTCTTTCACCTCCCAGGGTTAACTGCAATGAACGGTTAGGTGTATGTGCCCCTGACCTTCTCCATGTAAACACTAACTGTGAATATTGCTAACACACACACTCTTAAAACAAGGATGAGCTACTACAATGCACACCATTTCTCCAACAGCTTTTCACTTCACCATATTTTGAGATGGATGGCCACGTCAACACTATCTCAGTCTTTAACAACTAGCCCCATGGTACTCCCCTGTATCAAAGAGCCATAATTTATTCATCCGATCCTCTAATGATAGACAATTGGAGTATCTCCAATTTTTGCTATTAAGAACAATGATGGAATGAACATCCTTGTACATAATATCTGTGTACCTGTGTGAGCAATTTTACAACCTATCTTTCTAGAAGTGGAATCACTATGTCAAAGTGGTCACAGACTTAAAATTTAAATAACATGTCCAACTTGCCCTTCTGGTGGACTTTCTGTGTCAAGTGCACTACATTCTCTCCTAGTGCACATCTGGAGACTATTGTCATTTGGTGCCTGCTGTAGAAAAGCCTCATGGCGTCACAGCTGGAAAGGGCCTCCGAGATCTTGTGGTCTTGCTTCCAGGGAAGGGTGGGGCCCAGCCCCCGATGCTGTCAGGGCCACGTGCAGCTCCCTGGGCTGGAGGTTGTGTAGAGCAGTGCTCACGAAGATACTGCCCATGTCTGAATCCCAGGCTTACCATTTACTGTTGTATGACCTTGAATACTTGCCTTGTCCGTGCCTCAGTTTTCTCATCTGTAAGCTGAGGATAATACTAATTCTGGGGTGGCAACTGGAAAGGGGTTAGGAGATTTTTCTTGAAGCTACATTAACAAAGTATATATTTATTTGGGGTGGCTTTCAGGGGATTGATGGATGATGGGGGGTGGGCACTAAGGACTCCCATCAGACACCACCAGCGCTGCCAGAGCTAATTTCAAATGATGACAGCTGGACTTAGTGAGATTCGACGTGACGAATGCCCAGCACACGGCACACAGCCTGGCACACTGTCAGTGCTCGATGGTTGTGAATTCTTGAATGCTGACAGGTGCTGTCTGGGACAGGGAGACCAACATTTCAGAGAGACTGTCCAGGAGAGGGAGGCCCGAGCAACAGGAAAAGAGGGGACCCAAGAAACAGCCTAATCCAGCCCGCCACTTACTACTTAAATAAAGTTTGATTGTAACACAGCTGCGCCCCTTCATTATGTAATGTCTATGGATGCTTGCACTTGACAATATCAAAGCTGAGTAGTTTCGACAGAGACCATATGGCCTGACAAGGCTAAAATATTTAGTATCTGGCCCTTTACAGAAAAAATCTGCCAACCCCTGGCATAGGGGTTATAGGCATACTAATACATGCTGATAGTTCTTGAGCTCACACCGTGTTTCAGGGACTGTTCTAAGCACGTCACATATATAAATTTCTTTAGTCCTCACAATACTCGTATGACATGGCTACTATTTATGGTAGCTAGTCTCAATGGTGGCCCCAGTGAACCACGTCTCCTGGGGCTGACGCCTCTGTGGGCCCCCCACCTCGAGTCTGGGACATCCTGTGCCGTGTGCTGACTAATGGCATGCGGTCGAGTGCCAGGCCTGGCATTAAGGAGGATGGGTACTTCTGCTTCTTTGCTCTGGGGAACACTGAGGTGCTGCACGCAGAGCAGAAGGGGAAGCCATGGGGAAAGGAGAGGCTCTGAGGCTGCAAGGAAAGGACGAAGGTCCAGCCAGCCCTGTCTCAGTCCAGCCTCCAGTGACCTCACCCAGCTACCATGCAGCCACACTTACAGCAAGCAAGACCAGCAGGACTGCCGGGCAGAGCCCAGTCCACTCTCAGAACCAGAGAGACAAGAAAATAGTGCTCAAGCCACTCTGCTTTGTGGGGTGGGGTGGTTCTGCAGCAATAGCTGGCTGAGACACACCACACCAGAGCCTTCGCCTTTCCACCCTCCTTTATCCAGTGGTTCCAACTCCTGTGTGGTTATGAGAATCCTCCAAGTAGCCTTTACAGACACCAATTAAATCAGAATATCTGGAAATGGACCAGAATAGGAATCCTTTTTTTTTTTTTTTTCTGAGACAGAGTCTAGCTCTGTCACTCAGGCTGTAGTAGCACTGTGGCACAATCTCGGCTTACTGCAACCTCTGTCTCCCAGGTTCAAGCCACCCTAGTAGCTGGGATTACTGGCCTGCACCATGATGCCTAGCTAATTTTTGTATTTTTAGTAGAGATGAGTTTTGCCATGTTGGCCAAGCTGGTCTCGAACTCCTGGCCTCAAGTGATCCACCTGCCTCGGCCTCCCAAAGTGCTGGGATTACAGGCCTGAGCCACCGCGCCCAGCCTCCAGAGTAGGAATTTTTTTAATCCTCCAGGATTTGAGAACCACAGCTCCACCCACTATTTCCAAAACTTGCCTAGCAGAAATATTTTAAAAACAGATTCTTCGGCTGGGCACAGTGACTCATATCTGTAATCCCAGCACTTTGGAAGGCTGAAGCAGGAGGATCTCTTGAGCCCAGGAGTTCGAGACCAGCCTGGGCAACATAGTGAGACCCTGTCTCTACAGGAAAATTAGCAAGCAAGGTGGCACACTCCTGTAGTCCCAGCTACTTGGGAAGCTGAGGTAGGAGGATCACTTGGGCCTGGGAGGTCAAAGCTGCAGTGAGCCCAGATCACACCACTGCACTCCTGGGCGACAGAGTAAGACCCTGTCTCAATAGCAATGACAAAATAGATTCGTGCACTCCAACAGATACACAATTCCATGGGAGGCCCTGGAAACCTGTAGCATTCACACATTCCTCCAGATGAATTTTATTATCAATGATTAGCAGAAAAAGGGCGAGATGAGAGCCCAGCTCTCAGGTGTGGAGAACTGCTTGGCAGTTTCCCATCAGGTTAAACATTCACTTCCCAAAACTTAGCCATCCCTAGTCTTGGGTATTCCCAATAGAAATAAGTGCTTGGCCGGGCGCGGTGGCTCATGCCTGTAATCCCAGCACTTTGGGAGGCCGAGGCAGGCAGATCACGAGGTCAGGAGATCGAGACCATCCTCACACAGTGAAACCCCGTCTCTACTAAAAAAATACAAAAAAAATTAGCCGGGCGTGATGGCGAGTGCCTGTAGTCCCAGCTACTCAGAAGGCTGAGGCAGGAGAATGGCCTGAACCCAGGAGGCGGAGCTTGCAGTGAGCCAAGATCGTGCCACTGCACTCCAGCCTGGGCGAAAGAGCGAGACTCCATCTCAAACAAAAAAAAAAAAAAAAAAGAAAGAAGTGCTTATGTCCACCAAAGACAAGCACGAAGATACTCGTAGCATTATTCATAATGGCCCCAAACTGGAAACATCCTGAATGTCTATCCACGGGAACATGGACAGATAAATTGTAGTATTTCCACACAAGGGACTACCAGGCAGCAATGAAAAAGAATGAAGTACTGATATATACAGTAGCCGTGTGGATTGAATTTCACAGGCATACTGTTGAATGAGAAGAGCCAGGCATAGCTCGCAGCGGATTCCACTCATCTATGGTGATGGAGATCAAAATAGTGGTTACCTCTGGGTATCTGTGTGTAAATTCTGCTCCCTAACAGGACACAGGGAAAACTTCCCAGGATGGCAGTCAGAGCCACAAATCAAGACTTACCTGCATTTGGGGCTCACCTGAGCGGCCTTTTCTTGCTTGCTTGCTTATTTGCTTTTTTGAGATAAACAATATACATTGAGGTGTACACAATGCAGTGAAAAAAGCATACAGCCCAGTGAATCTTTACATGTTTACACTGAGTATTGAACTTCATGCAAAGTGCTGTTCTAGGCCCCTGGAAAGGGAAGCCAAGGTTATGAGACACAGACTGTGTCGGTATGGATTTCATAATCTGGTGGAGGAGATATTACAATACAAGGTGGAACGATGACTTTTCATCCATTCACCCATGGGGTGTTTTTCTTGTTTGTTTTGTTTTTTGAGACAGAGTCTCACTCTGTCGCCCAGGCTGGAGTGCAGTGGCACGATCTCGGCTCACTGCAAGCTCCGCCTCCCGGGTTCATGCCATTATCCTGCCTCAGCCTCCCTAGTAGCTGGGACTACAGGCGCCTGCCACCAAGCCTGGCTAATTTTTTGTATATTTAGTAGAGACAGGGTTTCACTGTGTTAGCCAGGATGGTCTCGAACTCCTGATCTCATGATCCGCCCGCCTCGGCCTCCCAAAGTGCTGGGACTACAGGTGTGAGCCACTGCACCCCCATGGGGTGTTTTTGAGCCCCTGCTCTATGCCAGGCACTGAACTAGACAGGGGAAATGGAGTAGCAACCAAGACCCCACTCTACCGTGAGGGTTTTGGAGAGGAGCGCAACTAATTGATTCTACCTCCTAAACATTTTCCAAATTCATTCCCTTGCCTCCCACTGACCCTATCCTAGTCAGGCTGCTACCCTCTCTCCTCTGCAGCTCTCTCAGTCCTTGCCCCTGATTCATTCTCCAGATCAGCAGCCCTTACCTAAGTGCTCAGCCGAAAAAAATTCAAAATTGATGACTGCCCCTGGCCCAGGCAGCTCCGGTGCTGGCCTGTGTGGGCTCAAATCTTCACTTGTAGGATCTATAATTGTGACCACAGGCAAGTTCCTGATATGTCCTGAGCCTCGTGTGTGTCTTCTATAAAATGGAGATGAAATAGTATTAACAACAAAAACCATACCTGTCTCCCTGAAGAGGCTAGGCTTGCACCATCCACTACTCCTCCCAGTGCCTCTCAATGCTGGTCACTCCTGCCTCTCTGAACTACCCAGTGATAGAAAGCTGCTTCTGTTCATGAACACACCCTTTGGTTTCAAGGCCTGAGACTCTATAATTGGTGCCCCAGTTTGACGTGTCTTTCCCTTCACCTTCTCTGGCTGGGTCTTACTCAGCTCCAGACTCGGCCTAGGCATTGCCTCCTCCAGGAGCCTTCCCTGAAGCTGCCTACGGGGCTGGGTGCCCCTGTGTGGGCCCCCACAACACCCCGGATTGAACTTCTCTGTCTCCTGTTTCTGTTTGTCTCCACTTGCTTGAGTGTGGGCTCCTGCCGGGCAGGCTGCCTCTGAGTTGCTGAATGAAACTCTTCTTTGCGCCCCTACTGTGGACCCCTCCAGTCCAGTGCAGGTGCTGGATGTGCCTACTGACCTGAGCAGAACATGCTGAGCACTTTAAGGGAGGTGGCCTTGAGGAATGGGCAGGACATCAAGAAAGAAAATATATATATATATATATATATATATGTATGTATATATATATTTTTAAACAAGTTGTACATGCAGACAATACTAAATTCAGCAGAAACAAAAGGGATTGCAATGAAAATTAAAAGTAGGTCACCTCTCAACCACCCAGCTCCCCTCCCCAGTGGCCACCTCTTCTATCAGTTTCTGAGTATTCTCTGCAGGGCAGAATTGTCAGTCTTCCGTCCCTTTTTTATTTTGCAAAAATTTAAAGCAACAGAAAAGTTGCAAGAATAGTACAATAAGGCCGGGCGCGGTGGCTCACGCCTGTAATCCCAGCACTTTGGGAGGCCGAGGCGGGCGGATCACGAGGTCAGGAGATCGAGACCATCCCGGCTAAAACGGTGAAACCCCGTCTCTACTAAAAATACAAAAAATTAGCCGGGCGTAGTGGCGGGCGCCTGTAGTCCCAGCTACTCGGGAGGCTGAGGCAGGAGAATGGTGTGAACCCGGGAGGCGGAGCTTGCAGTGAGCCGAGATCCCGCCACTGCACTCCAGCCTGGGCGACAGAGCGAGACTCCGTCTCAAAAAAAAAAAAAAAAAAAAAAAAAAAAAAGAATAGTACAATAAACACCTTTTGCCTAGATTCACCAATTAACATTATGCTACTTAACAAGCATTATATCATTTAATGTTCACATTAATTAATTAATGCCAATTTTGTACATGAGGTCACTGAGGCACCAGGCAGGTTAAGGGACTTGCCCGAGGCCACAGAGCTCCTGCCTGGTGGAGCTGGGCTTTCCCCCTTAGGCTGCCAAAGGACTTTGATCTGCCTTCCCACAGCTCCCTTTTGAGGAAAAGCATTTTCTTACACTAAGTTGAAATCCACCTCCCTGGGATATTTACCAGATGATCCGTGGAAAAGTACACAGCTCTGGAAGCATTTGCTACTTCTCCTCCTAAAACCTCCTCCATTCCCTGAGCGACAGCTGCTGTGGCTGCCACTACCACATGCTCCAATGTCACCTCCTCCGTGAAGGCTGGGTTAGCTCACCCCCCTGTTTAAAGACTCACCATGACTCCCAGCTGCCAGTGGGATGACATGTGCACGCCTGGGCTTGGAATACAAGGCCTGGGTGATAGAGCCCTCTTCCAATCCCTCTTGCTCCTTCTTCCCCTATCTCCACTTCCAGCCACACTCAACCCTCTCACTGTCCACTTAAACTTCCCCTCCTCCTTGAAGCCACCCGAATTTTTCTAAAGAGCGCATTTCTCCCCTCTCTGGGCTCCTGCAACCTTCTGCCTGAGCCTTTGACAGCCTTTTCCAGGTTGTCTTTTGGCCAGGAGGCTGGACAATGGAGGACGGGAGTGACAGCTCGGCCCCTTCCTAGCAGAGTGATCCTACACAAATTACTCCAGGTGTCTGACCCTTCATTTCCTCAAGCACATCATGGGGGAAAGAATGCCTAGCTCAGCACCTGGCAGAGAGTCAGCCTTCGCTCATCTCCCCTAATGGAGCTGACAGCTCTTCAAGTCCGCTGACATCTTCTCTTAGTCATCCCTTGAAATACTACCCGCTGTTACTTCTCTGCTCCTCAGTCTCCTCCTATGTAAAATGGGGATGAGAAAGGAGAGGTTGCGAACCTTTAATGAGCGAGCCCTTGGAGTATCCAGCCCTTCCCGACGCTAACTGACTCCTACGAGGGGGCCTGGTACACAGTAGGTGCTAAACTAATCCTCTCCGAGCTGGGCTTGGGGAAGATGCCTCCGTTGGGTGTACAGCGTGGGCGCGGGAAGGCGAGCCTGGGAGCGAGGGGGTTGCAGAGAGGCAGCCTGAGGTCGGCTCCGCCTTCCCCCGCATCCCCCGCCCGGGCCCTGCAGCTGTCAGCCCGGCCGGCCTCGGCGCCAGTCCACCAAACCTGAACGTCCCATGCCGGCGCCCCCACCTTCCCGGCCTGCACAACTTACCTTGCGCTCGGCGGCCCTCGGTCCCGCCCCCGACTGCCATTGGCCCAGAGGTTCCTTTGTTAGCGAGAGCGCGCCAACCCCATTGGCCGGTGGGGCTGCCGATCGCGTCGGGCGCGGCCCCGCCCCGTACGCCCCGGCACCTCCCCGCGCCCGGCCGCCCGCCCGCCCGCCCGCCCGCCCGCCCCCGTAGTGCGTGAGGCGCTCCGGTCCCATTTGCAGCGGCCGCGGGGCGCCGAGGGCAGCTGCGGCGGCGCGGACGAGCCGGGACGGCGGCGACCGGAGCCTGAGAGGCGGGCCGCAGCGGGAAGCAGCGGGCCCGAGGCCGCGTCCATGGGCCCGCGGCGGCCGGGCGGCGGCGGTGCGGGCGGGAGCTGGGCGTCGCGCGCGCTGTGAGGCCCGGGCGGCTCAGGAGCCTCGGCGCGTGCAGCGAACCGCCCGCCGGGAAGGAGGCCGGGCCGGGCCTGCGGCGGGGCCGGCGAGGGATGCGGCGCGGCCGCGCTGAGCCCCTAGCCCGCCGGGAGCGCCAGGCCGGCCAGGCCTGCGCCGCCGCCGCCGCCGCCGTCGCCGCCGCGCCGACCATGTCGGCAGCCAAGGAGAACCCGTGCAGGAAATTCCAGGCCAACATCTTCAACAAGAGCAAGTGTCAGAACTGCTTCAAGCCCCGCGAGTCGCATCTGCTCAACGACGAGGACCTGACGCAGGTGAGCGACTGGGGCCGGCCCGGACACCTCCGTTCTGGGAGCCGCGGGTCGGCGGCCGGGGCGCCGCCAAGGGCTGCAGGGAAAATAAAAATGGAGCAGGGAAATGCGCGAGTCCTGGGGCATGGGGACGGGGACGGGAAGTGCATTGACAGAGCTGGGACAAAGGGAAAATCCTCGAGTATGCCGAAAAATAACATCCTTTCCCGTTCCCATTGCCCGGCTGTGTGATTCATGCTTTTTGGGTGACTCAAAAGTGCCTGGTTTCGCTTAGTAGGAACAAAGCGCTTAGGGATTGCATGCCGCTTGACGGGACCCCCCTGAGATTCTGGCTTGGGACTGGACTTGGATTTGTCCAGCCAGAGTGGCCCAGGGGTCGGATTGTTGGGGAGGACTGTGGGCTTCCGTCTAGTGGGACGCAGCCTGCCCCGATTCTGAATCATCGTCACTGTCAAGCACTGGAGAGAGGTGAAGGGGTGTCCAAATCTGGCGAGGAGGGTCTTGTTCTTGAACTTAGTTTGGCAGGCCGTAGTTTAGCGGGGAGCTGGGACCAGTTCCCTGGTCACTGGCCGAGGGGTGAGGAGACCTGTGGGTCCTCGGGAAAGTTGATTTCTGTCTCCCAGCCTTAACTGTCAAACAGGGCTTTGAACTAGTTATGACTCCCAAACGTGCATTAGAGTCATAGCCATTAAACACAGAGTTCTGGGGCCCCCGCCCTGGAGTGACTGGGGAGATGGGGAATTTGTATTGATGAAAGGCTCCAAGAGGCTTGGCTGCAGCCCCCATGGCCCTTGGGAACCCCTGCAGTGATTGCTGTTTGAACTCCTAGTGTTCCAGGATTCCGAGCCTTGTGTGCACCTCCTTGGGATGTGCCTCGGTACCCTCCCCACGGCCATCATCTCCATCCTCTTCAGAGCTTTCTCTCAGCCTCCTGAATGAAGCCAGGGGAAGTCCCTTCACATTCCAGTCCAGTGTGACCTAGTTGTAGCCACTCCTGTCGCAGAAGAACCCCTTAGACTGAAAACGAGTGAACGGGCCTGGTTGTTTTTAATGCCACTTCAGTGCACCCAGGGTTTGACTTGTTTACATGGCCGACTGGAGTAGGGTGGTGGGGCAGGGGTTACGGCCTGGGGCACGGGGCCTTTCTCTGAGGTCAGGTTTCCAACTGCCAGGAAAAGATTCCTTTCATCTAAACCCCAAAAGCTTAACGAAACACTCAAGGCTGCAAAGTCATAGATGGTTAAGATACCAAGGGTTTTAAGGACGGTCAGCTTGGGACGGATAGAACTCATTTACCTCGGAGGGTGTTTTGGAGTGTAAAGGAGAACTTGATTCCTTCTTCTCATCTGGATGCTTTTTTGGATGAAACAGTTTATGCGATGAGGAGTTGTTAGGAGACTTTGCTTCAGGTCTTGGCTGTCACTTCCAGCTGTGTGACCTTGAACAAATCCCTTTACTTCTGTATCTTTTAATTTCCTTATCTGTAAATTGGGAATCCTGGTCCCTGGCTTACCTCCTTCACTGAGCATTTGTGAAAAGCAAGAAATGATATTTTATGAAACTTTTTTCTCTTACAATTTAACAAACCAAAAAAACCTGCCACTTTAAGAAGTTTCTGGGCAAGGGTTGTTCTGAGAGAGGTTTGTAAGTTTCCTGGTTATTCTAAGCAACTGTCAAAATTGGTAAATTTACACCTCATAGGGGCTGTTTTCGAATTCTTAAGCTTAGATAAACTAGGATGGAATCTGCATGTTTGAGTCCAATCTGCTAAGATTTTTTTTAATCTGTTGATTATTAATTGGATTCACGGGGAGAGGCAAACTTAAAATACTGTACTCTCACTGTATTCAAAGTTGAATTGTGGGTTTTGAAACAGGCCTGAGACCTTCAGGGCACAACTGGAATGGTAGTTTCTGAAATAATGAGTGGGGTTATTTGTGCTGGGAGAGGTTAGCCCAGCATTCTACCTCCTGGGATCTTTCAGGAAGAAACTGCTCTTGAAAAGAGAGGAGGGAGACTCAGGGCTGTTGCCAACAGCCTTCTCTGCTGCTCTCTGCATCCGGCCCTCCCTCTCACTCTCATCCTTATGGCTCCATTAGAAAACCTCAACCAATCGGTTCCCATCAGTCTCCCCCAAGCCCCTGCTTCCTGCTGCCCCTCCCAGCCTGGAGCTTATTTTAGACCGTCAAAGCTGGAAGATACATCAGCCACCATCGAGGCCACTCCCTCCTTAAGAGGAGAGGATACTGGGCCCAGGGAGGTGGTGGGCAGCCTTGGCCGGCTTTTGCTCTGGAGATGTCATCTTCCCAGGAGCAGACATTTCTCTGAGCCTTTTGGTTTGAGGTTTATTTCCTCAGCTGTGGGTTTTGTTTGTTTGTTTTTCCCCTAGAGAGGCACAGAAACCTCTTGCAGGGACTGTATTATGGCATCAGACCTGGAAGGGACTTGGAGATCAGCTAATGTAACCACTTCCTCTTACCGGTGAGAAGATTGAAACCCAGAGAAGGGAAGTGACTTGCCCAGTTCAGGGATGGAGCCAGGATTCTGAAGCCAATGTTAGTTCCCCTACTCCTGTTCAGGGTCTACAGTGGCCACACCATGAGCACATGATGAGGACAATAATGTCAGGGATAGTTATGTTGCAGGAGGTGCCTTGAGAATGCTGGCTTGGAGCAGTGGAGTTCTTTGCCTTTTCCTCCTCACGGAAATTTGGAGTAATCTGGGATAAGTGATAAGTGACCGTCCTTTATTACTTGTTCCAGGCCCCTGTTCACAGAGTGTCATTTATCCTCCAGTTTTCCTGTGCATTTCTCAGCGACATACGGACCCAAATATACAGTTTTTTTTTTTTTTTTGAGGCGGAGTCTCGCTCTGTTGCCCAGGCTGGTGTGCAGTGGCGCGATCTGAGCTCACTGCAAGCTACGCCTCCCAGGTTCATGCCATTCTTCTGCCTCAGCCTCCCGAGTAGCTGGGACTACAGGCACCCGCCACCATGCCTGGCTAATTTTTTGTATTTTTAGTAGAGACGAGGTTTCACTGTGTTAGCCAGGATGGTCTTGATCTCCTGACCTCGTGATCCGCCTGCCTCGGCCTCCCAAAGTGCCGGGATTACAGGCGTGAGTCACTGTGCCCAGCTCAAATATACAGTTAAACCTTTTTATCCTGAACTGTGTGCATGTATTTGCTCTGCGACATATTTTTTGTTTTCTGCTTATCAGCATATCTTTACGTTCTTTTCATGGTGTTGCATATAAAGATGCCAGAACCATTTTGCATATTAGGCCTTTAGGAGTGTACTATAATTTAACCCGTTTCCTTATTGATAGACATCAAGGTTGCTTATGGGTTTTGCTGTTACATACAGTGAATGTTTCGGCAAAGAGTCTTATAAATACTTCTGGGTGTGTGTGCGTGCATGCATGAATGCAAGTATTTCTCTGGGGGCAGATACCTATAAATAGAATGGCTGGGTTGACATCAAGCGCATAAATTTTTTTTTTCAGATACCACGAAATTGCCTTCCAAAAAAGGCTGTGTGATAACATTTCCAGGACTGGATATTATCAAATGATTTAATTCTCTAATAATTTTCCTAATTACTCATGAAGTTGAGCCTTTTTTATAGTATTTACTGAGTATTTTTGTTTCTTTTGTGGATTGCCTGTTCGTATTGCTTGCCCATTTTTCTGTAAGGTTAGTTTTTCCCCCAGTTGATTTGTAGGAGCTTTCTATAAGTGCTTTAGGTCAGGGGTCTGCAAACTTTTTTGGTAAAAGGCCAAATAGTAAATATAATTTAGTGTCTGTGGGCTATATGGTCTCTGTCACAACTGTGCAGACTTTGCCGTCTCATCACAAAGGCAGCCGTAGACAACACATTAACGAATGAGTTCGAATGAGTTACTGTGTTCCAGTAAAACTTTATTTACCGGCAGGGCGCAGTGGCTCATGCCTGTAATCCCAGCACTTAGGGAGGCTGAGGTGGGTGGATGATCTGAGGTCAGGAGTTCAAGACCAGCCTGGCCAACATGGTGAAACTCTGTCTCTACTAAAAATACAAAAACTAGCTGGGTGTGGTGGCACATGCCTGTAATCCCAGCTACTCCTTGGGAGGCTGAGGCACGAGAATTGCTTGAACCCAGGAGGCAGAGGTTGCATTGAGCCAAGATCGTGCCACAGCACTGCAGCCTGGGCAACAAAGTGAGACTCCTTCTCAAAAAAGTAATAATAATAATAAATTTAAAAAACTTTATTTACAAAAACAGGCAGCTGGCATGATGTGTGGCCTGTGAGCCATAGTTTGCTGACCCTGAACTAGATATTAATCCGATGCTTGCCACGTATTGCAGGTATTTTTTCCCAGAATGCCACTTGTCTTTTTTGTGTGGTTATTTTTCTTTTTCATAATATAAATGCAGTTGGTCTTTTTTTTTAATAGTTTGTAGTTTTAATGTCATGTTTAAGGCCTACTTTCCAAGATTTGTAAAATAATTTCTCATATTCTTTTATAGCTATTTTTATACTTAGCTTTTTAATCTATCAGACTTGTTTTTTAGGAAAATAATTCTGGTTAAAGGCAGAAGATCTACTGGAGGCTATTAAACTGGGTAAATTACAATCAAGGCATTCTCTCCAGATCAGTGCTGGTGAGGATGGAAGGAATCAGACTCTAGGGACAGGATGTTGTTGGTTGATCAGAGGTGGGTGTTGAGGAACCTGGGGTAGTTAGAAGTACCTTTAACAGAGATTGAGAAGAACAGATTTGGAGTAAACTTGGGGGATGGGGAGGGGTAAAAAATAATATGGTAAGTTTGACCCTTATGGACGTAGAGGGAGGCTGGGTTGGAATTCTTAAGTCTTGGATGTGGAGGTGGTTGCTGAAATCATGGGAGTGAGTGTGAGCACTCAGGAGGCTGCATAGAGTGAAAGGAGAGGAACCAGCCTAGGAAGCCCCCATGTAGTGGGCAGGCAAAAGGGGAGCAGGTGCAGAGGCTGGGAGGTGAATCAGAGGGGTGGGCATTAGTGGGAGAAGCAGGTCTGGAACCCAGGGTGCTCAGCTTCTACATCCGCGTGTTGATCTGGGGGTGATGTCTCTTTCTCCTGCTGACTGTGTAACTTCAGGCATTGCCTCTGTGGAAGGAGCCTGCAAGCCTGTTTCTACTTCTTTGTCTAGCCCTGTTTTTTTGTGGGACCTTGGCTGGGTCATTTTCATTGCTCAGGCCTGTTTTCCCATCTGGAAATGAGCTCGGTCTTGATCTCTCCCAGGGTTCTTAGTCTTCCTGGTGTGATTCTGCCCTTGCTGTGCCCATACCCCACTGCCAAGGCTCCAAAGCTGCGGGGGCCTCAGGTGGGAATTTCAGACATAGAGGGTGTGGGCCAGGACGAGGTCTCAGGGAAGCATTTCATCAGGTTTCCCTTTGTTCCTGTAGACATTCGTAGAAGTTCTAAGGCATAGGACTTCCTGATTTGACTTAATGTGTATCTCAGAAACAACGGGGAGATTTCGCATCCCCCCCTTGTAGAAGATCTGTAACAGGAGTTGGTGTGTTGCTTGGCAGGGAGCGTGTCAAAAATCTCAGACACACAAAATCCCATTTCAGACGGCCAAGCACCATGACAAATGCTCAGCGTTGTCATCAGCGAAACCCAAATTGAAACCACAGTGAGATATCACTTCATACCTGTCAGGATGGCTAGAATTAAAAAAATAAGAATATAACATGTTGGCGAGGATGTGAAGAAGTTATAACTCTTGCACGTTGCTGGTGGGAATGAAATGGTGTAGCTGCTGTGGAAACAGTTTGGGGGTTTCTCAAAAAGTTCAGCATAAAACCTACCACGTGAGCCAGCATTCCCACTTCTAGGTATATGCCAAGAAGAATTGAGGACAGGTGTATTCAAACAGATACTTGTATACAAATGTTCATAACAGCACTACTCACAATAGCCAAACGGCAGCAACAATCCAAGTGTCCATCCACTAATGCGTAGATAAGCAAATCATAGTGTATCCATACCATGGAATATCATTCAGTTCTAAGAAGGAGCGAAGTACTGAGACATGCCACAACATGGACGAACCTAGAAAACATTGCGCTAAGAGGCAGACATGAAAGGTCATGTGTCACATACTGTGTGATTCCATTTATGTAAAATGTCCAAAACAGGTAAATCTGTAGAAACAGAAAGCAGATCGGTTGTTGCCAGAGCCTGAGGGTTGGGTGGGCAATGTGGAATGACTGCTAATGAGACTGGGGTTCTATTTTGGGGGTGATGAAATGTTTTGGAACTAGATAAAAGTGCTGGTTGCACAGCCTTGTGAAATGTACTAAATGCCCCTGAATTGTTCACTTCCAAATGCTTCTTGACTTATGATGGGACTTATGGTGGGGGTACATCCAGGTAAAACCCATCAGACCTATCACAAAGTCAAAATTATAAGTCAGGGACTGTCTGTACAAGAATCGCTCTCTCACACACACACACCTGCCTTCTGCTCCTTGTGTCACCTGGAGTGAATATCTGATTGTTTCTAGAGTCTAGACCAAGGCTTGGCAATTTTTTTTATAAAGGACTCTTCTTTTATCCTGGGGAACTCCTTCCCCAAGCCACTCTTTCCCACCTGAATGACACAGTTGGACCAGGTCGGTGGTTTTCAAGCTTTCATCAAATCCCGGAGCCTTTTACTCAAAAGAAATCTTGTATATTTTAGGTTTTGCAGGCCAACAGGCAAAATCGAGGAGGTTGTGTAGGATATAGCCACTTAAAAATGTAAAAGCCATTCTTGGTTTTGGGGTCTTAGAAAAGCAGCTGGTGGGCCAATTTGGCACAGGGGCACAGTGTGCCACCCCTCAGACCAGCCCTGTCCTCTAGAACTGTAATGGAAGCCACATAGGAAATTTTAAATTTTCCAGCGGCTACGTTAAAAAAGTAAAAAGAGGGGCCGGGTGCAGTGGCTCACGCCTGTAATTTCAGCACTTTGGGAGGCCGAGACGGGCGGATCACGAGGTCAGGAGATCAAGACCATCCTGGCTAACACAGTGAAACCCGTCTCTACTAAAAATACAATAAATTAGTCGGGGCCGGGCACAGTGGCTCACGCCTGCAATCCCAGCACTTTGGGAGGCCGAGGCGGGTGGATCACGAGGTCAGGAGATCGAGACCACGGTGAAACCCTGTCTCTACTAAAAATACAAAAAATTAATCGGGCGTGGTGGTGGGCGCCTGTAGTCCCAGCTACTCAGGAGGCTGAGGCAGGAGAATGGTGTGAACCCGGGAGGCGGAGCTTGCAGTGAGCTGAGATTGCGCCACTGCACTCCAGCCTGGGCAATAGAGTGAGACTCCGTCTCAAAAAAAAAAAAAAAAAAAAAGAGGTGAAATTAATTTTAATTATGTTTTATTTAACCAGATATATCCAAAATACTGTCATTACACCATGCAAAAAAGTTATGACGTGCGCATTTTACGTTACAGCACATTTCAGCTCAGACGAGCCACTTTCCCACTGCTTAGTAGCCTGGTGGTGTGGCCGCTGCCCGCAGTCCTGGTGGCAGCCCTGGGGTGCCACAGGTGGTGGTGAGTTTCCTCCGTCCCTCCCTTGGGCCTTGGGTTGGAAGGTTCCTGGAGTGCTGCTTCTCTGGGACTTGTTACTCCTGTTTGTGTCCCCACTCCTCCTTGGCCCTTGGTGTCTATTGCCAACTTTTGAAGTTTCTTTCTTTGACTATCACATCTTTGATGGCTTCTTTTGGTGTGTTAGAAGTTCTCTTCTGGGCTCTGATCCCCACTCCCTGCCCAGAGGCAGAGTTTAGGGGCAGAAGGGAGGAAGGTCCTTGCCAGGGCCTCAGGCCTGTCCTGTGGGGAGCCGGTGAGGGCCGTGGTGGGCAGGCTGGCGTATCCCCCTCTAAACTGGACGTGCAATGTTCCAGTATTATGTAATTGCACCCTAGCTTTTTTCCCTGGGTTCTAGCCTGTTACCTGATCTTTTCCTCTGATTTCTCTTTCCCTTGCCACACAGAAGGACTATAGTCCAAGGCCTATGTTCTCTTCCTGACACAAATGTGCAGGGTGACCCAGGAAGGTGACTTATGTCTCCCACCTGTAAAGCGGGTGCCTGCCTTCTCTTTGCAGAGTAGTGTGCTGATGGAATGGGGAGTTCCTGAGCCCCCCATGTGGTGAGGGATGTTCCAGGAAGCACGCTGGCTGCCGCCTCTGGGGGAAGTAGCCTTTCTTTGGGCAACCTCATGTTCTTTAGCAGAAATAAAGAAATTTAACTCAGAATGTTTAAATTGTTCCCAAGCTGCCACTTAGTCTTGAAAGAGGGAGAGAGTGTGGCAGCGAGGCACAGGGGAAGACATCCTACTACTGGACATGGAGGATCATTGGGTGCTAATTTGGAAGCATCTGACCTAAGAAAACGGGCTCTTCTCTTATCCTGGGAAACTCATTCCCCAAGCCACTCTTTCTCAGCTGAATGACACCGTTGGACCAGGTGGATGGTTTTCAAGCTTTCATCAAAAGCAGTGCAGCTCTGGGCAAGGCAGCCAAAGCCTGGAGCTTGGCCTCCCATCCTGGGGCGGGGTGGCGGGGGAGGGCCTTGGGTCATCTCTGGGGCCATTTGGGGCAGGTTCGAAAACTCTGCCCTAGATTTTGTGCTTTTTCCAGTTTTAGCAATTGAGGCAGTCTTACAGCTGCTCTGGAATGGAGCCCCCATGCCCTACCCAGAGCTCTCAAGGCATTGTCACTTCCGTTGGGGGCAAGAGCACCTAGGGGGTTGATTCACTGACATTTTGTCTCTGGAAGCTGGAACTGAAATCTTCCAAACCACTCACTGGTTTTCTCAGTCAGGGTCATCCTAGTTCACATGAAACCACAGCCTGGTTTTTGCCTGGAGCCTGTAACCCTTCTGGCTCCTTCCCCTTGGGCGCAGCTTGGCGGTTGCATGCTGTGCCAGAGGTGGCCCTGGTGTCAGAGCTGCTTTGCAGCGAGACTCTGAGTGGATGGGCCTGCCGGATCCTTTGAACCTCTACCTACTATATTGTGTCATAGCCCGTGATTTCACACAGACCTCAGCAGGCAAGGGTGGCCAGCAGGGCTGGTGGCAGCAAGGCCTCCCTCGGAGGAGGGGACCCTGAGTTTTCAGAGTGGTTGAGCGGCCTGCCCAAGGTCACTGAGCTGCTCAGCAATGGGGCCGTGATACAGATTTCAGCTCCATGAGGCTCCCGTGCCAGAGTCCACCCTGGCTCCAGACTCCACCCTGGCTCCAGACTCATCCTCCCTGTCCTTGGGAAGGCCACTTTGCTTTGTAAACTCCTTAGTGTTTTTGTTTGGCCCCGGGGCAGATGGGTAGTAGGGAGATTGGTATATTGCAGTGCTGCAGAATAAATCACAGCTGTTTCCTGGACTTCTAGTTCCTAGCCCTGGGAAGAGGGACCTGCTGGGGCTGTCTGCACCTGCCCTCCCTGCCTTTCCCCCACATTATGCAGGTGAGGGATTGTCTTCAATTAGCAGATGGAGCCGCCGAGACCTGGAGAGGTTCAGCAGAGGTTCAGCGACCTGCCTAGGTCACAGGAAGTCCAGCACGATTTTTTCCAAAGTCCTGTTTGGCCACCTTGTCTCTAATAAGTGTTAACCTTTGCTATCAGGAACAGGGCCTTGCCCCAACTTGGACTCCTTAGTTCTTGAGTGTGTGGTGGGGCGTGTGTGTGAACGGTGCAGGCTGTTGTGCAGGGCATCGCCCAGATCTTCACCTCTCCTCAGCCTCGGGGTGCCCCACATCCCCAACATGGGCTACTGGCCTAGGCAGCAGCCACACCTTTGGCACAGCTCTGAACAGGAAGCACAATTTTTTCCTCTGAAAGAGGAATTCAGAATCAGGAAATAGCTTTGTCCTTGATCTCTGTAGGTTCTGAGGCACTGGATTTAACAGACCCACAAGCAACCGTGGCGCACTTTCCACACAAGGTTTCTGACCTCCTCGTGGTCCTTCCCATAGATAAAGGGGCCAAGGGAAGGGGGAGCAGCTGCAGGGAGCCCCAGCTGAGCCAGAGAAAGGGGCCATGTCTCCTGGGTCTCCTGATGCCATACCCAGAGCCTCACTATCAGGACTGGGTGAGCCACTTGAGGCTCAGGAGCCTCAGGGCCGCGGGAGGGGTGGGTCAGGGCATTTGCATGGCTTCTGCTTGGGGACCTGCTCTGACCTAGAAATCTGACACAGTCCCACTTTTCATTTCAGTGCGCCCAGGCAAGGGAATTGGAATGGTGGCGAGCCCAGATTTGAGTTTCCATTCTAGCTCCATTTTCCATGCTAATGGAGCAAGTTACTTAGAGCTGAAGCATCTATGCCCCTCATCTGAAAACTGGGGGGTTATAATAATAGTACCCATGGCTTTGGGTCCTGATGAGGATGCAGGAAGATGCTTCCAAAGTCCTCAGCAACCGCAGGATCTGTGGCAAGGGCAGAGTTTGTAAATACTGGGTTATATGGTGGGTGCTTAGTAAATGGGGTCCGTTTTATCAGCAATAAACCATGTAGTATGGAGCTGTGTGTGGGACACGGATCTTGCCCTTGGGAAGCTCTCACTTAGCATGCTGGCCCATCTGCTCTTGAATGTCCACCATGGGCCAGGCCATGGGCGAGATGGGGCAGGGGCAGTGCGGGGAGCACCAGGTCCCCATCCCTCTTAGGTTACTGCAGAGAAAACAGCCCAGGGAGGGGACCTTCCACTGTGATTTTGTGGGCAAGCTGGCCCTCAAACCTGTTTCTGTCTGTCCCATGCCCATTAAACAGAAGCTCAGGCCCATGCCCATTAAACAGATGCTCAGGCTGTCTCCTCTCCCACTGAGCTGCTCTGCACCACCCTAGCAGCTTTCTTATGTCAGCCCCTTGAGGACTGGAAGGAAGTAGTCAGTTTGCCTTGTGTGTGTTTGATTTTTCAGAATGTGTAAGTACAGTAAGTCCTCACCGTCATTGATGGGCTCTTGGAAACTGCTACTGTAAGCATAACAACACACAACCAAACCAATTTTATCATAAGCTAATTGATATAAACAGGATTTAAGTTTCTACGGCATATTTCAGGTTATAAAAATTAACCAAACTTCTAAATAAAGATCCAAAGTATTTCTAATATTAAACATGGAAATACATGTGAGCTATTATATACATTTCAGGAAGATGAATAAAAACAAGTAAGATCATTATCTATACAAGTTTTGGTGAGTGATGACAGTGAGTGATGACAGTCATGGTGGTAGGTTAAATCAAGGAATAAATGTCTGCAAAGTGAAAATTGTAAGGCATACCTCCTACCACCAGGAAGTTCAAAAACAAGGACAAAAGCGGTGGGCTGGCTGAGTGCTTCTTACTGCATAGTTTATTGTCATGTGTTTGTGTGATTATCGTAGACTTGATGACTTTTTAGTAGGCAGTTACCTGTATTCATTCATGCGTTTTCCAGCTTGCTTATTCCAGTTCAATGTCACCGGTAGCTGGAGCCTCTCCCAGGGCACAAAGCCTGGACAGGACGCCGTTCCATCACAGGACACACTTGCACCCACACCTGCTCAGACTGGGACCACTTAGATGTCCAGTTCACTGAATGTGCACATCTCTGAGATGTGAAAGAAAGCAGAGTACAGAGAAAACCCACGGAGTCGTGAGAGCACACAAACTCCACACAGGCAGTGGGTGCAGGAATTCTTTTTTTTTTTTCCTCAACATTGTTATAACAAATCAATGTTGAATGAAATGGCATTATTTGAGGACCTGCTGTGTAAGGACTGAACTGATT
This sequence comes from Homo sapiens, assembly GCF_000001405.40. Taxonomy (NCBI): domain Eukaryota; kingdom Metazoa; phylum Chordata; class Mammalia; order Primates; family Hominidae; genus Homo; species Homo sapiens. Next base: position 17,054,755 of record NC_000017.11, read on the forward strand.
TTAAGAATTTTTAGGTCAGGTGCTGCGGCTCACACCTGTTATCCCGGAACTTTGGGAGGCCAAGGTGGGCAGATTGCTTGAGCCCAGGAGTTCGAGATCAGCCTGGGCAAGACAGGGAAACCCTGTCTCTACAAAAAAGTAAAAAACATAGCCAAGCTTGGTGGCACATGCCTGTGGTCCCAGCTACTTGGGAGGCTGAGGTAGAAGGATTGCCTGAGGCAGGAGGTGGAGGTTGCAGTGTGCTGAGATCACGCCACTGCACTCCAACCTGGGTAATAGAACGAGACCCTGTATCAAAAAAAAAAAAAAATTTCTTTTTTTTTTAGAGGGTAGGAAGTGAAGGGGCCAGGCTTCATCAGCTTAGGATTTAATGTTAGAGGCCACTTCTGTGCCCCTGTCAAGCCCAGAGAAGTCATGCAGGTCCCATGAAGGGCAGAGCAGATCCCAATTTTAGGAATTTCTTTGATGGGTGTATGAGTTGCCATGGGCAGTGTGGGAGAAGATTAAGAGAAGCCATGCTTATCCCACTCGTATCCATGGAGCAACTGCCTTGCAGTTGTCTGGGAAGGAAAATCCTTGTGCCGGGCCTGGTTGAAATGCCCAAGGAAGGTAGAGAGGATCCCAGAGCTGGGGAGCCGGGTCTAGTCCCAAATCACTGGGTGGGTGGGAGATCTGGCCAGGACGTTTCGTGGCCCCCTGGTCACCAGTGTTGAGTGGGTCCCCTCAGCTGGCAGGCAGGTCCTTCCAGCCTCTCTGTCCACCCTACCCCCAGCCTTTACAAGTCATTCACCCTTGCAGGGAAAGGCACCTCTGCTGAGGGGACCCTTCTATGAGATCTAAACAGGAGGAGTCTCTTCTTTTGAGCCTGAGAACGAGCTCTTCTAATAGGCAGATGTCACCTCGGCAGACAGCCCACTACTTCTCAATTCCACATCTCCCTTCCCGCCTGGAAACCCCGTGAGCCTGGGAGCTTAGGAGTCCTCTTCCTAGGGGGCCCGGCCAGCTAGCACCTGGCCTTCTATGGTGTGGAGGTTTTCCTATACGGAAATTGCTGAAGGGTGGCCTGCCCTGGCATTGTTTTGTGGCGCTGTTGGTGGTATTCATAGCTGACAGGAATTGCCATGTGCCAGGCCACTATTAGCTCATTTATATTTCCAGCAGTCTCAGAAGGCGGAGTTAAGAGAAGGGTAGAGAGAGGTAGTATAATATGCCTAGAGCAGCTCCTCTGGTGGCAAAGCCGGGAGGAAACCCAGCTGTGGGACTCCAGGCCTTCCCTGTCTCCACATGACTCGAGAGGACTGAGCTTGGCCTTGAGACCATCAATGTCTGGCTGTGTGTGGCCCCCTTGGCCCCTAGTGTCCAGGAGCGGGGCTGACCACCTTGGCATGTGCGGGGAAGGGTGGGGCTGACCTCATTTAGCTTTCCTGCCCTTTTTTTGCTCCTCCTTCCACCGTGCTTCTGTCCTACCTGTTTCTGAATGGGAAGGACGGCTTTTTGAGGAACAGGGTGTGACTCTTCCCTGCGAAGACGTTGCCCCAGAAATTTGTCCCCACGCATTCTCCAGCCCTCTTCCCTTTGCCATGAATGGCGTCATGTTCCAAAAATCCTGTGGCCACGGGCTGTTTGTCAAGACCAAACAGGGAAGAGGCTTTTAAAATGTCACTTTCCCCCTCCAGCTTGAATACAGTGGGGAGCAGGGGCAGGGGCCGGGGCTGGGCTTGCAGGACCTGTGTGTGGGCAGAGGGAGGCCAGGAGCCCAGTGGGAGTTGGGGGTAGTTTACAGCCAGCCAGCAGCTGTGGGCCCTGCTGTCCCCGTGCTATGATGGGGTGAACTGTGTGTGTGGTTCCTTGGTTTTGAGGGGTTTTTTTTTTGAGGTGAAATTCACGCAACATAAAATTAACCATTTTAGCATGTACAATTCCATTGCATTTAGCCTACAGTATTGTACAACTGCCACCCCTCTTCAGTTGAAAACATTTCCATTGCTCCAAAAGAACCCCCCACCTTAACTATTAAGCAGTCACCCCCGCCTTTAGTCCCCAGCAACTACAAATCTGCTTTGTGCCTCAATGGATTTACCTATTCTGGAAATTTCATCAAAACAGAATCATACCATACCATATGTGACCTTTTGTCTGTGGTGTCTTGCACTTGGCCTAATGCTTTCAAGGTTCATCCACCTTGCAGCACAGGTCAGAATTCATTCCTTGTATGGATGGTAGACAGTGGGATTGCTTCACCCTTTTGGCCGTTGTGGATAGTGCTGCTGTGAACACAGGTGTGCGGGCATTTGTCTGAACACCTCCTTTCAGCGGACCCCAGGAGAGGACTTGCTGGCCTGTGGCCATTCTGTCAGTGAGCTGTTTGGCATCAGCACCTGGAGCCACATGTCAGCCCTGCAGACTGCTGGGTGGGAGGGCTATGGGTGGGTCCCAAATAAGGCCTGCCCAGAGCCTGGGGCTCTTCACAGAGGAGTCTGGGATGGAAACTGGGTTCCTGGACCATCCCTCAAGAGTCGCACACATGAAATGCCGCCATGAGGCAGTGTCACGGGGCGGTGCAGGGGTGGCTCAGCTGCTCGGAGGTACACGCCTTCTTTCTTCCCTTTTTGTCTGACCTGAAGATCATCTGACTGCCAAGAAAGAGGCAAGTTAATCCTTAAACATTGTTGGAAGGAGGGCTGTGGGGCATGGGAGCTGAAGGCTGGAGACCCCAGGGAGACGCGGTGCCTTCCCAGTGCTAGGTGCTGGGAGCTGCTGGCAGAGGGCCCACAGAGCCCCACAGTGGTCCCCAGAGGACCTTGGGGTCAGCTAGAGGGAAAAGGCCTTTGCTACGCTGTTCATCACTGTTACCAGTTTTCAACCTTTATTTCTTTGGCAGCAAAACACCCACCCCCTTGAAATGAAACGTGGAGCTCACATATATGATGCACGAATGTTCTCATGTTGAAGGACAGGAAGAGGAATGGCATCAGCTATGAGACCACCCTGACCCCCACCCGCTGCCCCATCCTACACCCGAGGTGGCCCCTGAAGCATGACCTCCAGGGATCTTCACAGTTTGAAGAGCCGCTGATATACTCTAATACTTGCAGTAATATTTTTTAATAGAATGCAATATTGGATGTACACAAAAGGATACAAGCAGCATACATTTACAATATAAATCTAAATAATAAAAATGAATGCTCGTGAACCTGCCACCCAACTTAAGAAAGAGAACACTGACATCCATTCAAAGCATCCTTCACGCCCCTCCCCAGTGGTATCCCTTTCACAGAGGTGACCTGAGATGATTTAGGGGTGGGAGCCGAGGCCCAGATGGGTAGCTCAGGCATTGCCCTTCACACCAGTGCTGGTCGAGCTGTTCTAGGGAACACGGACAGAAGCACATTCCAGTGGAGTCCCCTGCTTTTCTGACTCCTCTCCACAGGCTCAGGGACGTTAGTCCTGTGGCACAGTAAAGGTGCTTATGTTTGTGGTCCTTCAAGCCCCTCTTTGCAAGCAGGGACCTGGGGAGAGGATTCTAGGGGCCAGGGGGAGCAGGGACCCAGGGAGGGGATCTAAGACTATGGGGAATGGGGACCCAGGGAGGAGAGCTCCAGGACTATTAGGAGTAGGGACCCCGGGAGGGGAGCTCCAGGGCCGTGGGGAATGGGGACCTGGGGAGGAGAGCTCTAGGACTGTTAGGAGTGGGGACCCGGGGAGTGGAGCTCCAGGGCCGTGGGGAGTGGGGACCCGGGGAGGAGAGCCCCAGGGGCCATGGAGAGTGGGGACCCAGGGAGGAGAGCTCCAGGGACTGTGGGGAGTGGGGACCCAGGGAGGGCTCCAGGTCCATTGAGAAACAGGTGTTGCCTCTGTCACAGCCCCTCCTCCTGGCCTCCTCACCAAGGCAGAGGTCCGCATTGTTGAGAGAAAGGTTTTCCTGTCTGCCTGTGCCTTGGAGTCTGTTTCATTTCCAGATGGACCATATGTAACACAGCCACCAGGAGCAAGTCTGGGGTTAGATGTCGCCTTTTAAGGCAGTGCTGTTGGATAGAAAGGACTCTTGAGTAGAAACCAGGAGATAGACTTAAAGGCAAGTTTGTGTTTGGGCACATGGCAACTGAGAAGTGGGATCAGCAGGGCTGCTCCCCAAGCAAAGGTGCAGAAGGGGTGGGGACGTGCTAGGGGAGTGGGTGGCTAGGTCAGCAGTTCTCAAACTTTTTGGGTTCCAGACCCCTTTATGCTCTTGATTATTGAGGCCCTCAGAACGCTTTAGTTTACCTGGGTTATGTCCATTGGTATTTCTTGTATTAGAAGTTAAAACTGAAAAAGTTTATTCATGAATTCACTTAAAAGTAACAATAAGCCTATTATGTAGTCACGTAACATATATTCTGAAAAATAACTTTTCTAAGACAAAAATTTGCTGAAAAGCCTCACATTTTTAACTCTTTGCAGAGCTCTTTACGGTCTGCCATAATGAAAGACAGCTGGGTTCTCAGAGCTTCTACAGTCTGTGGCCATAGCATGTCCTGTGTAGCCTTTGGGCAGCTCTACTGTACACTCATGAAAGAGTGAGAGAGGAGGCAAAGGATGTTTTAGTATTTTTATTAAAATGGTTTTGACTCAGGGACCCCAAAAAGGGCCTCAGGGACTCCCACCTTTGCAGACCACTGGTCGAGCTTAAGTTGGGCCATGGGCTTGAGGAGCATGCCGGCCTCTATAGGAGGGGCAGTGCAGTTCACTGTTCCAGGCTGCGCCGCTGCCTTGGGGCCTGCTCGGCTGTGGCTGTGTCAGCTTCCCACAGACGGTGTCCCCTGACTTCCATTTCTGAAGTCTGTCATTTGCCCCCTCCCAGGGAAGTCTCCCACACTCCTCCCCTTTGCTCCCTGGCATGGTGCTGAGTTCCTTTCCCTTTGCACCACCTTTCGTGTCTTCGTCTCCTTGTTGGTATTCCCAGAGGCTTTGCGAACTTTGCATCAGTGGCCTTGCAGAGGCTGGTAGACATCAGGGGCATCCCTGACCTGCCTCCATAGAGAGCAGCAGAATGTGGGGATGGGGAGTGGCCCAGTTGGGAGGTGAGCCAATTGCAGTCTGCAGGGTCCCGGGTGGGCATGGCTGTTCTGAGTTCTGGGACCAGCAGTCCTGGCATAATTAGCAGAATCCCTTTTCCTTCCCCAAGTACTCCCAATTAAGACAATAAATTACGTTGAGCACCTTACTGATGAGGCTCTGAAGTAGGTGGCTTATTGGCCCAGCTTTTCCTGGGGTGGGTGGAGGTGGTAGCCTGCACCCAGCCTTGATGTCTTTGCACAGGTAGGAAAGAGTCCTTCTGGAGGACAGCCCCCAATCTCCGCCAGCTTCCTGACCTCCTGCGCAGATGGCCAGGCTGGGTGTGTGCTGCAGGAGGGTGGTCTGTGGCTGGCTCATCTGGAAGTAAAGGCTGTAGGGCTCTTCCTTCCATGTGTGCCTCATGGGCAATGTGCTTTGGGGCCCCACCGGGTCCCTAAGCCCCCACTTGCAGCCTCCCAGGGCCGTGGCCCCAGCTGCATGGATGTGGGGCAGAACTGAGTGCTGTGCTGGTGAGGACCAGACCCCTACCCCTGGGAGCACATCTCACTTGGGAACATGCCCTTCACCTGTGTCACCCTTTACCTTCTGGAATGGCCTGCTAAACTGGGGAGGAGTGTCCCATGGGCCAGGGCCAGTGTGGAACCAGGTGGCCTTGGTGCCTGTTTTGCTTCCACTGCTTCCTGGCTCTATTTACTTGGACAGACCACTGAGTCTCTGTGTGCCTCGGTTTCCTGGGGTATAAAATGGAGGTCATGAGAGCTCATATGCCCTAAGCCCTGGGGTCAGCTCCACTGCCAGCGGGGAGGAGTGCAGACCTGCCCTCGTGCTCCCATAGCTGGGATGTATGTCCTCCCTGCAGAATGCATTCCTGGCAGCTGGTGAGCAGGTGTTCTCCCTCGGAGGCTTGGCTTCCTCCCGGGACAGGGCTCTGGGTCCTGATGATGTTGAAACACTTGCGGGGGCTGTAGCTCCATCTTTAGTATCTGCACAGTGGCTGGCTGTTTGTGGAAGCCTATATTGAGGAAGGTAGTTTGGGTCCACAACTGTGTGGCTGTAGAGCAATAGAACAGTATTCTCCAGGACTCAAGGCCCCATGGACAACTTTTAGTAGTTCTAGCACAGTTTGGTCAACACAGGACAAGCCTGTGGCCTCTTGAGGGGTCTGCAGTGGTGACCAGTGTTCGTCGGCCCTGGCAGGCTTGTTCTGAAAGAGAAGCCCCCATTCTGAGCATGGTCAGAGGTGTGTGCTGAGAACCCACTGTGGGTGAGGCAGGTGGGCACAGCTCCGCCAAGAAGCTTCCCTCCCCAAGTGCTGAGATTCAGAGCCACTGATCCTCTTGCAGTCCATCTGGGTGGCCACAGGACACACAAGGTCTTGGCAGGGGTGAGGCTTGAGACTGGACTTTGCTGTGTGCTCACCCCTGACTTTTACTGACTTACATCAGAATGTCCCAGAAAAGACGGACAACCTTGAAGTCTCCCATGATTTACAAGCTTAGAAAGAGGGCCAGACGGCTGCTACCCAGGTATCCTTTCTCTTTGGAATTGAAATGCAGAGAACATTATTAAACAGCCTATTTGCTGTGAGTGTGGAAGTGTTTCCACAGACACCTTTTTGGGAAAAAGAAAAGGGCAAGAATCAACCTGAAAACTACAGAGGATATATTAGCCACGGTTTGCACGCATTCTGCTTATGGATCTTTCAGTGACTCCAGTGAGGGGCCATCTGTCCCATCCAGTGCCTGAGTGCAGCCCCCACCCCCACCTTTGGTCCAGAGAAGTCTTTGCCCCAAGAATCTGCCCAGAGTTGGGGCATCAGCCCCTACAGGTGTGGGTCCTTCTTCAGGACTGTGTGGAACTTTTCCTTTTGAAGAACTTTCCTGGGGATGACCACTCTGCTTGGAGTCTGGGGTGGAGCCTGGTGTGAGGGAGCCAGCGTAGGGTTTGGGTGCCTGCCCCACCCTCAGAAGCAGGAGCCCAGCAGCCCTTGGACTGACCGGTGCTGTTCTGGGGCTCCCACTGGCTCCTTCCACTGTGGAGCACTCCCGTGAACACTGCTTTGGTTTGAGTACCAGTACAAGTGTTGGGTGTATGTTCCTGACCTTGAGGCATTCTTGATTGTGCAGTTACCTAGGGTATGCTTGTGTCTGACATGATCATTTTTTTTTTTTAATAAAAAATGGCATGGAAGGAGTATGTGTATTTTTCTACTGTAGATTATGAAACTGAGAATCACAGAGATACTGCCTTGCCCTGGGCCACACATCGAGTAGGTGGTGGAGCCAAGACTTGAATTGGCCTTCTCGTTCCCAGGCCAGTGTACATTAAATACCTGGAGCTGTGAGGTCCTGTTGGTGGACAGTAGAGTGTAGGGGTTCCCTAACTACACCTACTTCTTGTTCTGCCAGGAATGACCAAGATCTCCCCTATTGAAGCCACTCTGCCAGGGTTATATCAGAAGTCCTGCGTGCTCGGTCAGGCAGGCATCTTCCCCTCCCTTAAATAATAACTGGTAAGTGCCATGTAGTGGCATTTACATTACAAAAATGGTAAAATCAAGCAAAAGCCCCCAAACCTGCTGCTGATCTTGGCAGTCCGCATAATAGCTGTTTTCTCATCAACTCTCAATCTTTGTCCATCCTTACATGTGTTATAAACAGAACTGACCACGAGCCCCTTGGGAGATGTGTGTGCTTCATGTTTTTATCTGCAGGGCCTTGAGTGGTGCCAGCTTCAGGGCAGCTGCTGGAGAAATTCTGTTGCACACTTCCAGGGGGTGCCGTTCACCAGCGGACAGAGCAGCGGAGCCATGAAGGCCTGCGCAGGACAGGCCAGCTGCGTTGATAGTGTGGGCGGTGCCCTGGAGGGCATCTTGAATCCTTGTCCTCGCTGGTAATTAATGGCCAGGTAGCGTGTTAGGGAGTAGATGTATAGTCACTCTCGAAACTGTTTCTCTGTTGGGTGTTGAGCTCTTCCCACATCAGGAATGAGACTGTTTGCTTCTCTCTTTGTGAGTTCTTCAGGCCCAGGCTCTGGACATGGGCTCACTGTATCAGGAGTGTGGAAGCATCGTGGCTCTTGCATGTGGCCGTGTGCTGCTGTCTGAGTGCCAGCTTTGTCCACACCCTGTCTCTTGTCCTTGGTGGCATAGTGCACACAGTGGCACAACTGGAGACTTGGACTCGAGAAAGGAGAAGTACAAGTTGGATTCAGCCATGTGCGGGGGCAGGCCCTGGCTTGTGTCTACTTGCGCCTCAGTGCTGATCGTCCCTCACTCCTGGGTGCTGACCAGCGTTGTCCTAGTGACCTGGGAGCTCAGGTGTGGGAGGCAGAGGTGCAGTGCAGCCTGGCTTGCCCAGGTCTTGGCTGGGAGGGCCTTCCAGCAGCACTCAGAGCTGTTAGGGAGCAGTTACCTTTTCAGCTGGGTGGGGGTGACTAATAAGTGTACCTGTAGACTTGTGTTTATTTATTTGGTCATTGGAGCCCAACTTTGTACTGGGTGCTTCACTGGATGAGGCAGGATTCTTGTCCCCAGCGAGGAGATGTGGTGTTGTGAGAGAGAAGGAATACATTTGGCCTGGAGCCGGTTAGTGTTCTTGAAGGAGGTGTGGGATTTTGAGGGGTCTGTGTATGAGACAGTGAATCTCCTTATTCCATGGAATAGAAGATGTTTGTGTATGGGAGGTGAGGGGGCATGGGACCATAGAGGGCCTTCTGGGTGGCAGGATGTGATGGGGTGAGAAGAGTGAGACCCACCTGTCTGCATCGACTGTTTGAGGCCTGCCCTCTTTGGTGCCGGATTGCGCAATATGTCTGACTACCTTTCTCCCCACCCACTGCAGTCTAAGGACAGGTGAGTCCAAGGGGACAGGAAACCTGGGTTAACCACCGTTAGAGATCTTGTCACCGACTGTTCCCTTCTCTTGGAGCCACAAACAGGCCACACGGAGTGAGAGCCAAGCATGTTGTGTGGGCTGGTTGTGATGGGGTGGCTGTGTCCAGAGACCTGTGCACGTCTGAGACGCATCAGTGGTGGCAGCTTGACAACACTGGGTATAGTAGGCTGAGATGTTTCTCTGTCCCTTGCCCCTGGCCACCCGCTTGGGGCAGTTGGGCAACCCAGAGTTGAGACAGCTGGGTTCATCCTGGCATGCATCCCAGATTTGCCTGGGGAGGGTGGTGAGGGGAAGGGACAGAAGAACCCTTGAGAGAAGGGATGTGGGTGGCCTCCAGGGAAGTAGTTGGAGAGGCCAGCAGAGCATACGCGGTGCAGCTCAGGGCCATGGCAGGCAGGCGTCACTGAAGAAGGCCCGTGGCCATACCCTGTAGACCCCTGAGGACTGACTGCAGAGGCCACAGTGGCTGAGTTTTGTTTTTCGGTTTTTTTTGTTTTGTTTTTTTTTTTTTGAGATGGAGTCTATCTCTGTTGCCCAGGCTGGGGTGCAGTGGCGCAATCTCGGCTCACTGCAACCTCCGCTTCCTGGGTTGAAGCGATTCTCCTGCCTCGGCGTCCCAAGTAGCTGGGACTACAGGTGCGTGCCACTGTTTTTCCTTTTTTATTAAACTACTTACGTTGAGATAATCGTGTTTCCCCTGTGGTTGTAACAAATAACAGAGATCCCATGTACCCCTTTGCCCAGGTCCTCCGATGGTGACCTTCTGCAACACTGTGGTACGGCACCACGGCTGGGATACTGACTACAATGCAGAAAGCACCCAGTGTCTCCATCGCCTTCTCCCTCCCACATCAACCCAACCCCAGCCACCCAGGAATCCTGCTCCATTTCCATAAATCTGACATTTCAAGAATGTTATGTGAAGAAAATCATACAACCTGGAACCTTTGAGATTGGCTTTTTTCACCTAGAATTCTCTGGCTATTCATCCAGGTTGTTGCTTGGATCAGTAGTTTGCTCCTTTTTATTGCTGACTCGCATTCCATGGTAAGAGGGGACACCTAGGCTGTTTCCAGTTTTGGTCTGCTACGAACAAAGCTGCTATAACCATTCACATGTAGTTTTTGTGTGAGTGTATGTTTTCATTCCCTGGAATAAATATCCAGGAGTGCAGTTCCTAGGTTGTAGGTAGTTGCATGTTTAGTTTTTTTAAAAACTGCCAAACTGTCTCACACCAGCAGTGTATGAGTGATAGATATACTTACTTTGTGACGTTGCCAGCATTTGGTGTTGTCACCATTTGTTTTTTTTAGCCATTATAAAATAAGATGTTCATAAATAGCATGAACACCTCTTCATGCTATTTATCTTCTGTAGAAAGTCTTCTCGTGTCTTTTGCTCATATTCTAATTGGATTGTTTTGTGTTTTCACTATTGAGTTTGAGGGTCTTTATATAGTCTAAATACTAGTATATAGTCTAGATATTAGTCCTTTGCAAAAGGACATTTGCAAAATATTTTATCCTACTTCGTGGCTTATCTTTTCATCTTCCTTAGGACTTTGTGCAGAGCAAAAGTTTTTAATTTTAATGAAGTCCAGTTTATCCATTTAAATATGTTTCATTTTGTCTTGTTTTTTGTATAACACTACTTTCTGTATCAGCTTGAGATGATTTTTTTTTTTTTTTTTTTGCCTGTGGACGAAGGGTCACTCTAGCACCATTTGTTGAAAGACTGTATTTCCTCCATTGAATTCTTTCTGCACCTTTGTCAAAATTGGGCATATTTGTGTTGGTTTATTACTAACTACTGTTCCATTGATCCATGTGTCTGACTTTCCACCAATACCACACAGTCTTCATTACTGTGGATATATAATAAGTCTTGTGATTGGGTAAATAGATTATACCCTCTTTTTTTTTTAAATTAAAAATATTCTAGTTCATTTGCCTTTCCATGTAAATTTTAGAATAATCTTGTCCATATCTATAAAAAGTCTTGCTGGGATTTTGATGGGAATTGTGTTAAACTGAATATCAGTTGGGTGAGAATAGACATCTTAGAATCTTGCAGTCCACGAACACATTATGTCTCTCTTATTTAGATCTTCTTTGATTTCTCTCATCAGTGTTGTGTAGTGTTCAGCATTTCCTGTACATATTGTGTGGTATATACACCTAAGTATTTCTTTTTTTTGAAGCAATTTTAAGTGGTATTGTATTTTAATTTTGATGTCCACGTGTCCGTTGCTAGCATATAGAGATACAATTGATTTTTGTATGCTGATCCTGTATCCTGAAACTTTGTTGAACTCACTAGTTCTAGGAGTTTTTTGTAGATTCTGGGATTTTCTATACAGACAGCTATGTCATCTGTGAATATTTTATTTTGTCAGTTTTGATCTATATGCCTTTTATTTCCTTTTCCTGCCTTACTGCACTAGCTAGAAATTCGCGCACTATGTTGAATAAGAATTCTGAGATGGCCATCATTGCCTAGTTCCTGATATTAGAGGGAAAGCAATCAGCATTTCCCCATTATGTGTAATGCTAGCTGGAGGTTATTTAGAGATGCTTTTATGAAATTGAGCAAGTTCCCCTCTATTCCTACTTTCTGAGAGGTTTTTAAAAATAATTATGAATGGATGTTGGATTTTGTCAAATGCTTTTTCTGCATCAGTTGATAGGACCATGTGGCTTTTCTTCTGTAGAGCATTAATTTGGTGGATTACATTGGTTGATTTTTGAATATTAAACCGGCATCCCTGGAATAAACCCCCTTGGTCATGGTTTATAATTCTATAAATATATTGCTGAATTCTATTTACTAATATTTTGTTGATTTTTGCATCTATAGCAGTCCCCCTTTATTTGCAAGAGATACATTCCAACAGCCCCAGTGGATTCCTCAAACCACGGATAGTACTGAACCTGATTGCTTTCAGTTGGAACTCATTTTTGATTGGAAACAACCTAGATATCCCCTCATGTCAAACCCACAGATACTTTTTTCATCTTTTTTTTTTTTTTTTTTTTTTTTTTTTTTTTTTTTTTTTTTTTTTGAGACAGTGTCTTGCCCTGCCCTGTTGCCCAGGCCGGAGTGTAGTGGTAAAAGCATAGCTCACTGCAACCTTGAATTCCTGGGCTCAAGTGATCCTCATGCCTCAGCCTCCCACGTAGCTGGGCCTCTGCCAGCACTTGCCACCACACCTAGCTATTAATAATTTTTTTTTGGTAGAAACAGGGTCTTGTAGTTCCCAGGCTGGTCTCAAACTCCTGGCTTCATGCCATCCTCCTGCTTCAGCCTCCCAAATGCTGGAATTACAGGTGTGAGCCACCACACCCAGCCATAAATACTTTTTCTATCTTACCTGGGCACTTCATCACGCACAAGGGCTGTAACATTTGCAGTTCGAGGTGTGATAGAAAAATTAGCATGAATTTCTTTTTCTTTCTCAATTTCAGCGATAGAAGATTTATTCTTACTGTACATCTTAGCAACCTCAGCATATGATTTTTTTTCTTAAATTGAAAACTTTTACCATTTCCCTTAAAGGAAGCACTTTATGGCTTCTCTTTGGCATATTCAAATTGCTGTCATCACTACTCTTGTGCTTTGGGGCCATTATGTATAATACTAGCTGGATGCACAAGCACTGCAACACCACCACAGTCCATCTGATAACTGACAGCTACTAAGTGACTAAGGGGCAGGTAGAGTATACAGCGTGGATGCGCTGGACAAAGGGGAGGCTCCACATCCTGGGAAGATGGAGCAGGACGATGCAAGATTTCATCACACTACTCAGAATGGCATGCAGTTTAAAACCTGTAAATTATTTCAGGAATTTTCCATTTAATATTTTAAGGCTGTGGTTGACCGTGGGTAAGGGAAACCGTGGAACTGTGGATGGAGGAGGGGGGAACTACTGTGTATTAATGAGGAATATTAGTCCATAGTTCTTTATTTCATTTTTAAAAAATTTTGGGGTTTTGTCATGTAATTTGTTTGGTTTTGGTGTCAGGGTAACACCAGCTTCATAAAATGAATTGGAAAGTGTTTCTTCTTCTTCTTCTTCTTCCTTTTTTTTTTTTTTTTTTTTTTTTAACAATTATATAGAATTAGTGTCAGTTCCTTAAACACTTGTTAGAAATCTCCAGTAAAACCATCTGGGCTTGGAGATTTCTTTTTTGTGAGTTATGGAATTACATATTCAATTTCCTTAATAGTTATATAATCATTTAAATTATGTGTTTTTTAGAGAAGTGGGTCCATTTCCTATATGTTGTCAAATTAGTGTTGGTAGAATTGTATTAGTATTCCTCATTATCCCTTTGATGTCTGCAGAATCTGTGATGCTATCCCTGTTTTATTTCTGATAACAATTTGTGCCATTATGTCTTTTTTTTTCTTTTTTGGTCTTGTCAGCAGTGTTTTTTTGTTTTGTTTTTTGTTTTTTGAGATGAAGTTTCGCTCTTGTTGCCCAGGCTGGAATGCAGTGGAGCGATCTCGGCTCACTGCAACCTCTGCCTCCCAGGTTCAAGCGATTCTGCTGCCTCAGCCTCCAGAGTAGCTGGGATTACAGGCATGCTCCACTACGCCCGGCTAATTTTATATTTTTAGTAGAGACGGGGTTTCTTCATGTTGGTCAGGCTGGTCTCGAACTCCTGACCTCAGGTGATCTGCCCACCTCGGCCTCCCAAAGTGCTGGAATTACAGGCATGAACCACCGCGCCTGGCTGAAGTTGATCAGTTTTATCAGTCTGTTCAAAGAACCAGCTCTTTGTTTCACTGATTTTTTCATTGATTTCTACCTTTATCTTTTTTTTTTTTTCTTTTTGAGACGAAGTCTCACTCTGTTGCCCATGCTGGAGTGCAGTGTTACAGTCTTGGCTCACTGCAACCTCCGCCTCCCGGTTTCAGGCAATTCTCCTGCCTCAGCCTCCTGAGTAGCTGGGACTACAGGTGTGTGCCACCACACCCAGCTAATTTTTGTATTTTTAGTAGAGATGGGGTTTCACTGTGTTGGCCAGGCTGGTCTCAAACTCCTGACCTTGTGATCTGCTTGCCTCGGTCTGTAATCCCATAGTGCTGGGATTACAGGTGTGAGCCACTGCGCCCAGCCCGATTTCTACTTTTATCTTTTATTATTTCCTTCTTTTTCTTGCTTTTGATATATTTTGTACTTATTTTTCTAGGTTCTTGAGATAGAAGCTTAGATTATTTATTTGAGACCTTTCCTCTTTTCTAATGTGAGCATCATAGTTACGTTAGTTCCCTCCTAGGACTGCTTTAATTGTGTTATTGAGAGGGATGTTGAAGTCTCCAACAATATTTGTGGATTTATTTATTTTTCCTTTTAGTTCTATTAGTTTTAACTTCACATAATTTTGCAGCTCTGATGTTTAAAGGTGCATGAACATTTAGGCTCACTATGTCTCAGTGAATTGACCCTTTTATCATTATATAATATTCCTCTTTGTCTCTGGTCATTTTCTTTGTGCTGAAATATAATTTATCTGATAACATAACAACTCTGCTCTCCTTAGATTAATATTTTCAGGATGTATCACTTTTAGTTTTTTCTTTTCAACCTGCCTGTCATCATTATATTTGCAGTGAATTTTTTGTAGACAGTGTACAGTTGAATTATTTTAAAAATCTACTCTATCAATCTTTTAATTGGTGTATTTAGATCATTTACATTTAAAATATTTACGGATAACTTAGGGCATAGTTAATGCGTCTCTGGTTATTATTTCTGTTTTGTTTTGCTTTTTTTTTTTTCCTGCTTCCTTTGGGTTACTTGAACATTTTCTTTAGAATTGTATTTTGATTTATATATCAAAATATAGTTTTTTAAGTGTATCTCTTTGTATATATTTTTTACTGGTTATAATAAGACGTGACTTTATATAGACATAACTTGTCACAGTCTCTTGGTGGTGTCATTTTACCAGTTCAAGAGAGTACCTGTCTGTTCACTCCTTTACCTTTTCCTTGTATAATTGTCTTAAGTGTTTACTTCACATACGTTTAGAACCACATTAGACAGTTTTTGCTTTAGTCACGAAACAGAAAACTCAAGAGAAGGAAAGCCTAATTATTTACCCCCTCCCTCCCTTTATTTTACTGTGTTCTTTCTTCCTTTCAGATGTTCCAGGATTCCTTCTTCTATGATTTCCTTTTTGTTTAGAAAACTTCCTTTGGCCATTTTGCTAGGGGTAAGTCAGCAAAAAACTTCTCTTAGTTTTCCTTCATCTGAGAAGGTCTGGATTTCCCTTTCATTCCTGAAGGATATTTTTACTGGTTATAGGATTCTAGGTTGACAGGTGTTTTCTTTCAGCACCAGAAAAGTAGTGTGCCACTTCCTTCTGGTCTCCATGGTTCCTGATAAGAAATCTATTGTCATTCTGCTTAGTTTTCTCAAAACTATAAGGTCTTATTTTTCTCTGGCTGCTTTTGAGATTTTTTTTCTCTGGCTTTCTTTGTCTTTTAGGTTTTTCTTTAGTTTAGTTATTGTATGTCTTGGTCTGGATTTCTTTGGGTTTATCCTTTGATGTTCACTAAACTTCTTGAATGTGTAGGTTGCCACTTTTGCCAAATTTGGGAGGTTTCTAGCCATTCTTTGAGCCCTTTTTCCGCTTCACCCTTCCTCCTATCCTGCAGAGACTCTGATGACATGAATGTTAGACTTCTTGTTACAGTTCCACAGTTCCCTTTTATTTATTCATTTTTTCCTGTCTGTTTTTCCTCTGTTATTAGATGGGATGATTTCTGTTGTTCTGTGTTCCAGTTCACTGATTCTTTCATTGCCCCCAATCCTTCTGCTCTTAAGCCCACCCGGGAGCTTTTATTTCAGTTACCGTATTTTTCAATTTCAGGATTTTTGTTTGGTTCTTACAGCTTCTATTTCTTTGCTGTCTTTCCCTTTAATTCAAGTGTGCTCATAATTTCTTGTTGAAGCATTTTATCATGGGTGCTTTAAAATCTTTAAATGTGGGATAATTCTAGCATGGCTGTCATCTTGGTGTTGGCATTTCTTGGTTGTCTTTGTTCATTCAGTTTGTGACCTTCCTGGTTCTTGGTATGATGATGATTTTTGGTGGAAACCAAGTGTTTTTGTATTCTGTTGGGTGACTCTGGGTCTCATTTGAACCTTCTCTTTCAGTGGATTTTTCTGACAGTGCTTCCGTGGGGGAAGGGAGTCACCATGACCACCTGGTTACTTAGATGGAGACAGAAGTCCATCCCTCGGCCTCCACTGATGCCTGAACTGGGAGGCTCCTCATCATGGGTTCCCTTCCCACTGGGCAATGGTAAAAACCCTGACCCTCCTCTGGGCGCCCTCTGACACACCCTAGCATGGAGCAAGAAGGGTCCTCGTTGCTGTTGGTGGGATGTAAGGCCCTTGTGTCTTCTGACACCACCCTGGCCGGGGTGTGGGGCACCTCACAAGGGTGGAAGTCCAACCTTTGCTCACTTGGGGGTGGGGTGCTGCCTTTCCTGTGACTTTTGGCCAGAGTAAGGCGGTTCTTGTCTAAGAGTTTTCTGTCTTGTTGGGCTGCTCCTTTCTGGTTCTTCAGCTATGGAAAGTAGCTTTTTGTTGTTGTTTTTTTTGGTTGTGTGCCCATTGGCGTTTTCAGGTTGCCAGTTTCTCCAGTACCCACTCTGGGATAGTGAGACAAAAAGAAAGCCTGGGAGAGTCACCACGGTGTCCTTCCTTGGATCCTGGGTCCCTGGCCCACTTACCTTTTTTTCTCCACCTTTCAGAGTCTTCTCATGTTTGTCTTATACATGATGGCCCCAGGTTTTTGGTTGTACTTAGCAGGAGAAATCTACATCTGCCCCATCGTCCAGGAAGCAGAAGTTTCAAGGCACTGTTTTTGAAAGAGCTTCAGGTTGAAGGCACACCCAGACCACCAGCAGCCTCTTCCTAGAGGCCAGCCAGAAGTGGAGCCTCCGACTTGTGTGGGTCATGAGTGAAGGCCGAGTTTAATTGGAGAGGAGGTAGCTCGGGGGAGTCTCTCATGTGGTCACTTTTATATGGGATCCGGAGCCACATGCATCCTCTGGGAGGACCTGCATAGAAAGGGGCCCTGTGTGCAGGGCTGCTTGAAACAGGACTCGGGCCCCATCCTTTGGGTCCTTACAGCCCAGCTCAGATCCCCCATGTCAACAACAGATACCTGCTTCTCCTGCCTCCCTCCAAAATGCCCAGCAGCTCAACCAGAAAACAGCAAAGCTAAGCCTACCCACGCAGCATTTCCAGAGCACACTCCCTCCTGCCTGCTGCCTTTTGGGCTGTCTGTTTTAGTGTCCCAGTTTCAGATTATTATAGGACCGTCTGGAAGAGAATACTTTAGGGCCTTTTAGAGGTGCTGCCCCAGGACCAGGTGGGCGTGCGTGGGAGCCTCTGCCCGTGGGCATTGCTGCACTTAAAGACACTGTGGTCTGCTGTGCGGGGGAGGATGCAGCAGTTTTAGATAGTCTGAGACATAGAGAAGCAGCAGCTCTTCCTGGGAGGCCTTTCCCACGCCTTGGGGATGAGGACAGGTTGTCTGAGTCAGGACCTAGGTTATGTAAGGAGAAGGTAACTCAGAGAGGGCACCACCCACCCACTGCTGGCCTAGGCCGGTGGGCACTCACCTCCACTCCCTCTGCACACCTGCCTCAGGATCAAGGACACAGCCAGGGCTAGGCAGACCCCATCCCTGCCTTCCTGGAGCGAAGGTTCTGGGGTGGGGGTGGGGGGCAAGACATGTCATAGCAATGTAATTACGTACATAATGAAATGGTAGGTAGAAATTAGTTCTGTGATGTGCAGTGACGGTAATGGCAGAAGTGAGTTGTTAGAGACTGAGGGGGAGGGTCAGGACTGTCCCCTTGAGGAAGGGACATTTCGGGGAAGCCCTGAGGGATGGTAGAGAGGGCCAGGTTTTGGGGAGCTGAGGAGGCTGGGGGAGGCTGCGCAGCCCACGTGGCTGGCTGTGAGAGGCAAGAGTGGTGGTGATATAGCTGGCCAGTTCCTGTCCCTGGCTCCCTGGACTTGAGGAGTGAGTTCTCAGTAATTACAGATGGCTCCTCATGGCCCCATGGCGCCATCATTCCTGCCTCTGCACCTGTGCATCAGCTGCGCCCCTGCCCAGAGAGTCCTCTCCACCCCAGGCCTCCCCCTGTTATCTATGGGGTCCTTACCTTCAGGGCTTTTTTTTAATAGCTTTATTAAGATAAAATTCACACGTCATACGTTTAACCCATTTAAATGATACAATTCTATGATTTTTAGGATATTCCAACTGATGTGCAGCCATCATCACAGTCACTTTTAGAACATTACATCATCGCCAAAAGAAACCCTGCACCTCTTGGCTGTCACCAACCCCTTCCGCCGTCCCAGCCCCAGGCAGCCACTCCTCTGCTCTCTATCACTCTGGAATTGCTTTGATGAACGCTGGGTGGGGTGTCACCTGCATCCCAGCCTGCTCCTCCACCCAGAGGCCCTACATCTCGCTCTCTGCTCTGTGTCTGCGCCGCCCGCCCACCTGCATCAGTCCCCTCTGTGGTGATCCATATCAGGAAGTCACAGCCAAGCAAAGTGGCTGCTGCAGGCTCCCTGGTATACAGCACCCAGGGCCATGCACACGGGGTTCCTGAGCAGAGGTTTGCTGACGATGCCTGGGTTGAGACCAGGGCTCGGGTTCTGAGGGAACAGATGCTGATCCCTTGGCTCCCCACAGTTCCTCCTGGAGAAAGGTCAGGTAAATGTAGCTGATTATGTGATGACACCCCAAGCCCTGCCTCCAGAGGCCAGGGTGGTGGCGCATAGTCAAGATGGAGATAGAGGAATGGCTTGGCAGGCTAGCCTCTGGCCTCACAGGTGGGCACTTGTGGCCGGTGAGAGGCCGAGCTGGGAGTCACAGAGTCCAGATACACACAGGGAGTTGTCCAGCTCCGGCTTTCCCATGCAAGGCCTCTGGGTGGGGTCTGCTTAGGATGTGCACTCCTGGGTGGGGTGTGGAGAGGCCGAGCGTGTGTGCCCACCTTGAGGTTTGCTGGGCACAGCTGGAGTTCGTAGAGAGCACAGACCTCTCCTCGCCTTTGCTTCTGCCTTCCCAGGTGGGATTTCCACCACATACTCCTTGGCCCTCCTGGACTATGTCTGCAGCCAACACCCACTCCCCTGTTGCAGCAAAGCAAGCCTCTCCTGTCCTTGCAGCTTTCCCCCGACCCCAGGCACACAGCTCCACTTGCACCATTCATGGGGAAAGCCAGTGCTCCTGGGGACCTTGAGGACCCTGCAGGCGGAAGCCAAGTAAAGGGGGGTTCTTGGTTCAGCCTGGAGGCTGTGTGGCCTCTGGCACGTGGCCTGCCCTCTCTGAGTCACGGTCTGCAGCTACCAAATGAGGTAGTGTGGTGGGGCCTCCTAGTTTGGAGAGCACTGAATAAAAAGCACATCAGGAGGACCCATGAGGGGTCCTGTGTGTGTAAGCAGCAGTCAGAGAACTTGGGTTTTAATTTGTGTTACCGCCCTCCGAAAGGCACTGGATAAATGGGACTGGTTGTACCTTTTCCAATGCATTCTCGCCAGCTGGGTGTGGCTGAGGAAGGAGATTGAGCCAGAGTGTCTGTCTAGATTCCCCTTGTTGAGCTCCTCCCGTGGTCTGGGGAGTGGGGACTCTGTGGCTGGTAAAATATAGCAGTGCCTCACATTTGTTGAGACCTCACAGGCCAGACACTGTGCTCAGTGTTCTTTGTGCAGCTTTTTAAGTTGAGCTATAATTCACATATCTTAAGATTCACTCTCTTAAAGTATACAGTTTGGTGAGTTTTAGCATATTTACAATGTTGTGCAACCATCTCCACTGTCTAATTCTAGAATATTTTAGTCACCCACGAAAGAAACCCCATACCTGTTAGCTGTCTCTCCTTATTTCCTTTCCTCCAGTCCCTGGCGACCACTAATCTGCTTTCTGTGCTGTGGATTTGCCTATTCTGGACCATTTGCATAAGTGGAATTCTGTAATATGTGGGCTTTTGTGCCTGGCTTCTTTGACTTAGCATCATGTTTTCGGGGTTCCTCGGTGTTGTGGTGTATGTTAGTGCTTCATTCCTTTTTCTGGCTGAATAATGTTCCCTTGTGTGGACCCATCACACTTTGTTCATCTATTCATCTGTCCATGGATATTTGGGCTGTTACCACCTTTTGGCAGGTGTGAATAATACTGCTATGAACATTCATGTGCAGGTATTTATTTGAGCCCCTGTTTTCCGTTTTCTTGGGTGTGTATACATAGGGGTGAAATTGCTGGGCCCTAGGGTAACTCTGCCTTTAACTTTCTGAGGAACTGCCAGACTTTTCCAAGGTGGCAGCACCGTTTTACATCCCTGTGCTGGGTTTTACTGATTGCATTATCTCATCAGTCCTCACATCAGAGTCATGAGGTTTAGGTAGAATTGTCATCACTCTCACTTTTCAAATGGGAGAGTTTGAACTCAAAGAGTTTCTGCACGCAGTCACACAGCCAGTCAGTTGATGATTCTTTGGCCAGAGCTGGCTTTGATCACGAAAGCAGTCTCTTCTCCAGGCCCTGTTTTGTATCTTCAGGATGAAGCTTTTTGACTGTGTTGTTCATGTCCTATTTCCTGGCGCCTGGCACACACTGACACTCACATATTTGTTGAATAACATGTCATTTTTTCCTGATCTTGGTGGCTTGATCAGTAACTTGCAGGAGACAGCATGTCTTAGGGGATCCTGTACTCTCCAGGTTCTCACACTCCTGCCAGGGCCTGTATGCTCTCCACCCCGGATGCTGCAGAATCCCCGCCAGCCTCTGACTCTCAAGCAGCTGCAGACGCACCGCAGTGGAAATAGGTGTCATGACCTCTGCAGAGCAGAGGCAACATCTGTTTCCAGCGAGTGCTTGCTGTTAACTTGACCTGTTCTCTCTTCTGGGTTGAAGGCTGCTGGTGACCTGCCCTCTTTTTTCTCCTCTAGGCAAAACCCATTTATGGCGGTTGGCTGCTCCTGGCTCCAGATGGGACCGACTTTGACAACCCAGTGCACCGGTCTCGGGTAAGGGCATCAGAGCCAACTCTCAGGGAGGAACCAGAGAAGGGACCCATCTAAGGGTGAACTGGCAGAGTGGAAGAGGGAGATGGAGAGTTGAACAGTGGATCCTGGGATAGCAGGACCAGCAGGGCTCCCCCATTTGGTGCACTTGTACGTTGTACAGAAAAGGTCTCAATTATACATAGTTGTGTGTAGTGCTCCCTTCAGAATGAGGAGCTCTCATGTGGGTGTTGCCTGTTTTGTGGGTCAGGTTGACTCTAGGAACAGTAAAATGGAAGAGGCAAAAGAGCAGTTAAAGGTTTGCATTATACCGAGCAGCTCCCAATTCCTTCCATGCCAAGGCCTGCCCCTGTAGCACCTCCCTTCTTCCTGAGCCAGGGGTTCAGCACACTAGCACTAGTGAAGGGTTGGGGGCCCAGAGGCCTTGGCTTACCTCTTACTAAAATGTGCATTGCCCAGGGCAGGGCCCCGCTAGAGCTGGGACCATCATTGGCCTGACCTGTGGTTTGTTTCTCTGCCAGGAAGCCCCTCTGGATTTGACTCCGGTTACAAAACTCTCCTTCCTCACAAACTTTCTTACAGTGCTGCCGCTTGCACCCTATAAATTGCTTCCACTCAGCCCCCTCCATCCCCGGGAGCTCCCTTTCCTCTTCTTCTTAGTTTCTGCTGCTCATCCTTTCCCCACCCTGAATATTACACTTTGGAGTAGGGGCCTTGGGCTGTGTATTCTGGTCCCACAGGCCTTGCATTGTGTCTCTGTTCTTTGGGATTGCTTCTAGAATGGGTTTTGATTTCAGAGGCTGCACATAAGGCCCTTGGAAATGTTCCTGGGAAACATGTTCAGGTGGCCTCCTCTACACACCCAGCATAGACCAGCCCTCTACAAGGCCTCTTTGCAAGGCCCTTTGAGTCCCTGTTCATGCCACCCAGACAGGAGAACTCAGGCATCACTGGTCCAGCTGGGCTGCAGTTTCCAGGGAGTAGTTCCCTTTCCTATTTTATATCAAGGTTGTACAAAATTGCCATTTCCAGCCTCTGACAGGAGTCTTTTTATAAATGATAACCCTGGCCCAAAGCAGAGAGATGTGCTTTTATAGTCAGTTCACGTGGCCTCACTGCCAGTTAAACTCTGAGTATTGTTGGGCTCTTTGCTTTTTTTTTTTTTTTTTTTTTTTGAAACAGAGTCTTGCTCTGTCACCCAGGCTGGAGTGCAGTGGCATGATCTCGATTCAGTGCAGTCTTGACCTCCCAGGTTCATGTGATCCTCTTACCTCAGCCTCCTGAGTAGCTGGGGCTACAGGCGTGCATCACCATGCCTAGCTAATTTTTGTATTTTTTGTAGAGACGGGGTTTCACCATGCTGCCCAGGCTGGATTGGGCTTGTTGAAATGTTGAAAATAGGTCATGGACCCTTGTGATGATTTGGGGCTGGGAGCTGTGCCTGTCATTCATGACCTGGGCCAGCAGACTCGCATTATGGACAAGTCCCTTCTCCCCACACAAAGGAAGACATACACCGCATAGTCCATTTCATTTCAGCTCCTGATGGCATCTGACCGCCGTGGACACTTCCCAGTGGTCTGGCTTTTGGAGGGAGAGTAGAGCGGGGGATGATCTGTGCCAGTTGGTCACTCCTTGGATATTGGAGTTATTTCCACTGGTCTTGCTGCTCCTCTGTTTTGATTTTCATTAACTCATTTCACCTCAGTGAATTCTGGAGCCTGGCTGTTTTTGTGCCTCCTCTTTGCCAGTGGATCATCAGAACAACCCCTTTTGTAGCAGTTTCCCAGGTTTTTTCAGAAGTGGTGAATCCATGCCTTGGCATTCCTGGATTATTCCATGTCATGTCAGATCATTCATCAAATAAATATTGACACATGTCATGTGATGCATTCTATGCTGAGCACCATCAGGAATACAAAAAGGTAACCACACGTTGTTTCTGCTCCTGAGGAGCTTCCAAGTGTTAAAAAAAAAAAAAAAAAAAGACTTCTTATTAAGCCTCAATCACTCATGTGATTTGGGCCTGTCTCCCAGCCCAGTCCTGGCTGATGAATCAACATTCTTGTGCCTCGGGTCCCTCTTTTCCTGCCACCTGCCCCAGAAGTGGAATCTGTGGAGTGACCTTCCTTAGATATGGACTTGTCAGACGTGGGAACTCCAGAAGCCAAGCTCTGGGGCCAGGACCCAGATCCTCCTAACCACCCACCTTGTGCTCCGTTGCAGAAATGGCAGCGACGGTTCTTCATCCTTTACGAGCACGGCCTCTTGCGCTACGCCCTGGATGAGATGGTAAGTGTTATCCTTGCCCACTCCCTGTCCCCAGCCTTCACCAAGTCCCTCCATTACAGTGCCCTTGCGTTGTCATGTGAGAGCACAGCAGCCATGTGCTCCTGCTTGTGTCTGTTTGGGAGTGTGGAATGTTTTGAAGAACTTGTGGCACCTGCTGGAGACAGCTTTAAAAACCCAGACCTTTGGTTTGAAACATCATCTTCTGTGGTCTTGAGTGAGAGGAAGAAGTGAGGGAGGAAGTCATTTCTGTTGAAGGCTAATAGTGTGGACTTCACTGGAGCACTCCTGGTTAGGGGAAAGCAAGGGCAAAGTCCTGGATCACGTGTGCAGGCTGTGGACCTGTGGGCGTGGGGCAGGGGCTGGCCCTGGGGCTGGCACATGTGCTCACGCACCTAGTCCTGGGGTTGCCTGTCAATTCTGCGACTGTAATTGGTTTTGCTTGTCTCATTTGAGCTTGGCTTAGTTTTCCGAGCTGACTTCAGAGGCCTCCTGGTCACAAGGTCATCGTTCTTCTGGTCACTAAACCAGGCAGACAGGCTTCTTCCTCCTCCCCACCTCCCTGGTTTTCCAGTTGCTTCCTGGGCTGGATGAGTGTTTGCTGCTGTTGCCCCAGAGGCCAAACCTGAAAATCAACTAGGTGGAATTTCTGGCTTTTCTTTTTCCACCCATTTTATCTCCTGACTTTTTCTCTAAAGGAGATTAGTCTCTCCTAATTAATCTAAAGTAGGACTGCATTCCAAACTTTGTAAAGGGTTGAAGATGCGAGATTTGATCGCCTTTTCCAGTTCCACTTGGTGGGTGAATGTTTGTGTGCCCATATGTGCAGCATTTTAAAATTGGGACTGTCCTGGAAAGCCTAGTCTCACTATGTAAAATAGGCAGCCCCTGCCTATCCTACCCAGAGTTTGTTTCTTTGCTGCAGGGGCGAGACAGACTCTGGAAGTATGAGTGGAGATAACTGTCCCTAGAGGTACCTTCCAGACTGCGGCAGGGGGTGGCGGGGGTGCCTGGGATTTTTGGGTGGTCATTACAGCTCACATGTGCAAAGGTCAGAAGTGGGCGTGTTTGTACTCGAGTCCTAACCTTTGTGATGTGATATGTTTTCTACTTTTGTTTCTGGGGTGAATTAAGAGGATGGTACCATAATCCTGTATCAACTGTCACCTCACTGGTTCCTACTTAAAAAGAATTGTCTTCCTTTTCATTCTTTCCGGTGAGCATATTTGTACATCATGATTAGAGCATAGGGGGTTTTTGCTATGGGAACGTCTGTGCTCCAGGGTAGTGTACTGGAGGTGAGCACCGATTGTGGACTTGGCTGGAAGTAGGAGCAGGGAGACAAAGCATTTGGACACTCCGTTCCTTTGAGGCAAGAAAGCAGACCTGGAGG
The DNA here is from genome assembly GCF_000001405.40 of Homo sapiens. Classification (NCBI taxonomy): domain Eukaryota; kingdom Metazoa; phylum Chordata; class Mammalia; order Primates; family Hominidae; genus Homo; species Homo sapiens. The sequence continues at coordinate 17,079,467 of NC_000017.11, forward strand.
ATTAGACTTCACACTTCGTGTTCTCCTGGCTTAGCCCTTACACAGGGAGTAGCCCTGGGGTCAGAGCTGGGCTCCTGCAGCTGTGAGGTTTATCTTGCCTCCCTGTGGCTGACTGACTGGCTGAGTCCTGCAATTGACTTAACAGTATCAGAGGAGCCTCAAGAGGTCACTGGATTACATTCAGGCTGGGCTGGGTCATGAACCATCCCAAAAAAACAAAGTTCCCTGCACTGTTTCCTTGGGGACTGATAATTTCAGTCAGGAAATCTTTCTTTAGGTCTAACTAAAGTCCAGCAAAATCCATTATTCCCTCTGGCTCAGTTGCACAAGCACAAAGAGGGTAGCTTCTGGGGACGCCTTGGTGCTGGCACAAGTGCAGAGCACATGCTGCCTCCCAGGCACGGCTTCTGGATAATTGAGGCCGCTTAGCCAGGAGCACCGACACTTCACAGTGCACTGTGGTCTCCCAGCAACCTGGATATGAGTTGCGTATTATTTCATGGAGTGCTCAGGCAGAGGTGGGACTGTGCCAGGGATGTGGGGAAAGAAAGAAGTCCCAGGGAAAACTTGGACTGAGAGAGGGCATGGGGGCAGGCCCAGAGCTGGGAGTTTTGGGCCACGGGCTGCTTTCTGGCAGATGACCTGGGAGCTGGAGAAACTGACCCAGTGAGCCCATCAGTAAATACTGCTTTGCCCAGCCGAGGCTGTGGAGGGGTTTCCCTGTTGTATCAGGAAGGTCACAGGGGAAGGTTGCAAGGAGGCACTTAGGGTAGAAGCCAGGTGGGAGGAGGCAGAGGCTGGAGAGATTTCTCTAGCACCCAGTGCTCTGCATCAGGGTTTGCTCCTCAGAGCCACTCCCCAGAGTGAGCAGACAGCCTGTAGCCCAGGAGCTCCAGCTTAACGGTCAACCGCCCTGAGCTGAGAGTCCCACCCCAAACAGGCTGGCAGGATCCTGAGACCTGGAGCAGGAAAACTCCATTTCAGATAGGCTTATGTGTGGGTAAACTCCAGCCAAGCTGGAAGCTTCCTTTGTGAGTGCCTGGAAATAGACCAGTGGTCCTCAGCGTCATGCCTCCCAGGGCCACTGGCCATGTCTGGAGTCATCCTTGATTGTCACACCTGGGGCAGGAATGCTGCTGGCATCTAGTGGGTGGAGGCCAGGGATGCTACTGAATCTCCTTCACAGAACAGCCCCCAGAACAAGGAAGGCTCCAGCCCAAAATGTCAACAGTGCCAAGGCCAAGAAACTGAGCAGTTTCGACAGGGGTTTATTTAAATTCTTATTTATTTTTAAAAATGAAAATGTAAATGTGATTTGCTATTAGCTCTGCTCTTAAACAGCACGGGACTCACCTGTCAGATTTCCTGGAGTGAGGGGGATGATGGTGCAGTGCCAGTCGTAGAATGGGGTGGGCCTGTTTCTGATCTAGAGAGGTCTACGGGGTTCCCCTGCACACCAGGCAACCACAGGGCCTGCAGAACTGCTTGTGTGTGTGTGTACCAGGGAGCACATAGGTGGCACTCCCTACGTGGTGCCCTCAGACCGTGATGTTGCAAAGCAATCCCTACCTGGGCATTTGTCTCCAAAAGCAGCAGCTCTAAGCAGCCCGTGGCTACCTCTGACCCTCCCAGGCTCATATAATAAACTATAGCATTTTATGGCTGGTCTGTGCCCTCCACACTCAATCAGCATCTATTTCGAATTGTTACTGACTTATATGATGTTACCATTTGATTTCATTTGCTTGAGTGTTATCTTGCCAACTAGACTGACTTCTTGTTGTTGTTGGGCCCGTGATAATTCTTGGTGTGTCTCCCCATTGTCTAGCATGGGGTTTGGGCGGCACAAATCTAGCCAGGTGTTCTGTAAATATGTGTGGAGTTGAACTACCAACTTTGTAAATGCCTTGCTGCGTAATTTCTGCTCCCAGCTTGAAAACCTTAAGACAGGGCGGGTAGGAAAAGAGAGAAGATAGGAAAAGGGGTGTTCCTCGGAGGGAGATTAGCAATGTAGTGACCTTTAGGGATTACTCAGCAGAAGGGAGAAAACCTCCCAAGAGCTCCAGATAACTGGGATGGGGAAAATTCGGTTACCTCAGCCCCACTGGGTTGGGACCTGGAGAGGAAGGTGGACATCAGGAGGTCACAGCGTGCAGGAGAGGGAGGAAGGCAGCAGCAGTCCCTGGATCTGGGGACAGTGGCTTCGGGAAGCCCTTTCTGCTCGGGGACTTCTGCTGGGGCTGGGGCTGCTGGACTTCATCCAGTTCCGGAAGCTGACCATTGCCTCTCCAGGCAGCCCTGAGATGGGGCTAACTTTGGGGAATCTCTTTTCCTTTTTTGGGAAATTTCTTTCTCGATACACCCACGTACCCTGTAACTGGTGGGTGTGGAGGAGAGGCAAATTTCCCGAAAAAGGAAAAGAAATTTCTCAAATGCAGGCTGAGGTGAGGTGGGGTCCGGGCAGCCTCACAGACAAGTAAAAGCCTGAGAGATTTGGCTGGGCCCCTGGTTTTTCAGGAGTGGACAAAGCAACAATCTAGAAACCCAGATTGCTGCCTCTGTCCTCTGCCTTTGTTTCTCCACCTGTAAAGTGCTGCCCATGATTTTACCTAATTCTGTCACCAAGTTTTTGGGGACTGATGTCGAGCTGAGGTGTGGATGTCACCAGACATCACTAGAAGGCTCTTGGGAGGAGCTCCAGGTCTAGAAGGAGAGTGGGAGCGCCAGGAGTTTAGGGTGGAGCAGGCCAGGCCATGAGGCTTTGGGATTCTCAAGGGCCTGCTCTCCAAGGCAAAAAGCTGATCAAATGCTTTTTCCAATTTTTTTTTTTTTTTTTTTTTTTTTTTGAGACGGAGTTTCGCTCTTGTTGCCCAGGCTGGAGTGCAATGGCGCAGTCTCGGCTCACAGCAACCTCCGACTCCCAGGTTCAAACCATTATCCTGCCTCAGCCTCCGGAGTAGCTGGGATTACAGGCATGGGCCACCATGCCCAGCTAATTTTGTATTTTTAGTAGAGATGGGGTTTCTTCATGCTGGACAGGCTGGTCTTGAACTCCAGACCTCAGGTGATCCGCCCGCCTCGGCCTCCCAAAGTGCTGGGATTACAGGCATGAGCCACCGTGCCCGGTCTGTTCGAATGTTTTTAACTGTGGTAAGTACACTGGAAATTCACCATCTTAATCGTTTTTAAGTGTGCAGTTCAGTGGCATTAAGTACATTCACATTGTTGCACAACCACCACCACCGGTCTCTCTCCAGGACCCTTTTCAACTTGCTAACTGAACTGTGCACCCATTGAACTATAACTCCCTTCCCCAGCCCCTGGAAACCCCCATGCTATTCTCTGTCTCTATGAATTTGACTCCTCCAGCACCTCACATAAATGGGATCATGCAGTGTTTGTCCTTTGTGACTGGTGTATTTCACTCAGCATAAGGTCCTGAAAGATCATCCTGGTTGGTGTCAGAATTTCCTCCCTCCTGATTGTGGTAGGTCTGATGATCTTGGACCATGTCTGCTGACCCCAAGCCTCTCACACATGGAAGCCATGGAGAGACTGAGGCCACCTTCTGTGGCAGGCATGGTGCTGAGGGCCGGCCTCCATGGTGTGGAGCTCTGCTCCATCCTAGCCTGGAGAGTCCTTGAGCATCACGAGAGATGAGAGCTGCCTGACTGTGTAGGGGCTGTGCTAAGGACTCATAATCTCAGCTCACATCCTCGGACATAGTAGAGAAAACACTTCTAGCTCTTGGATATGTGCCTTTTTCAGGGGCAACCTGGGAGTTTGTCAGTCCCGTAAGATGTGAAGTTCCAGCCTGAGAAATTAATTTGGGGTGCCTGTGTACTTGTGTATAAAGTAAACAGGCTTGGTCCAAAGGATCTTCAGAGCACTCCAGGTGCAGACAGGTTAGGATTCTGGTTTATTTTGAGTTTGCTTCCTATAGGAGAGTGTCCAGGAGGTTGCCTTGTTCTTGGGACCTCTGCTCACCTCACTCTTGACAAATTTCTGCAATTTTTGGTGGTATTAAAGCCATGAGCAGCCCAACGTTGCCTAGGCCTGTGAGAGCCTAGGAGGAGGGGCATTACCGCTGAGCCCTGCTGTCTTTAGGATCTATCATTTGAGGTTTCTCTCCCTTTTCTGCAGCTGACCGCCCAGTTCCCATTGCTCCCTAAGCCATTTTTTTGCAGATGTTGCCCTGCATCAGAATCTGCAGGGCGAGGCTGGGAAACCAGTTTAAATAACCACTTTGTGTGTTTTTTTGTTGTTGTTTTTGTTTTTGTTTGTTTGTTTGTTTTTGAGATGGAGTCTCACTCTGTCGCCAGGCTGGAGTGCAGTGGCGTGATCTTGGCTCACTGCAACCTCCGTCTCCCGGGTTCAAGTGATTCTCCTGCTTCAGCCTCCCGAGTAGCTGGAACTACAGGCCCGCGCCACCATGCCCGGCTAATTTTTTGCATTTTTAGTAGAAACGGTTTCATCGTGTTAGCCAGGATGGTCTCGATCTCCTGACCTCGTGATCCGCCCGCCTCGGCCTCCCAGAGTCCATGTGATTTCTAACCACTCCATTTGAGAACTGCTGCTTCAAGCTCTGACTTTGTTTCCTCTAGCTCGGAGCTTTCCCAGGCAGGCGAGAGGAACCATCTGCTCCTCCTTGGTGCTGAGGCACCTCCCGGGCATCTGATTCTTTGGGAACCATAGTGGCTGCTGTGTCCGTAACAGAGCGGTTGAGAGGACACTAGGCCATGGAAGGCCTCTTCTGTGGTGAAGCTCATACCTTTCAGGACCCACATGAACATATGCAGACTAAATCCCTAGCAGAACCATGATGTGTAGGCTCTTAAAGGCGGTGGGTGGTTGGGGAGGCAGAGAAGTCTTCTGGGAGGAGACAGGTGGCACTTGGCTGCCTTTTCGCTCATCACAGAGATTCGGGAGGAGCCATGTGCCCGGCCGGGGCTCCTTGCTGGCACTTTCTGCCCATTCTCTATCCTACTTCTCACAATGGTAGATACCATGTCCATTTCACAGTTGAAAAGACTGAGGCCCAGAGAGATTGCGAGGTGGCTCAACTAATGAGTGACAGACCTTGATGTGTAGGCAAGGCAGACTCCTGCTGAGAGAGGGATGGTGTCTTTCCTTCACCAAGTGATCTTGTCCTTCACATTCAGAGAGGCCGCTCCACCAGCACCTGCTGCCTCGTGCGGGTGGAAAATAGGGCTTGCTGGAGGCCAGGCAGGGCTCTCAGTGTCCTTCCTGACCCTCTGGTTTGTCTGTTGCTGCAGACTGACCCAACTATAGTAGCTGACCTGTGTCTTTATTAATGCCATTGAACCAAGCTAGCTGCAGGCCTGCAACGCTGTAGGGTCCACCTGCCTTCTTTGCTACATGGGCATATGAATATATATTCAGAGAGATTTACAGAAATCAGAACAATAAGAACATAGAGCCTGTAACTGTCTGAGAGGCAGAGAAGCTTCCTTAGGCCTGGAGGCCCTTCATGTTTAAAGGACAGGAAGGGGCAAGACAGGGAACCGGGGAAGATGTTTTATGGGTCAGTCTTATACTTTCAGGTTTAGCTTTAAATCTGTCATGTTTCAGCCTTGCCCTGGCCTTTGTGCTGAGGTCCTGGTCGCAAGGGAAAGGAGGCAGGTCCTGTTGTGTGGTGCGTGGAGCCCAAGTACCTTAGGGAGGGCTTGTTGGAGTGGGGTCAGTAACTGTGGGGTCACCCAGGCCCTCTCTCCCTGTGTAGGCACCTCCCGGGCTATTCGGACCACAGGAAGCCCTGTGTTCTTTCCTCCTCTGCTCAGCTGCTCATTTCTATTTCTGTGCTGTGTGTTTTCAGAATCAGATCATTTAAAAAAACAACTTTGGACTCGGGTGTGTTTTCATCTTTACATGAGCCCCACGAGCAAGGTATGAGGGGCTGTTAATGGGGGAGGTAGCCCCCGCAGGCCCTCCCCATGCATCGCATTCCCGCGGGGTCCCTAGGTGCTTTCAGACTTTTGGTTGAGAGACTTCGGTCTTTAAGTGGAATTCTGCACGGAGTCTTAATACAAGTTTTAAAATGTATACAGTCAGGTGCTGCTTTATTTGAAGTTTTGGAATATTTCTGACCCCTCCCTCATCAACAACCCCTGCCCCTGGCAGCTGCAGAAAAGAATACACACTGACGGCTGGGTGTGGTGGCTCACGCCTGTAATCCCAGCACTTTGGGAGGCCGAGGCGAGCAGATCACGAGGTCAGGAGATCGAGACCATCTAGCTAACACGGTGAAACCCCATCTCTACTAAAAATACAAAAAAATTAGCCAGGCATGGTGGCGGGTGCCTGTACTCCCAGCTACTCTGGAGGCTGAGGCAGGAGAATGGCATGATCCCGGGAGGCAGAGCTTGCAGTGAGCTGAGATCACGCCACTGCACTCCAGCCTGGGCAGCAGAGTGAGACTCTGTCTCAAAACAAAAAGGAATACACACTGACCAGACCGGACCAACCTCCTTCTCTGCGGAATTATCCAGGTGCCCAGAGGCCCAGATCACAGACCTGTTCAGGAAAGGCACCTCTTCTTGTGCAATCATTTGATAATTTTTCCAAATGAATAAATTTATTTTTTAAAGATTTCCCAAAGTAGTCAATGTCTTCAAGCTCTTTGCCAGTGGTGACTGGTGAATGAGCAGTGCCCATGTTTATAGGTGAACTCTCAGGCACACGGAGGCTTGTGTTCACAAGGAGAAGCGGCTGGGTCCGGAGCACAGTCCATTGGCTTTCAGGGCTGGCATGGCCACGAGATTCCAGAAATTGAAGACAAGCCAAGGGTGTTGAGAAGGTTCTTCCAGGGTGTTGAGGATTTTTTACCCCTGCCCTCCACCCGACTTGACTTTTCAGGACACAGAGCCTTAGATGAGTCCCCATCCCGTCTTGATTTGGTCATGACAATTGAGATGTTGCCTATTTGTAACAATGAATTCCTTAATGAAGGAAGGTAGATTCTTGGCTGGAAGATGAGGTCTGAACCAGTGCGGTGGAGTCTGTGCGATGCTCTTTTCAGCAGCAGGGAGTTGGTGGGATAATAAGTGGGGCAGGGAGGGCCCTGCTCGACTGAGCTTCCTGTAGGCCACTTTGCCTTAGAGCATCTGTGGCCAGATTTAAGTTATTTTGAAACACTAAAGGTGAGTGAGCCAGGTCTGGGTGCAGGTGAACCCAGGTAGGATGGAAACGCTTCCTAAGTGCTGTGAAAGTAGAGGGTAGGGGTCATAAGGGAAGCTCAGAGCTGTTTGCTGACAAGTGACACCCACTTTTTTTCCCTGAAGTGTAATTTACGGTGACTCATGAAAGTTCACCCATTTGAGTGGAGCACGTAGAGGTCGGAGCATTCTCTGTACCTCCGTGGGAGCTTCAAGATGGATGTTCTCTGGAAACTGGAGGCTGAGCTTTAAGCCCCCTCCCTTCCTTTTGTCATAGTTGGGAGGTTGGGGGAGAAGAGCTAATGACAGGTCCGGGAAGGGCTTGGGACCCAGTCTTATAAGTCTCTTGGACCCGGAACTGTTAGGCAGGGGCAGGTTCTGCCTTTGGGAGCTTTCTTGTTGTTTGCACCTCTGCCCAGAGGCCCAAGTGACATTTCCCACACTGAAAGAATCAGGGAATGGAAGCCAGCAAAGGTTAATCATGGGACTGTGTGGACCAAAAACAGCCAACTCCTGAGGGTGACAGTTGGGGGTTCCCACTGTGACCTGATCCAGACCTTCCATTTTGTAGTGAGGAAGCTTAGCTAGGGGGAGGGGGAGGGAGTGACTGAACCACAGATGTGGACAAGCAGCCGGGTCCCTGGATCTCCTGTCCCGACTTAGAGCCTGGGAGTTGCCCTTCAGGGAAGGAAAGAGGGAGAGGGAAGTGTGTGGGGCAGTTTGAATGTTCTGTGCCTCCAGTATTAGATGTTCTGTACCTCCAGTGTTGGAGTCATACGTGGATGGCTGAGCCCTGTAGAGGGAAGAAGTTGGAGCAGAACGTGCCAGAGTGAGCAGGCAAAGAGGATCAGAGGAAGGGACCTCTGCAGGTACTGAGAGGGCTCTGCAGGTCACCCTGGGTCATTCTGGAGAGCCAAGAGAAGACACAGGTTGGCCCTGGCCAGACGCGAGTCCTCCCTGTGTTCCTAACCCGAGGACACCTGTCAGAGCATGCGGAGCACCTTGCCCTTAACTTCCACGAGGATCTCCCTCTACAGGACGGTGAGCGCCTCTAGGCAGCACTGGTGTCTGCCTGCGTAGACAGGGCACATGTTGGTTGGCTGGCGAATCAGGCAGCTGTCCTCCCCAGCTCTTTCTTGCTTGAGTTTCTGATGTAAAGATTTCAGGTAGGCCACTCCCAAAAGTCCCCCTTCTTTGAATCTCAGGCCGCACTGAGAGGATTTGGTGACCTCAGGTGCCCAGTGAGTGCCTTTCTGTCTCATCAGGACTGTCCCGTGCGCTTACCTTCCTGTTACATAAGTGGTGAGTCAAGGACACAAAATGGGAATTAGCTGCCAGCCTGTGTTCAGGGCTATAATGAGATACCCACATTCTCTCTCTGCCTTCCCTGTGTTGCCTGAGTGGAGTGACTGCTGGCCACCCACAATTGATTATCAAGGGGCTGAAGAGGGGTTCCACCTGGTTATCCACTTAGGTGCTCTCTGTTCAGACTTTTGCCATGTGCACAGCTCTTTCAGTGATGGAAGGTGATGGGAGCGGCGAGAGCTGTCGTGAGGGTAAAGGGGTTTCTGTGGCCCACACCCCGCACTGGGGAGGCAGCCAGGAAGATGGGCTGTGATTGGCACCCTTGCTGGTCTATCTTCAGAGCTGTGGGTGGACTTCTCTGCAGCAGCTGTGACGGTACCCTGCAGCGTGAAGGCTCGTGATAACGTACTGGGCGTCTCCCTCCCACACAGAGAGAAATGACTTTAGATATTAAGAAAGTGAAAAGCTTGGAATAGTTGGTTAGGAAACTAATTAAGTAAGAGCGGGGAAAGAAGTGTCAAAAAAAGTCATTTCATGGGAGGTGCAACAGAAAATATTTAGGGTTGAAAAAGCAAAGCCACATGGCTGGTGCTAGTGTCTTCACGTGTTTGTGCAGTGCTCACACACTTGCACAAACAGGGCTGGCAGCATGGAGCCAGACTGCAAAGTCCCCCAGGGGCACATCCCTTCCACTCTCACCTTTTAGGCTTCCCTTGCTCTGCCCCCTGCTGAGATCCCCACCTGCCTGGCCATGTCTTTTGCCTGGGGCATTCCTGGAAAATATATCATGTCCAAAAACAGTCTGATGAGCTGATCCACGTAGGGCACCACTTCTGGCAGGCAATGTAGTATGTTAGTGTCTTAGCCTCTCCTGGCCTCTGCAAGACTGTTTTTCAGAAAAATCTTTTCTTTGGCCGGGAAGGAAATGTTCTTTATGGTGGGGAAAACTCTCTGAACCCGGGGAGCAGTTGCACTGGTGGGATCTCAGAGATGCAGGTCAGCAGCACAGGGACCTTAGGAAGGAGGTGTCCTTCACCTTATGCCATGTACTGGCCTGAGGGCTGGTCCAGCCCACACACAGGCACGGACCAGTCACTTGCAAACACCTGCCCTCAGTGTGTCAGAATCGAACTCCAGGGTGGCTTCCTTTGTGGGAGGTGCCAGTCACAGCACACAACATGGCAGGTGTGTTTGTTTCCTGTGGCCACTGTAACAAGTTGCCACAAACTTAGTGGCTTAAAACAACACATCTTTGTTCTCTGATGGCTCTGGAGGTTGAGAGTCCAAAATGAGTACCACTTAGCTAAGGTCCAGATGTGAGCAGGGCAGCTTCCTTCTGAGGTCCCGGGGGAGAATCCCCTCTCCACTGTTTGCAGGCTCCAGTGGCCACCTGCCTTCCTTGGCTCGTGGCCTCTTCCTGTCACCACTACAGTCTCTTGCTCCTGTCATCACATTTCCTTATCCTCTTTGTCACATTTTCCTCTGCCTCCCTCTTAGATCAGAATCTGGATGACTTTTTCTTTCATTTTTTATTTTTTAGAGATTGGGTTTTTTTTTGTCACCTATCCTGGAGTGCAGTGGCGCAGTCATAGCTCACTGCAGCCTTGAGCTCCTGGGCCCAAGTGATCTTCCTACCTGAGCCTTTCGAGTATCTGGGATTACAGATGCTCCGGTGTTGAGCTCTGGGGAGTTCAGCAGGGCTAAGTAGGACTTGTGGGGGTGCTGCTAGGTGTGAGGTGTAGGCGTGAGAAACGGGGAAAGGAAGATGGGGCCACCAGAGACTGCCCTGATGGATGACATAGTCACCACCTAGGTATCAGCATCACCCCACTTCCAGAGCATTTGTGTTTTCAGTGTGAAGCAGGATCAGGGAATGTCATTGCTGGAAAGGACCTGGAAGAGCCAGCCCCGTCCTCAGTTGGGGGCGATGGAGAAGTGGCTTTTGCTCCGGTTGGGGCAGTGTGGAGCCTGGCACTGCAGAGCTTTGAAGGTTTCCCTGACTCAAGTCAGCGTGGAAGCTGAGCCCCTCAATGTGTAGAGCGCAGCAGACACGACGCCTGGCCTCCTGTTCACTGATTCAACCCCAGGGGGAGGTGGGGAGACGGAAAAGACTCCTTGTCCTTGAGCAGGGTCGTCTTGTTGGTGAGACTGGTTTTGTGTTTCTCACGTGTGAGGTGCAGACAGGCATGGTGTTGCAGACCAAGACCTTGGGGCACGAAGGTGAAGGAACAGGGACAGAGCAGGTGGAGGAGGAGAGAGACTCCCTGGAGCCACAAGGCTCTGAAGGACTGTGCAGTCCCAGCTGTGACCTACCTCCAACCAGCCGCACTAAGGCAGGCTTGTCCCGCAGGGGCAGAAGGGTCTTACGGCCCCAACCCGTCCCCTGTCCTCATGTAGCTAATGCTTGCTTTTGGGCTTCTGTCTGTTCCTCTGCCTCGATGGAAGGGTGGTAGATGGGCTGCTCCACAAAGTCTAATAAGCAGTGAGTCATTGTCTTCCTCTGAGCCCACCAGGGTTGCACCTGGTGGCTGGGGAATGCTTTGTGATGCCCAGGGCCCAGCTGAGAAGCAGTGGTGTTGGGGTTCATCAGTGGTGTTGGCCGTCTGTCTGCAGGGTGCAGTGGCTGTCTTGGGGCAAAAGTCCAAGGCTCACTTCCTCTGGACACTGAGTACAGTTTTTGGAACCAGCAAGCGTCTGTGATCAGTGTAGAGGTAAAAAGAAATCACACACAAACCACAGTGCTAGCGTCCTCACTGTGTTTGCATTTAATCCTGAAAATGGTCGCATGAGGAGAGCAGTAACTTGCCCAAAATCAGGGTTTTTCTGGGCGATCTGGGGGTTTTGCGTTGAGCCACAGGTTGGAGACCTGGTGGGTGGAGCTACTCTGGCTCCATTCCCATTCTGTGAGCTGGGGCCCAGACACGCCCTAGCCTGAAGGTTTTGGAGCCTTACCTGGTTAATGTTTGAAGATCTCGGCTATGCCAGGATAAACTGGAGCAGGTATTTACACCTCTGCCAAGTGATGGGCCCTAACGCTGTCAGGTGGCCAATACCTGTGGAGCGTGCCGGCCACAGGGGAACACAGGGCCAGGAGTCCTCTTGGCTTCATCCCCCAAGACAGCTGAGGTTTGAAGATCTCGGGGGCGGTTGGGGAGGGGGTGGGGTTTGACTTGCACCTGGATATGGAGGACATGCTTGCCTGGCCCTGACTTCCAGTGGGTTTTCAGCAAGAGACCCACCGAGGACGACCATATATTCTGGTCCCAGCAGCGGACCCAGAGGCCGTTCTAGCTGTATCTGAAGGGGCCATGAGAACGGTAGGTGTGGGGTGGTCTGGGAAGGAGGGTCTTTGGGGACATCATCTAGTCCAGCCCTCACCTTTGACAGATGAGGAAACTGAGACCCAGGGGGCAGGCAGGGTCCCCACTATCACTCCCAGTAGGCTTCAGAGACAGATGCCGCTTGCTCCGTGCAGCATCCCTCCCTGCCCGGATTGGTGTGAACAGGGCAGTTGTCAGCGAGCAGTGAGCGACCAAGAGAGACACTCCTCAAGGCTCAGCCCAGCAGATGCTCTCGTGCGTATTAGGTGCTGGGTGACTGGGGGCTGAATGGAATGTGTTGTCCAGGGTCATGCGGCTGGTTGTCCCAGAACCATGGCTGGACAGCCGACCCTTTTCCAGTGCCCTTTTCACTACATCACATCCCTTGCGGTCCTCCCGGCCCTGCTTAAAGAGGCAGGGTTGGTGCGGCTCTCCCTCAGGAAAAACCGAGGGTGCAAAGAATGGGGAGGGTGAGAGGCTGTGATGAGAGACATGGACTTGCAGTGGGAGAGGTGGGATGTGTGTTGCAAGAACGCCTTGGGTTTCTTGTTTCTTGGGGCCTCCATTCCGAGATGGAGAAGAGAATACTATTTGTGCTCCACGAGAAAAGATTAGGAAAACAGCCCCACTCCAGTGGACCTGGCAGCATTCTATATAAACATCGACATCTGGGAGAGAGGTCCAGTTGAATATTGTTGCAAATGGACTTGTGCTCTTTTTGGGTGATGCTATGGCGACCCACACTAGAGGAGGGTGCTGGAGCCCAGCGTCAGGCCAGGGCCCTCTGTGGGAACAACCCCTTAACTCCCTGGGCCCTGCCTGGCTTGCTTTGTTTGACTGCCTGTACCATCTTGTCGCTTCTTCCACCATATTCCCCATGGCATCCTCTCCCCACTCCAAAGATGGGTGGTGTAAGCCCTACAAAGTGGGGCAGATGGCTAGAGCCACAGGTGTCAGCCTCATTCACATCATCCATGTGGCCAGACTTCAGCTTCCTCTTTCTCATGGTCTGAGGCGTGTTATAGTCGTGTTAAATGTCCAGCGCTAGAATTTTAGGGAAGGGGAGTGGCTGTGAATATATGTCAGGTGCACACTGTTTGGTCATCTGCTTGACTTGTGCTAGGCACTGTGATGTGCAGAATATGTCATTGTGACAGCTGCGTCCTCGAGGGTCAGGTTAGGTAGGTGGACACTTCTAATCTTTAGCCCCTCCCTTCTTAGTAGAGTGGGAGTGGGGGACGGAGAGGCCAGAGCCCAGTTGGTGGGAATTCCCGAAGGCTTCCCTCATCCTTTTCTTTCTCCTTGCTTGCTTCTATTCACGTTTTCTGTCTCCTGCAGCCCATGGGATCAGACCCTGCGCTGAGCTCCTTCACTGTGTGTCTGTTGCTGAAGTAAATGCAAGCCCTGTCCTTTCCAGAGCAGGAAAGGGGAGTAAAGTTTTCCTCCTGGGGTCATTTCACCCTTGTTCTCTATCTCTCTCTCTCTCTGTCTCCTACAGAGACTCTGCAGGGAAACACAGGTGTAGGTAATGTCAAAGGACATCCAACTTGTGTTCTAGGACCACAGCCTCGCCCTTCTGTCGTGGCCCCCACTGGGTGAGGAGAGCGCCCCGGCCACACCAGGGGTCAGTTGTCGATGGAAAGGAATAGACGTGCAAGTGTGCATTTACTGTTTGTTCTGTCACTTACCAGCCATTTGAGAAGTCCTGGGTGCTGTGAGGTGGACTGTGCAGTAATTTGAAGGGTGGGGAGGGGTAAGAGGGCTGTTGCATAGAAGTCTAGCCTTAGAGTAACACATTTGAATTTTGGATAAACGGGTGGCAACGGCCATGCTGGTTTCCTTCATATATTGTTAGCCTTTTCCTGGCTGGGAAAAAAGCATTTGCCTAATTTTAGAACACATCAGTCATTTGGTTGAAACATCCTATTTCCCCCAAAGTCAAGTGTTTGAATTGTAACAACTTTGGAGGCTTGGAAAGGATCTTCGCATAGTCCCTGCATGAACTCTCCTGCATTGGATGCCCTGTCTGAGGAGTTTGACCTAGGAGTTAGGGAAACAATCTTTATTTCCAATGAAGAATTTTATGTATAAACACACCTAAAGAGAAGTGTAAAATGCTTGACCTGAGGACCTTGGGAGCAGTCTCTCAGACCCTTAAAACTTATTCTGTATTCTCATTGGTGTGATAGTGGGGCAGTAGTTTGTTGTTGTTATTTTTTCCGGGGCAGGGGGATTACATAAGATTTACCCATTTCTCTCCCTATCATGCAATAGTTACCCTTGGATCTTACTGTGCTCCCTGATATATGTGAAGGTTGAAAATGGGCCAGATGGGAATTTTAAAGGCAATGAGGGGCTTTAATTGTTTTTTCAAAATAGTGTATGTACAGTAGTTCAAAAAGTCAGATATGTAACCACAAAGCTTATACTAAAAGAGTTTTCTGCTCCATTTCTTCTTACTCCTGAGTCCTGTTCCCAGAGGAAGCCATTTCAGCTCTTCTAGCCAGAATACTCCGGTGCCTACCTCTGTGTTTGTAAATAACTGGTTTTTACTGCTACTTCTTGAGTTTTAGAAGATATTATCTATTGGTTTTATACACCACAGATAGGATTTAGCTCTTTCATCGGCCTGGCTCCTTGCTCCTACCCAGCTACCCTTGTTTTTCCTGGTAATGTTACTCACAGAGCTGGCCGTCCTCACGTTCCAGACTGACTCTGGCTGTCCTCTGGACCTGCTGCATAGCTCTCCATCTGGGCTTGACCTTCCCCATCATCCTGGGAAGCCTCTCTCTCTTTCTCTCTCTCTCTTCCACCTTCTCCCCCACCTGTTTTTTTGTTTGTTCGTTTTTGTTTTTGTGGGGTTTTTTTTGGTTTGTTTTTTGGTTTTTGGTTTACTTCACTTGGTGAAACCTCTTGAGAAATGCACAGGGAGGAAAGGTTTTGTGGCCTTGCCTGTCTCAGGATGCCTGTCCTGTGCACACTCTTGACCAGGAGCTGGACTGGCTGTAGAATGTTAGATGGGACCTAATTTTCCTTGGAATTTTGAAGGTGGTGTTCATTTTTTAACTTTATCATTGGTATTGAGAAGTTCATATGCAAGGGTCTGATTCCTGATCCTTTGCAAATAAACTGAATTTTCCTTCCGAAAACTTTCAGGAGCTTCTCTTTATCCCTTGAGTTCTAAAATTTCATGAAGATATGCCTTGGTGTGGATTTGTTTTGTTTTATTAAGCTAGAGGCTTGTGTATATTTCAGTGTGGGAAGTTCTGACCTTCTAGTCCAGAGTGTGTCTTATATTTTCTTCCTCTGGTAATTTCTTTCTTTTTTAACTCATCCCTCTCCTCTCTTCACTGTCTTTTTTTTTTTTTTTAATGGAGTCTCGCTCTGTCACCCAGGTACAGTAGCACAATGTTGGCTCACTGCAACCTCCGCCTCCCAGGTTCAAATGATTCTCCTGCTTCAGCCTCCCAGGTAGCTGGGACTACAGGTATGTGCCACCATGCCTGGCTAATTTTGGTATTTTTGGTAGAGATGGGGGTATCGCCATGTTTCCCAGGCCAGCCTCAAGCTCCTGGACTCAAGCAATCTGCCCACCTTGGCCTCCCAAAGTGCTGTGATTACAGGAGTGAGCCACTGTGCCCATCCTGGTAATTTTTTTTTAAAATTTTTCCTGGTCTTTACTTCTGAAACTCCTGTTATTTGGCTATTACTCCTTCTGACTCGATTCTCTAAGTTTATTGTCTTTTTCTGTGGCTTCGTTTTGCCTGAGATCACATTAACCTTGCCTTCTAACCCTTCTGTTGGGGTCTGATTCCACCTATTGAATTGTTAATTTCTTAGAGCTTGTTTTTTGTTTTCCGTGTGTCCTCTTTTGTAGCATCCTGTTTGTGTTTCATGGGTGCAGTACTTTCTCTAATCATTTCAGTTATTTTGAAGTTGTATTCTGTCTCTGGTCTGACTTTCATTCTCCTAGTTCCCTTTCTGTTTGTTATGGTCTTGGGCTTTCTCGAATGAGTGGCGACCCTTCAGAAGGAGGCTGTGTGTGTATATGGGGTGCGTGTAGGAATATCGACTGGCAGGCTTTGCCTTAGAAGGACAGGCAGGCAGGGCACCAGTTTGTTTTGGGAGAGACCCTAGAATGTCCGCACGTACGAGCCCTCTCGTCTCCATTACATGGAGAATGACAGTTTTAGGAGGTCTTTCTCTTGGGCTTGTTGGTTTCCCCTGATAGGAATTCTCTCATCTCCAATCTAGGAAGACCTGTGGGCAGCAGAAGGGCTTGGGATGAGGGACTCAACTTTTAGGATGCAGACTTTCTTGGACTTTTCCTGCTGTTAGTCCTTCACCCCTACTTCCCCTGCCCCCTCAGCTGTGCCTGCTGCCCCTGACTCTAGGGGCCCTCCTAGGGCAACCCTCCGTGCTGGTCAGTATATAGGATTCTCTGGCCAGAGCCAAGCCCTGGGATCTGCCTGCCCTTGTACGGGTGCTGATCAGTTCTCCTGCTCTCAGCCCTGCCCCTGCTGTTGGAGTCCCCTCTGCCCCCAGGCCCTGAGCTTTCTGGTGTCTGCAGCAGTGCCAGCCTGCCTCCTCCTAGCTGTCCTCAGGAAGCTTCTTCCATGCCACCAGGCCACTTTCCATGTATCCAGCCACTTCCCACTCAAAGTTTACTTGATATCTTATATCTGCTCTTGTCTCCTCTCCAGCTTTTCATCCTTGAGAGTTTATACCTCCCCCCCACACACACTTTATGGTCATATTAATTAGGGTTTTAGCAGGCAATTGAACATTCTGGTGTGTTAAGTCACCTGTGTTTAACTGGAGGCCCCTCTGTGTGTCAGGAACTGGCCCGCAGCCTGTCGACACGTGTTGGTGTCCATCATGGGCATATCGTGCCTGCCTTGTACCCACCTGTTTCCATGCCACTGTTCCCTGTCCTTTCCCACACTGTCCCCTGTGTGGGTCATATTGTTGGTCTGGGCCTGTGTAGCTCTTTGTGCTTGGCAGGGTGTGTGTGTGTGCAGGGTGTGTGTGTGTGTGTGTGTGTGTGTGTGTGTGTGTGTGTGTGTGTGTGTGTGTCTCAGAGTCAATGCACATGCCTGCCAGGGGACCTGTGTGTGTTGGCATCCTGCATTAAATGTACCATCTATAATTTGCTCCAGTACCTTGGAGAAAATTTTATGAGGAAAAGATACTTTCATAAATAGTTGAAATTCCAGATTCTTCTGGTTGGAAACCCAAGGGTTAATGATGACTGTTGTTCCAGAAAGGTTGGAGGGAGAGGAGACAGTTTATCTCATTTCCCTCTGGTGAATAAGGCCATTTACTGATGGGGCCCAATCACCTACCTGGGACTAACAATAAGACCCTTGTTGTTGACTGGGCAGGTTCCACAGCTGATACTCCGGCTGCCTTGAGCAATACCATCAGGCAGATCTGGGGCTCAGCCCTGTCCTTACCCAGGGCCTCAGAGCACTAATATATTTTCCTTTTCCTCACTCCAGATGTCTTCCCAGTGACTCTCCTTGGGGCCTGGGGAAACCACAAGGGAGCTTGGATTCATTCACCCATTGCTGCCTTGCTGTGTGCCTCAGAGGGGCTCAGAGGTGGAAAATAAATATGAAAAAGCATCCTTGTCTTCTAGAATCTCGTCGGCTGCTGGGAAGACCAAGGGGCCAGCCATCGCAGGGAGCATAAGCACTGAGACAGGCACACGTGCCTGCCCGGCTATCGTAGCCAGGCTGGCAGCCTTGCAACTCCCTGGGGAAGAACAATCTAGGAACATTCTGGGGTGTGGAGCAGGAAGGGAGTGTCACATGCAAAAGGCAGGATCAGCCAAAGCAGAGGGGCTGAAGAAGCAGTGATTCCCCCACCTAATGTCAGAAGTAAAATCAGTTCATGGTGAAAATTTGGGGAAACAAAATCATGCAGCAAAATTGCCTATTAAACCCCACACGGAGGTAAAAATCGGTTCATATTGTGGTTATGTATCTATTCTCTTATGATGTGTATTTATGTGCTTATGTAAGACCTAAAAACAATAATTTTTAAATAAACCAGTTATTTTTAATAAGAATATTCTGGCCAGGCATGGTGGTTCATGCCTGTAATCCCAACACTGTGGTAGGCCAAGGTGGGCGGATCGCTTGAAGCCAGGGGTTCCAGGCTGCGGTGAGCTAGGATTGCACTACTGCACTCCAGCCTGAGTGACAGAGGGAGACCCTGTCTCTTAAAAAAACAAAACAAATTCTATCTCACAATTCCTTTCCTATCCTTCTATGCATGGTCTTTAATAGCTACACCCCATTCCATTGGGTGGCTGTATTTGATTCCTTTATTCTGTACTTTCGGACATCCAAGTTGTTTTCAGATTTTTACTTTTTTAATATGATGCTTCAGAGAACATTCCTGGAAGTAATGTTGCCAGTGCAGAGGTGCAAGCATGTTTGAGACAGCTGATAGTTACCTCTGTCCAGAACTGGCTCACTCCCAACAGCAGCAGGAGGCACCCAGGGTCTCTCACTTTCCTTTCAATTTTCCTTTCTCCACATCCTACCCCCAGATTTGTCTGACTTTTCCAGAGGCTATTGAGAGAAGCTTTTTGAGTGAGGCACCACACAGATGTTTAAGACTAAGTTTGTGGTCTTTGAGAACCGAGGTAGCCTGACCCATTGGAAGCCTGCAGATAATTGAAAAAATCTTATTTTAGATCCTGTGTCATTCTTCTGCTATCAAACCAGAGCCAGCAGCAAAGGAAGCTGGGGGTGATGGGCCTTCATCCACCTGCCATGTTGCCTCCCTGCGCTGCTTCTGCCAAGAGTGGGCTGCTGGGGGTGTCCTGCTGGGGCCAGGCACCAGGGTTCCAATGCCAAGTAGTGGCATTCACGCACCTTTTGATAAGCGAGGAAACCGCTGGCAGCAGGAAGAAAGGTAAAGCAGCTCCAGGGAGCTCAGCGCTCAGCCTCAACCTCTTTCCCCAGAACCTGCGCCTGCCCACTCCACCTCCAAGGCCCCTCACTCTCCACCACCCATTTGGCCTTTTGGAATTGGGACTGGAATTGTTTCCAGCTCCAGAAGGCCCCTGCCTGCCTAATTCCCATGTCTCTAAAAATATCTGCAAGCCTCTTCCCACCCAGGCCTGTCCCCACAGAGCCCACTTCTCTCCCCCGACCCTCGGCTAGGGGAGGAAATGAGATCTCCCTCTCTTGACAGGATTAGAACGGAATAAATACGAAAGGCTGAGTTTCCAGAGTTGAAAGGGTAGGGCTGCCTTTGTCGGGTCCGGAGGGCTGGCGTGGCATCGGTGCAGGCCCACACTCGGAGGAGGGAATCCAGGAGAAAGAAGGAAGGGGAAAAGAGCAAGAACCCCTTTCTCCCCTCTGCATATGGGATGGCCAAGAGAAGCCAGGCCCTGCTGTGGGTCCCCGGTGGGAAAGAAGCTGGCTCCCAGGGCTCCCAAGCCCCAGCCACGCCTGGTCAGCACAGGCAAAAGGAGTCTGTGGGAAGCCTCCAACCTCCAGGCTGCCTGAGGCCCCTGGAGCTTTCTCAGGCATTCCTAGATTGGGACAGAGCCTCAGACCCCTCCCTGCCCCACCCCCCAGCATTGGATGCCTGCCTAATAGAGGCTTTATTTATCTCCACATTTTCCCAGCTCTGTATAAAGAGACAAGCACGTGGGTGAGGCCTACAGATATTCCAAAAGCAGGGGGTAGTGGGGTGGGGGATGAAGAATACGCAAGGATCTGCTTCCACCATCCCCTAGAGGGGCTTTGGAGGGAGGAGGGTGGGCTAGGGCAAAGGGTCGATGTGCAAAAGGCTTCTTTTCTTTCATTTTCCCCTACTCAGAAACCCAAAAATAGCCATGTCAAAGGCACATACATTGCAAATAGCAGCCGAGAAGAGCCAGCTGAAAGCCATTTGCTTCTCCCTCCCTCCTCCCTGGACACACTCCCCGTCCTCTGCAGTCCCCTTCTTTCCAGGCTCTTGCTGGGCCAACCAGTCCTGCAGCCTTGTAGGGTCCAGCACCTCCCTATAGGGTTACTGAGTTGCATCTAAATTCACTTAATAGGCGGTCACAGCTTTTTGTGAAAACCCATGAGGAAATGTGAAAAGTCCTCCTTTGGTTCACTTTTCTTGCAACTTTGAATTTTCCTACTAAGAGTCCTTAAAGTGAAGCAAACCTGTAGCTAAAATGTAGACAAGAGCCAGGCACAGTGACTCAGGAGGCCAAAGTGGGAGAGTCAGTTGAGGCCAGGAGTTCAAGACCAGCCTGGGCAACATAGCAAGACCGCTGTCTCTACAAAAATTTTGAAAATTAGCTGGATGTGGTGGTGCATACCTATAGTCCTAGCTACTTGGGAGGCTGAGGCCAGAGGATCGCTTGAGCCTGGGAGTTGGAGGCTGCAGTGAGCCTTGATTGCACCACTGCAGTCTAGCCTGGGAGACAGACAGGGAGACCCCATCTCTTTTTTAAAAAAAATGTAGACAATAAAAAATATATAAAGATTGGATTTGATCTCAAGTCAAGAGGAGTGGTCATATGCAAGAGAGTAGATGCCATGAAAATGGTCTGCTGTCCCAAGTGTTTTTCCCAATTATAAAACTAACATATGTCTTGTACAAATTTTGTAAAAATTATACATTTTGTGAAAATAGGTAAGCACAAAGATCAAAAGATGTTTTCCAGGAAGAATCAGATGGGACATCTCCACCTGATGTCACTCGTGGCAGGCAAGGGGACACTTATCCTTGTGTGGTGGTCTCCTCCTGGGATGGCGCTGGGTGGGGAGGCCCACCTTTTGGAGGTCCTTTGGTGGCTCTGACCAGGCTCCACCCTGCACTATAGCTGTCCTGGACGGCGGGTTGAATAGAAGGGTACAGATTTAGAATTGACTTGGAAACACGTTAATTTGGAAGCCTACCTTCCCCATTCCAAAGAGATTCTGACTTGAGATCCAAGGTTTCCAGAGCGCCTCAATGCCCTTCCTGAATCACCAAGTTCAGTCTGGCTTGGAGAGCATGGCACGGCTGACCCAGTGAGTCCAGGGTACAGAGGCCAGACTCACAGCTCATTTCAAGCTGGGCTTTTTCCCCCTTGTCGAACCAGTCAAAACAAACGAAATTGGATTAGTCTGTCTTCAAGCACTTTGTCAGAAAATACATGAATTGGTGTGTGTGTGTGTGTATTTCAGTTCTGCCATCTGTTGGCTCAGGGGTCCCCAGTGCCCAGGCAGGTCCATGGCTTATTAGGAACTGGGCTGCACAGCAGGAGGTGAGTGGCAGGCGAGCTAGCATTACTGCCTGAGCTCCACCTCTTTCAGCATTAGATTTTCATAGGAGCGTGAAGCCAGTTCTGAACTGCACATGCAAGGGGTCTAGGTTGTGTGCTCCTTATGAGAGTCTAATGCCTGATGATCTGTTACTGTCTCCCATCACCCTCAGATGGCACCATCTAGTTGCAGGAAAACAAGCTCAGGGCTCCCACTGATTGATTCTACATTATGGTGAGTATGTAATAATAATAGAAATAAAGTGCACAGTAAATGTAATGCGCTTAAATAATCCTGAAACCATCCATCCATTCCCTGTGGCCCTGGAAAAACTGCCTTCCACAAAAGTGGTCCTTGGTACCAAAAAGTTTGGGGACCACTGCATTAGCTAACCTTGAACAGTTTTGCAATCTCACTAAACCTAAATTTCCTCATCTGTAGAATGGGGAGAATAAGAACAGTTTTTTAGGATGACTGTGGATTTAAACCAGAACTCAGTGGAGCGCTATATCCTGTCTTCTCTGCCACCCTTCTGCTTCACTCAGGGAATTTATCTTAAGAGTTGGGGAGAAGGCAGGGGAACCTTCTGCCATGTCCTGCTATGCTTGTGTGGCCCTCTGAGCAAGGGAGAGCCTTGCTTCACCCTCAATAAAGTATCTTCCTGGTCTCAGGCCCAGTGACACCTGCCAACTGGTTAAGAAGCAGAGTTTAACATTTCAGTAATGTTATATCCGGATATTAAGAAAGAAAAGGCCGGGCCTGGTGGCCCACACCTGTAATCCCAGCACTTTGGGATGCCAAGGCAGGTGGATCACCTGAGGTCAGGAGTTCGAGACCAGCCTGGCCAACAGGATGAAACCCCATCTCTACTAAAAAATACAAAAATTAGCCAGACATGGTGGCAGGCGCCTGTAATCCCAGCCACTCAGGCTGAGGCTGAGGCAGGAGAATCGCTTGAACTCGGGAGGCAGAGGTTGCAGTGAGCTGAGATTGCACCACTGCACTCCAGCCTGGGCAACAAGAGTGAAACTCCATCTCAAAAAAAATTTTTTTTAAACAACAACAACAAAAAAAATATATATATAGTTACTTCAAAGAAAAACCTTCAGCAACATTAAACAGTAGTGTAGACAGCAGTGAGGACTTCAGTTGTGTATATATTTTCCTGCCTGGGGAATTGTTTCCTGAGGGTAGAGTTCTAGAAATAGAATGGAAAAGGCCCGTAGGGTAGGTACTGCTATGGCTCCTGTGGCAGGTTTGCAGACTGCTCAGGCAGCTGCAGTTCAAGTGCCCTTTCCAGGCCATGGGCTGCCTTCAAGCCATGCCCAGAAAGCCTGCCTGCCTTGGCTCTACATCCTGATGTCCAGGAGGTCAGGCTTGGCCTAAAAGAGGGCTGGCTTACCCTTGGCTCAAATGTCACCCGCAGGGAGCTGGGGGCTGAGGAAGAGGAAACGTCCAGGTGGGTGTAGTCCTCTGGCTTCTAGGCTTTCCTTTCCTATCTTCATTTTTTTTTTTAATTTTTTTTATTTTTTAAAAATAGAGACAGGATCTCCCTATGTTGCCCAGGCTGGTCCCAAACTCCTGGACTCAAGCAATCCTCCTGCCTCGGCCTCCCAAAACGCTGGAATTACAGGCATGAGCCACCGCACCCAGCCTCCCTTCCTGTCTTTATGGGCCACTCCTGTCTGCGTTACCCATAGTCAAGGCCAGGCCTTGGGCCAGGAAGGGGGCTATACCATCAGCTCCCCAAGTGTACAAGGCCCTTGCCTCTCCTTTGGCCTACATGAGCACCTGCCTTGTACTCTATGTTGTGCCAGGCATTGTGGGAGATGCCAAGAAAGCCAATCCCTCTGCTGCCCCTTCAGTGCTGAGACACCTGGGCCTCCAAAGGGCTGGTGCAGTGCGGAGCTGTCAGGCTTTCTTCTCTGCCAGGTCATTGTGATGGGGCAGGTGATCGTCAGGGCACGTGTGGAGTGTGCGAGCAGGTCCACCCATGACTAGTGGAGCAGCCTTGGCTAAGCCACTTTCTCACCTGTGCAGTGGTGACAGCCCCCTCCTCAGGGTCATTAAGGAGGTAGTGAGATGGCCATGTCTCATGTCCCATGCGCTTGGTATACACACCCCCAAGAGAGGCCAGGCCTGGGCTGACACAGGTACCCCTCACTCTGTGGCCCAGGTGGCATCTGCTGGCAGCACACCCACCCTCCCTGTCTTCTGCAGTTCCAGCCCAGCTAGTGGACACCTGTCCACAGAGGACTCTGAAGGAAACATCTGAAAGGTTAGGGCCCTGCTGGGCAACGTTGAGGTCGACACTGTGGACAGGCAGCTCCATGTAATTCTTCTTCCTGCCCTTACCCAGCCAAACCTGCACCCTTCTGGGGGTGGACCTCTGTTTGTCCCGTTTGTAACCACTTCTGTCTGGCATGGGCTCCAAGAGTTGATGCTGCATGCAGGCCTCATGTACTTTGACACAAGTGTGAGAGTGCTGGGGGTTGGAAGACTCATGTGTGCCAGCCTCCAGGTACAGCTAGCCTGTTTCCTCCATGCCAAGGCCTTGTCTCCCTTGAGGCAGAGTGGTGTGGTGGAGCGAGTACTGGACTAAGTCAGAAGGCCCAGGCAGTTCAGGCAGCCACAGATTAAGTCACTTCCACTCTGGCCATGGGGTCTTTGTAAGATGAGGAGGTTATGTCAGATGCGCTCTGGTGAAAGTATGGAAAAAAGCATTGGTGACGTGTGGAGCTAAGGAGGTCAGGCTTGTCACCAGGAGCTGGCCCTGTCCCCAGCCATGTGTCCCCATCAGCACTGCTGGGAAAGCAGCTCAGACCCCAGGGCCGGCAGCCGTGAGGGTATCTTGCAGTGGCTCTTTGGGAGCAGCGGCTGCTATTTTTAGTAAGCTGCCTAATTGGAGGTCCTGGTGGAGCTTAACCAGCTCACCTTGTGCTTTGATCCTTCTGTTTGGCCTTCTCTTTTTACGTGGAAAGAGCTGAAGTTCATGCCCTGACCAAAGCAGATTTGTTTTTGCAGGAGACGGAGGCTTTTGCTGTTAAAAAAAACTGCCCCTTCCCAGGCCCCTGCTCTGTCTCTTAAGTAATTTCCAGTGGGTTGTCAGCATTGATGTTGGTTCCTTCCTAATAAGATCTCCCCCTTTTATCTGCTATATCAGGACATCAGGGGTGGGGGCTGAAAAGAGTATTGAAAAAGATGGAAGCATTACTCTCTGCAGGAAAACAGATTGGTTTTAAAAATGCTGTCCTACATCCTGCCTCAGATGATGGCCCTTCGCACATGATTTCTCTCACTTTTGATGCCCTCACTTTATTTTAAGCCGAAGAACCAAACCTTCGAGTAAAGCCTCTTTGTTCCTTTTTAGCAGTGAGATATCTCCTAGGATGGGAGACCAGGTGTTTTCTCGGGAACAGTCATCATTTAGCTTTTTCCCAAAGGAAAGGAACTCTGTGTGTCCCTGGTGGCTCTGGGAATGGCGTGTGAGCCCATTTCCTCAGGATAAAACTAAGATGGTAATGAATAATGTCTGTTTGATTTGTGTCAGATATTCATGTGACACAGACACTAAGTGCTCGTAAACACTCTCAGTTAATTCTTGTGACAGCCTTTAGGGAATAGGCCTCATGCTTACCTCCATTATACAGATGAGGAAAACTGAGGCCTAGAGAGTCTGAGTCGTCCCACTGCTATGTGACCATGTGCCTGCACCATCTAACATGGTGCCAGCGCTCCTGATGTGTGGACGTGAGTGTCTGTTTTCTGGATGTGCATACAGCAGTGTACCAGGCTGCATGACCGTGGGGTGCTGCTGCATAGAACCTTTGGCCATGAGCGAGTTTTTGGTGAACTAACAGAATTCATTGTCCCCTTCCTGGTAGAGAATTGCTTCTGTGTCCTGAGGAGATGTGGCATGAAGGGTGGGCAAGGATTGTTCCTGCCAGCTGGGTGGCCGTGTCTTTCATCCTTCCTTCCTCCCGACCAGTCCACGGCTGTGTTCAAGCCTGGTGGGGAGCCGTGAAGGCAGAACCGTTTCTCCGTCCTTCCTTTTGTCCCTGTCACCTTCCCCTGGCTGCTAGCAGAGTACCTGTCCTGTGTCACAGAGAGACAGAGCCCCAATTGTTTTCTTTCCGCTGCGTCTGCTCCTTGCCTCCCCCTCAGCCACCCACGAGGTCTCAGTGCTGTGCCAGCTAGCTTGCTGCAGGGAGCCGCTGCCTCCCTTCGGAGCACCCACGCTTCCAGTCTCCCTTCCATCTTTCATAAAAGCATGGGCCTGTGGCTCAGTGGTATGGGCCACCAGCTTTGTCCTTAAGACCCCTCTTCATTATTTCCCTGAGCCCACTCTGGGGCCCAGTGTGGGCACTTGTTCAGGTTTCTCTGTTGGGATTCTTCTTGGTTTAGGGAGGGTGGTTGGCATGTGGTGGAGTTGAGAGGGGCCTTGTTGCTTCCAGGTGCTTTGGTAGAGTGGTCCCAGGTATCCACTGGGCGTGTTTGCTGCTTTCTCCTGTCTTCCCTGTCACAGTCCACTTTAGGGTTATATAAACCACACACAGAAGCCTACAAATAGACTTTTGTTGTTCATCCTCAAGTAGGCACTAATTCCATTCGATGGAACCTGGGATGGGCATCGCTTTCTCCCAGGGCAGGGAGCACTGCCTGCTGTCCCACAGCATGTCTCACCCACCCTCGTGGTGGGGCAGGTCGAGGGCCCAACAGGGATGCTCTTGGGCTTTTTCACTGCAGGCCTCAGCCAGCACCCCCAGGCAGCCCCTGTTGCTGCTCTCTGGCCAACAGTCTCCTAAGAGTCCAGGGTTGCCCATTGCTATTGTGGGGTCACATATCTTTCTACATCCATACTCCTAGGGAGGCGGAGTCGGTCTTGAAACTGGGTGGGGACCCCTCCATTCCCCCGTGCTCCTCTTGACTGGGGCAGTACTGTTCTCGCCCCCTAAGAAGGAGGTAGAGGTGAGGTCCCTGTTCACCTTGTCTTGGAGACCAGTCAAGACAGGAAAGCTCTCACCTCAGAGATGGATGGGTCCCTTGGCCACTGAGTCAGGCCACTGAGGCAGAGGAGGGCAGGCAGTCACTCACTGGTGGTGGTGTGAGAGACGCTGTCTCTGATTATCCGACGTCCTGTAATGAGATACTTTTCAGTGAGGGCTGTTCCCTGGAAACAGTGTGACTCCAGGACTATGGGAAGGGGGTCTGATTTGGGCCCTAATTCCAGCTCAGCCATTACCAGCCTGGTGGCCTAGGCAGGGCCTTCCTTTCAAGGATTTGATCTTTATAATAGTTTTGATCTTTATTTAGGGTTAGGATTAGGTTAAGGTTTTGATCTTTAAAATAGTTTTTCCTACCCCATATAGGACATCTGCCACTCAAAGGGAGGCATGTTAAAGAAACCTTTTATTGTGGCAAGCCGTAAGACAAAAAAACATGTGCATCCCAGGTTCAGCTTGATGAAGTTTCACAGATTAAGCACACCTGTGTAGCCAGTACCATGATCAGGATCTTCCTGAGTCCCTCAGTGGCTTTGAGGGATCTCAGAGCACGGCATCTCCAGGTGGGTGTGGGAGCTTGTCCAGGGCGAAGTGTCTGCAGTGTTGCAGTGAGGCACGGGGTGGCCTCACCACCATGTCTTTCTCAGCCCTGCCGGCGTCCAACACAGCAGAGGTGCTCAGTACCCCGTTTTCTACTGAGTGACTGAATGGGTGAAAGGCAACTGGATTCCTACACTCTTGGTCTTTTCCAGGGAGTCTGTGTCTTGGTGTTTCTGCTGCTTCACTCTTTGTGGTCGACTTGTAGAAGCCCCTCTGCCCAGAGGACTTGATCCTGGGCAGGCAGCAGCAGGAACACACCATGCCTGGCGTGGGCAGAACCTGTGATCTTGAAAGAGTTGAGCCTCCACCACTTCAGAGAGAGGGCAGCAAGAGCGCTCTGGAGCCTGCCCTCCACAGAGCTTGGTGCTTTGAGACCTGGACAGTGCCCACCAGACAGAATCCACATAGTGTTTCCTCTCCTCCTTCCAGAACCGGATCTTCCTGAGTCCCTCAGTGGCTTTGACTGGTGAAGGCTGGCCAGGCCTGCTGGAGAGATCCGGGATGCAGAGCTGTTTAGTCTGGGAGGCAGGTCAGTCTCAGAGGATGGGTGGGTCAGGGCTGAACACAAGGAAAAAAGACGCCACACATGGAAGGAAATCACCACTATGCCATCATAACTGACCAACTACATTTTCCCAACCTTGGAAGGACAAGGTAGGAGTGGCAGGCTAGAAGGATAGGTCTTCAAACATCACTGTTGATGCAAAGCTCCCATAACAAGTTGGATTTCTGAGAAGCAGATTGGGAATTCCCAGTGGGAGAGAGGCAGATGAGAGCATCCAAGATAACGACTTCTTTCCCAGATGCTGGCCTTCCTGGAATGCTGGCAGAGGATCTCAGTTCTTAATAATTATTTTATTGGGTGGGGAAGTCTTTGGAAGCAGAAAATAAGCCAAAGAGGAACTTAATGTCATACCCCTTTCTCAAGGAAAGTTTTATCTACAACACATTTGGTCTATTCTTAGCTTCTGCTCCTGTCCTTTGGAAACGTAGCCTGGAGGGTGTCGGGATTTAATGGGCTCTAGCCCCCTGCCCCTCCCTTTAGAGTGAGGGGGTGGATTGGTGTTTGTGGGTTTTCTCTGTGAATCAGTTCTGAGAACACCAGAGAGCTTCTTTCAGGGTTCTGGACTTACTGCCAGGAGGCCCAATTCCTCCCAGTGACAAAGTCACTGAAGACAAGAGTCTTCAGGAAGGAGCCTCAGAGCCTGGGCAGGGCGGGGACTTCAAGGCTGCTGCCAGGTTTGGGTAGATGTGGGGAGCAGGAGCCAGACAGAGGCTGGGTGCTATTCAGGTTGCTCCGGCATCTGGCATTTGGGCACAAGACCTGTCCTTAGAAGGCTTGGGGCTGGCAGGTGCCTTGTGAGCCTGACACTGTTGGTGCAGGGAGACACCTGCATCATCTCACGCAGCAGCTTCCTCTGGAGTTCAGTGTCCTGGGGCGCAACAGGGAGGGCTGTGGCCTGGCCTGTATTCAGGTGGATTTGGCACACAGGCCCAGGCTGGTCCTGCACATCCCCTGCTAGAGAGCAATCCCTACCCTCCTTTGTCCCCTTCGTGTCTGAGACTCTGATGGCGGGGGAAACCCAGAGATTCCTGTTGTGCATTGAGCTCGTTCTTGAGTTCCCATCTCTCTAGCTGGTTTGGAATCTTAAGTTTCTCCCCAGCAGGTGATTTGAAGTCCTTTGGGCTTCCAGCTTGCATGGGTTCCTCTGTGCCTGCCTGCTGCCCTCTGTGTCTGTAAGTGGTTGGCAGGAAGGTGCATGTGTGAGAACCTATGGTATGCCCGCTTAGGGCCAGGGCTGCAGAGGTTGCTCGCTGCTCAGGGGCCTGCCCGGAGCCCTGGCCACATGTCCCGCCTCACATACCTGCAAGGGCCATTTCCCTGTAGATAGAGCAGTTGCCTGACACAGCCACCACCTCTCCCTTTTTCCCAGGCCTGCTGGAGAAGGATGGCCCTCCCTCCTGCCTTGTCCCTCAGGCTGCCTGAGGGTTTCGTTTTCTTGTGGCTGGCATGGCCTTTCAGGGTACTGTCCCCAAGCACTTTATGAATCATAATCGCAGCTCCAGCATGTCCATTCACCCCCACTGCCAGCAGGCTCTTTACAGCTGCATTTTGTCTCCACACTCTTCTGTCTTTCTTTGCTTTCATCAGGCCCTCTTTGGCCCAGCAAAAAGCTGTAAGTGACTTAATACAGCTGGGTGGCCAGCCTGGGACAGACAGCCATCGGAGCCAAGCCTCTGGCATCAAATATAGATCAAGGTCTCCCTTTGAGGCAGTGGTTCCCAGCCTTGGCTGAACATTAGAATCACTAGAGAAGCTTTTAAGAATTCCTATGCCTCAGCCCTACATCTGAGAATTTAAATCTGAGTCTCTCTCTGGGCATAGAACCTCTATTTTGAAATCTTCCCAGGTGATTACATTATTCAGCAAAAGTTTGGAACCATTGCTTTAAGCTCTAAAACCTTCCATTTTAAGCCAGCTGGCCTTTGTCTCTAGCCTCTAGAGAGGTCTGGGCCCCCTGAAGCTGCTTCTCCCTGCTGTAGATCCCTCAGGGGTGACCGGGAGGGTGCTGGGGGTGGGGCCGGGTGAATGTTATGGGCCTCACAGCTGCATTGCTTTCAGTCTCACTGCAGCAAACAGCAGCTTGTTTTCTCTAGATCTGCCTGGCAGGCCTTTGGGCAGAAAAGGCAGTTACACCATGTGGCATGGCAGCGCCCTCTCCCTCTCAGGCTCAGGCAGACTTGGAGACCAGGCAAGCTGGGACACAGGAAGCTCCATCTGAAGCCACCAGTGGCAGCACTCCGCCCACCTGTATGCTAGCACTGCCTCTTCTCCAGTGCAACTTCTCCCGCCGGCTGTGGTGCGCAGATTTCTGAAAGCGCTCAAACAGGCTGAAGGGCCCTTAGCCCCCTTCTCTCCCTTTCCTTCTGTGTCCTCTCCTTACCCTCGCCACTTTGTTCCCCTCCCTTCTTATCCAAACATGCCTTGGAAAGGTCTCAAAAACTCATGCTGAAGGTATAAAATATTCAATCAGTATCCGTTCTGCCCACTGCTGAGCTCGTGGGTATATGGGGCACCGTTGCAGGTTCTTCTCTGAGAATTCACCAGAGGGACTTCCAGACAGTGGTGTAAAAGGGAGTGTGCACTTTTGCAGTAGAGTGGAGTCTGCAAGCCAAGAGGCCAGAGGAGCCATACATAGGCTCTGTGTGCAAGGGAAAGCAGTTCTCTCACACGAGTACTGACACTTTTGAGACCACAATGCCTGTGTACTGGGATTCAACAGTTAAGTAAATGGACGGCAGGTGGCAGGAGCCACTGTTGCACACAGTGACAAGGAACAGGCAGGCAAGGGAAGGAGGCTAGACTGATCCACGGAGGTGCTAGTGTGTTTAGTTGATAGAGACTTTAATAAAGATACATAAGGATACAGAGAGAAGTGTTTATAGATATGTGGTATGCCCAGGTTATATACACCTCTATTTCCTTGTTCCATTAGCGGAGAGGGCCTAGAAGCTGTGAGACCCGCGAAACAATGAGCACACCTGCCATCCAGATCTTGATTTTTAATGGCACTTTCCAATAAAAGTAAACCAGGGCTTCTGGAGGAAATGATCAATTCTAGGGCTGGGGCGGGAAATATACCCTAAAGGTACATGAAGCACCTTGCAATGCCAGGAAGTGCTTTGAGGCTGCACAGGTGCACATGCGGATGGGGGTGTGTCAGGGGGACATGGGAGCCGGCTGAAAAGCTCCCAGTGTCCAAAGCTGGAACACTTTGAGCAACAAAATAAATACTGTAATGTTGGATTATGGTGTAGTGTGGATGTTTGTCCCCTCCAAACCTCACGTTGAAATGTGTTCCCCAGTGTTGGAGGTGGGGCCTAGTTGGGAGGCGTTTGGGTCATGAGGGCAGATCCCTCATGAGTAGATCAGTGCCCTGCCCTGGGCGGGGCAGCAAGTGGGTTCTTGCTCTGTTAGTTTCCTGGAGACCTTGTTGTTAAAAAGTGCCTGGCAGCTTCCTTCTCACTCCCGCCCTCCTCTCTGACCATGTGATCTCTGCACACACCAGCGCCCATTTGCCTTCCACCCTGAGTAGAGCAGCACAAGGCCCTCCCCAGATGAGATCCCCAATCTTGAACTTTCCAGCCATCCAGAATTGTGAGCCAAATAACCCTCTTTTTCTTTATAGATGACCCAGCTTCAGGTATTCCCTTATAGCGGCACAAAACAGACTAAGACAAGATATAAAATCCACAAGTCCGTATTGGCATAAGGAAATCATTTAGTAAAGAAATAAATAAATGGGAGAGAAGAAACAAAATGTCCTGTGCAGAATTCCAGGTTATTTATGCAGCTACTCCTTACTTAAGGAGATGGCCATAGCTCCCCACTCCGTGTTGAGTGGTGACTTCCTTCCAGAGAGCACAGGGGTGGGGAGCAGCTCTGCAGCAGAGAAACTGACAGGCACGACCCCAGCCAGGCACTTAAGGTCATCATCAACAGTGATCAGTCGTGAAGCCTTGGAAGGATGGGAAGAGAAGGGGTATCACCTCTATGGTTGTCCTCCCTTAAACACATAACCACAGTCTAGTCGTGAGAACAACGTCAGACAAACCCAAATTGAGGTGCAGTCTACAACACACCTGATCAGCACTCCTCAAAACCATCAAGGTCACCCAAAACACAGAAGGTCTGAGAAACTGTTGCAGCCAAAAGGAGCCTCAGGGGACAGGACACTTAATGTGATGTGGGGTCCTGAGTGGGATCTTGGAGCAGGAGAACAGTAGATGCAAGCTGAGGCCACCTGAATCAAGTTGTGCTGAATGAGGTGTGAGCTTTAGTTAATAACAGGTCAGTATTGGTTTATTCATTGTAGCAAATGCACTGCACTGATGTATTAATAACAGGGTAAACTGGGTGAGAGGTGTAGGAGAACTCTTCACACACTCTTGTCTTCTTTTCTGTAAATGTGAATCTATTCTGAAATTAAAAGGTTATTTTAAAAGTTTAAAAAAAAAAACCAAAAAAAAAAGAAAAAACCTCTAGGCACAGTGTCGTGGGAGAGCCCTGTTTCACAAGGGGTAGTCCCAAAAAAAAAAAAAAAAAAAAAAAAAAGTACCATAGAGACTCGAAGAGAGAGGAAGCCACTGTAGGCCAGGCTGCTAAGAAGGACCTGGAAAGCAGGTGCCAGTGGCCTTGCCCTTGAAGGACAGGGAAGACCAGCACCCTGGCCATGAAGGCCCCAGCAGGTGTCCTGAGGCAGGACCAGGGCCCCAGGTCATGAGAGGAAAGCTAGGAAGTGGGGGCTCAGCAGGGAGCCTCACCAGGGGCTTTTTCCCATCTCCCCTGCAGCCTGGGCACCTGCCTGCTGGCCTGTGTGTCCAGGGGGGTCTCTGTTTTCTGCTTCTGCTGAGGAGGGAGACCTGGCAACGGGTGGCCCCTGAGAGACCATGCTGGGGAACAGCTGTGGAGAGTGAAGCCAGCGTCCCTCTTGGGACCGCATGTTCTGTTGTAGGACTTGTTCAGACTCTTCTGCCTGTTAAACCGAGGCAGCAGGACCAAGTGGGAACTGCGGACTGACTCAGCTGTTACGGGCGGTACCAACAGCAGGCAGTCTCCTACCTTCCTGAGTGTGATGTCTGGTCAGACCTGTGCCCAGTCTCCCTCAAGCGGGCCGCCTTCCCCAGCACTGCCCACTCACTCTCTGTTCCCAGGAGGCCTTTCCCACCATATCTGCTGGCTTCTCACCGAGGCCCTTCCCCACATGCTACCCACCCTGGCATTTGTTTAGCTTGCCCGACTGCTTGGAAGGGCAACCGTCCAGGCCAGGTTTCATCAGTTCTGTTCATTGTCGCATGACAGTCGTCGGCACCCCACAGAGCAGGTGTTGGGTAAATATTAATATTTACGAGGTGTGCGGGTGCTGTGGGCAGCGTGGTCCACCTTGGGCATGCTGCTGCGCTTTTCCAACTGGTGTCCCTGTGTATGCGATGGCAGTGATACACCTCATACTTGCGGGACAGAACATGCCTGTGTGAAAGGCCTGGGTAACGGCGCTTTCTTATCTCCAGCTGAGCTCTGTCTCTGCCCTCCCACTCCTTGGGCCTAGCTCTCTCTGTCGGGATCTCCCAGGACAAGTCTCGAGCCTTGTGCCTGGGGCCACCTTTAAGACATCTGAATCCTCCAAACCCGGCCTCCTTGCCCCTGCATCCCACAAGTGCCCATCTCACAGCAGCTATGTATGCCCTCTCTTCCCCCCGTATCATGAAGTCTGTGGCAGGCACCATGTCTTCCTCATCACTGTGACCCCAAGCCTGATGTCCAGTAGATGCCATGGAGTTAAAGGATTTGGGGGATGGTGGCCCTGCCCCGCAGCCCCAGCCCCTCCCCAGCTGCCCCTGTCCTCTGTACGTGGAACAGTCCTGGCTCCTGCCGTCTGCTCCTGCAGGGCTCACTCAGGACCGTCATCTGCATGGTTCATCGCTCCCATGAACTGAGTTCCACTTACTCCCAGCCTCCTCCCCTCTGCCCCTTTAAGGGGAGCCCAGCTCTGCGGGAGGAGGACAGCCTCCTGAGGACAGGGCTGCAACTGGGCTGTGGGTTGGTGCCACTGGACAAAGGTGTTTCAGCGCAGCCGGTGGCGTTGAGGGGGAGGGAGGGAGGATGAGGCGGCCCTCAGGCTGTGCCTGTACTGCGTTCCATCCCCACTGAGTAGCACGCGGGCCTTGGGAGAGGCTAGGCATTTCTGCTGGTGACACAGCCAACTCACTCTGTCCTTTCTCCCTGGCCACAGGAGGCCAGTGAGGCATCCTCAGCCCTGGGCTGTTTCCCAGCGGTCCTCCGAGCTCAGACAGCTGGGATGGAACTTGGGGTCTCACTAGCTCCCATGAGCTTTGGGAGCTGTCCACTTGGGGACTCCCCAGGGTTGGGGCTGGAACTGTTTCATGCCCTGGGGGGTGGCAACTTGAGGCTGCCCTTGCAGACGGCTCCTGGCCCTGCCCTGCAGTCTCTTCTTCCACTGATTGGTATCCCTGCCTGCCCTCCCCAGCTGAGTCCATCACTAGTGGTATAGCTCTCAAGGGTCTGTTTTCTATGAAGACAGGGACAGAAATGCCAGAGAAAGGTAGCTGGGGTATAGGTCAGGTACAGAATTTTTGAAAAGAAATTTGCCAGTAGCTGTTCTCACCCTGGCAACCACCATTCTACTCTCTATGAATTTGAGTACTTTGGGTGCTTCACATAAGTGGAATCATACAGTATCTATCCTTTTGTGACTGGCTTATTGCACTTAGCATAGTGTTTTCAAGATTCATCCATAGTATAGCACATACCAGAATTTCTTTCCTTTTTATGGCTGAATTATATGGCAGTGTATATACATACTACATTTTGTTTATTCATCTATCTATTGGTGGACACTGGAGCTGCTTCCATCTGTTGGCTATTGTGAATAATGCTGCCATGGTACGTGGGTGTACAAATATCTGTTCGAGTCCCTGTGTTCAGTTCCTCTGGGTATATACCTACAAGTGGAATTGCTGGATGAAACAGCAAATCTATAAAGTCCAGTTTAATTTTTTGAAGAAGCTCCATACTGCTTTCCAGAGTGGCTGCACCACGGTTCCAGTTACTCCATGACCTCACCAACACTGACAGTTTTCTGTTTTTTAACTTACCTCTACCCTAGTGAATGTGAACTAGCATCTCATTGTGGCTGATGTGATTTGCATTTTCTTTTCTTTTCTTTTCTTTTTTTTTTTTTTTTTTTACTTAAGAGACAGGGTCTCACTCTGTTGCCCAGACTGGAGTGCAGTGGTGCCATCACAGCTCACTGCAACCTCGAACTCCTGGGCTCAAGGGATCCTCCCTGCTCCCAAGTAACTGGGACTATAAGAGTACACCACCACATCTGGCTATTTATTTTTTAATTTTTATTTTTAGAGATGAGGTCTCACTATCTTGCCCAGGTTGGTCTCAAACTTCTGGCCCCAAGCAATCCTCCTGCTTTGGCCTTCTGAAGTGCTAGGTGACTTTCATTTTCTAATGACTAATGACGTCAGGCACCTTTTTATGTGTGTCTTGGCCATTTGTATATCTTCTTTGTATATTCACATCCTTTGTCTATTTTTAATTGTTTTTTGTTGTTGAGTTTTAGGAGCTGTTTATTCTAGATACTAATACTTTGTCAGATATATGATTTGCAAGTATTCCCTTCCCTTCCCTAGGTTGCCTTTTCGCTCTCTTGGTCCTTAGATGTACAAAGGTTTTTAATTTTGATGAAGTCTAGTTTATCTTTTTTTTTTCTTTTGTTGCTTGTGCTTTTGGCGTCATATCCAAGAAATGGTTGCTAAATCCAGTGTTACAGGGCTTTTTTCCTTGGTCTTCTGTGCATTTTATAGCCTTTGTTCTTGCATTGAGGTATCTGCTCCATTTCAAGTTCATTGTTGCATATGGTGTAGTGTCACCCTTGGTTGGTGGATCCTGCTAGCTGACCATTGTGGTGGGTGAGGGGGATGAAAAGCTGTTCTTCCCCAGTTCCCATGCCTCTCCTACCTTCTTCCCATCTACCCCCCGCCCACCCACCACCAGTTTTAGGAGGAAGGTGGGCCTTAACTGGGTGAGGGCTCCCAAGGGAAGCTCCTCTGGCAGAGGGCCCTTGGCCATTTGGCGGGGGCCCTGGTATCTCGCTGCCCAGGCAGCGGCCGAAGCCAGCAGGCCAGCCTGGCGTAGCAGGTGTGAGGAGGAACTTCCTGGTCTTGGCAGCAAGTGAAAAAGGTCCTTGTTTTCTTATTTTCTCCGTTAAAAAAAAAGTAGTTTAGTGGTTCTAACTATGCCCCTGGGAAAGCCCTGAACGGGTCATTTCCTCAGCATCCCACAAAGTCACTTGTAGCAGAAGGCCCAGCCCACGCACTGCAGCACCAAGGCTGGGGCGAGGCCCACACTGCATTGTTGCTGCTGGCATTAGCAGATGCTGCACATCTTGGAGGCCCCCTCCTGCTAATCCACGAATGCCTCAGAAAGCATGCACTGTCTCTGGGGCCAGAGCTGAATCTTAGAAGAGGGCCTACTTGGGATGGGAGCGGTAGCTCTGCGTCTGTGGTGACACCCACTGTCACATTCCAGTAGAGGGAAGGAAAGGTAGGGCCTCGGGATTTTGGCCCTGACTGCATGGTTCCTGCTTCTTCTGTGATGGAGGCGGCATGCTGTGGTGGGCTAGGAGTTAGGAAGCCTGGGCCTGAGTTTCCACGTCCAGACGTTAGGGAGAGGTGGGGTGTAGAGGGCCTTCCAGGCCTGGGTTGGCAGGGAGGCGAGCTCTTTCTCGTGATGGAGCCATGAAGGCCTGTTGGAAGGCCTGGCCTGCTTGCTGCTGAGCCTGTGGTTTCTCCCTGTTATCTGTGCAGTGTTCTGTTTTGTTTTGTTTGAAGTGTACAGGTCATTGTCTTTGAGGATATTCACGTGGTTATACAACCACCAACACAATCTAATTTCAGAGCATTTTTCATCAACCCCCAAACAAACCCTGCATCCCTTAGCTGCCACCGCCACTCCTCCCCTCCTGCTTCCCATCTTTATCGATTGGCCTGTCCTGGACGCTTGATGTAAATGGAGTCATGCAGCATCATCTCACAACTTTACCATCTGCTGGTTGCAGCAGAGTCATTGGCCCAAGGCTGGGGTGGTGGCTTCAGACCAACACCATGGACTTGGTGGCCTAGGTGCTGATCATGCAAAGGCCATTCCTCAGGGGCCTGCATCTCTTTCCAGACAGCTTCTCTACCTCATGCCCTGCAGAGCCTGCCACTGTCTGGTCTTTGCACACGTGTCATCCTGTTAACCCTTAATGAATATGGGATTTTGGTTAAAATGATGGTTTCTATTTTATAAATAAAACGTATCTATTACATATATAAGTAAATCAAATATTTATATTATAATTAAATCTATAATATAAATCTAGCAGGGTTGGCTTGTTCCATCATTCAGAAATGTTTACTGAAGCACATATTGGAAGGTGCTGACCTAGGTGTATAGAGTAAATACAAGGAGTTTTATCAGGCACCTTGTGGCTTAGTATGCAGAGCAGTTGGGCAGACCTGTGGATGGGCCATGGCCTCTGCACAGGGGCTCCCTTCAGGGAGCACAGGACAATGATCCAGGAGGGGAGATGTGCCAGGCAGGCCTCTCCGGCAGGACAGTGATAAAGGAGGCTGCTCTGTGCAGCGGGTAACCGTGGGTCTCCCAGGCCAGCAAGTAGGTCCAGGAGGCAAGGTGGGGCAATTGGTGCAGGGAGCAGAGCTTGGGCTGGGAGCTGTTGGAGCAGTTGAGTTGTGGGTTGGCTTGGCCGGATCTATGTTCATGAAGAATGGTTCTGGGGCTGTTCCTGTTGAATCATTCTGAGGCTCCCAGCACTGCTGTGCCTAGGAGGGTAGAACCCATGGGCCTCTTCACTGTGTACCAGGTGTTCCCAGCTGGCCTCATCTAGCCAAGCCTCCCACGGAACTCCCAGAATCACAGGTCTGAGGCCTCCGTCCTGCCAGTCCCCAGTCTGTATTGGTGGGCAGTGGGAAAGGGCCTGCCCCGCATGCATCTGCAGCTGGGGAGAGGGGTCAGAAATGTTTTGCAGGTAGTGTCTGGGGCCAGGTGCTGTCAGCCTGGGGCTCAGCAGAGGGGCAGACCCTGCTCTCCCCTGGAATGTGGCCTGGGAAACCAGCCTCTGGTGCTCCCCAGGGCCCCAAGGCAAGGGCCAGAGAGGCACAGGGAGAATCTGCACGGTACTCAGCTGCCTTTGGATTGACCCTTCGGCTTGGTCCATTGTTTTCAAGAGCCCTTATCAGCCATCTTAGCACAAGTAGATGGCCATGGTCTCTGAGTAGAGGATGTGCCCCCTCCCCTTGCAGAAGACGGTGGCCCATGATGCCCAGAGCTCCTCAGTCCACTGAGCCCTGCCTCTCTGCCACAGGGTAGAAGACGGAACATGCCCGACACTGTCCTCCCTCCTTCCCAAACATTCGAGGAAAGTTGTTGAACCCATCGTCTTCTGACCACCACCCTTGCTTGGTAGGAGAGTGGTGATGTGCACTGAGAAGCAGCAGGCGGCACGGGTGTGCCATCCCGAGCCTGAGCTCGAGTCCCGCTTCAGCTGTGCAGTATCGTTTGTAGTCTTGTGACAGAAGGGGGTAGATTATCACCCCAAAGGGAAATCTCTAGGCCAAAACATTAGGCCACTTCTCATTCCCCTCCCCTAGCCCCTGGCAACCACTCCTCTGCTTTTTCTCTATGGGTTGGCCTTTTCTGAACATTTCACCAAGATGGAGTCACACAGTGTGTGTCCTTTTGTGACTGGCTTCATTCACTTAGCGTGATGTTTCCAAGGTTTGCTCATGTTGGAGCATGTGTCAGGATTTCATTCTTTTTATGGCTGAATAAAATAATATTCCATTGTATGAATATTGCATTTTGTCTATCCATTTGTCCACTGATGGACATTTGGGCTGTTTCCACCTTTTGGCTATCGCGAATTATGCTGCTACGATATGATTTGTGTATATGTTCGAGTACCTGTCTTCTGTTCTTTTGGGTATATATCCAGTAATCAACTTGTTGGGTCATATGGAAACTGTCTGTAATTTTTTGAGGAACTGCTAAAGTTTTCCACAATAGCTACACCACTTTACAATCAAAACGAGGCCTATATTTAC
This sequence comes from Homo sapiens, assembly GCF_000001405.40. Lineage (NCBI taxonomy): Eukaryota > Metazoa > Chordata > Mammalia > Primates > Hominidae > Homo > Homo sapiens. Next base: position 17,117,836 of record NC_000017.11, read on the forward strand.
TACCATTTTACATTAGGGAAACTGAGGCTCACAATTTGCGACTTGCCCAGAATCACAGAGCTAGTGAGTGCAGAGCTAGGACTTGACTCCAAGGGTAGGCTCTTCTTGGCTAGAGAGCTCTGAAAACAGATTGCTTAGAGTCTACCTTAGATCTCAGAACTTCTGCAGAGGGAAACAGCTGGGAGAGCAGTGGTTTGTGGCTCCAGCTCTTCCTCCTGTCCTGGGCTGATGGAAGCCCCATGAGCTGGTCTCCCTGGCCTGTGCTGTAGGTCCAGCCTAGGTAGCCCTGGCTGGCCAAAGCTGCCTAAGGTCCTGGGAGTCTCACGGGGGCTGTGTGGCTAGCCCAGGTCATGGGGTGGTCTCCCGGCCCTTCTTTCTGCAGCCAAACTACTTCTAGGAGCCTGATCTAACAAATCACAAGCCTCTCTTTTGAGGATGTGCTGGGGACCACCCCAAAAGCCATCGGGTGTAGAATGGGCATCCAACTCTTGGCCCAAAGTCCCTCTGGGGTTGCAGGACCCTCTCTGGGGTCTGCCAGGTTGTAGCATGCAGGTTTCATGTGGGACACCTGAAGGGTGGGGAAGAGTGCAGAATCATGGCTCCCTTCCCAAGGAGGTGATAGGACCTGGAATCAGACCTGACACCTGAGGACAGGCATTGGGATGAGGGCTCAGCCCAGCCTAGGGGCTGTTCCATGCAGCTTCAGGAGGCTACAGTGTGGAGGATGATTGTGGAACTGCCCTTTGAACCATGAGGACTGTGGAGTACACCAGGACTGGCGGTGACGACTGGGAAGGGGGAAGGGAGTTCTGCCTGGTGGGTACCTGCTAGGCCCATTGTCAGTCCCTAGGCGTGGTTGGCCTAACACTTCTCTGAGTTGTGGCACAGAGGCCAGGCAGAGGCTTTGCTTACTCTGGGCCTGCATGGGATCATGACCCCTTTTCTGCGGCTCTTTCCAGTTTCCTCAGAGGACTTGGGCTTTGGGGATATCTGTCTGTGGAGAGTGCTGCTCCCTGGGGAGGTCTGCAGCCCCAGAGGGACTTTGGGCCAAGAGTTAAGTGCCCTTTCTACACTTGATGGCCTTTGGGGTAGTCACCAGCACCTCCTCAAAAGAGAGGGGCTTGTGATTTGTTAGATCGGGCTCCTAGAAGCAGTTTGGCTGCAGCAAGAAGAGCCGGGAGACCACCTTTGACCTGAGCCAGCCACACAGCCCCCATGAGCCCTGCTCCTGTGTTGTGCCTCCCAGGATGTGGGTTCCAGGGGCGCCTAGGAACTCAGCTGGTGCTCCCCAAGGGCTGTGTTCCTTCCTGAGAAAACTCTGGAGCCAATGTCCTGAATTCCAAAGAAAGGAAGGACCTCTCCTTAGACCTGGCTCGAGCAGCCAGACCATGTCTGCAGCACAGCCCACCAGCCCAAGGGAGGAGGGAGGTGGTGTTCCTGCCTGGGCGCTGCCTAATCAGGCCATAGCTCAGTGAAGTGCCAGGCTGAAGGCAGGGGCCGTGCTGGGCAAGTCTCCACGTGGTCCAGGCTGGGTAGCCCTGCCTACAGTTTCTCTGATAAACTTAGGCATGACCTTGTGCAAACAATTGTTAAGTCCAGGGAGGAAAGATGCCAAGGAGAGAGGGGCAAGGGTGCCAGTCAGAGAGGACCACACTTGTTCTGGGTGGCCCACAGAGTGCCACGTCCCATAATCACTTGGAGCCCCAGCTTGTACATTTGAAAGTCAGAACAATGATGTGCCTGCCTCCTGAAGCTGTCATCAGTACCTGTAGCTACTCAGGGCCTGGCCACAGTGAGCACCCAGGAAGTGGTGAATACACTTCCTGCTTCTACTGCAAGGCAATTCCCTGTGTCCTCCCTAGAACGTGCCGAGCTGCCTGTCCCTGCCAGAGTGCAGATGAGCAAGGCGACCGCTCAGCCCCAAAGTTTGCAGACAAAGCTTTTCATACTCCTTAAGTGGGTCACAGTGCATATGAAAAAATAATAAATACAGTGCACATGGTAGAAATACTGACTCACCGTTTTCCATTTCATGTGCATGTGTGCACTTGTGTGTGTGCTCATCATGGTGTGAATGTGGTGTTCCATGTGGGCCTTGGTTGGATGAGTTTGTGAAACATGCTGTCTCAGGACCTCAGGTGTGGGGGGAAGTCAGGTTTCACCTTGAAATCCCCTTTCTGACCTTGAGATTTTGGGAGTAATTCTTTGCCCTAGGGGAAAGCCTTTGTTTCTTGGGTCTCTGTTTTCTGGTCTGAATGAGGGATTGGGGGATAAAGGGAAGACTCCCACCCAGGTCTCACGTGCGACTGGTTCTGTAACAGCAGCTGCCTGGAAGGAAGGTCCTCCTGATGATAACGCCAAACAGCCTCTCACCATATTTCTGCTTACTTTCCTCTTGTTTCCCTCTGGCTCTTAGAAGCTTGCCTTCCCACACTCATGGGGTCAACAAGAAACAAAGGCCTGTTTTCCCAAAAGTGCTTCTGCTTGGGCCAGGGGTGTGGTGGAGAGTCCCCGGTTGGAGAGGCTGCTATAGCAGTATTATCCTAACCCAGGAAGGTCACTCTGGCCTCTGACAAGATGCCCTGGCTGCAGTGCACAGAGCTTCCAGCCTCCCATGGGCCTGTGGACAGAGGACCGGCAGGAGGAGCAGGGTGTGCTCATCTCTTTGGAGAGAAGCCTGAGTCCTGTGTCCTCCTGCCTAAACAATCTGCAGCCTGTAGCAACTCTGCCCCTTAGCTGGGGTAGGGTGGAGCCCAGAAGAGGACCAGAGGCTCCAGATAGCTGGAGGGCTATGTGGGGGCTGAACCCATAACTTGGTGACATAGCAGAGTCGATGGCCTACAGAGGGCCGTCTCTTTTTTTGGAAAATGAATCAAACAAAACTAGGTGAAGCTCAGCCTCCTAGGAAACCTGGATTCCTGACCTCTGGAGGTATAGAATTAGGGCAGGAAGCTCATCAGAGTTGCTTTGCTGACAGCGTTAGAGCTGAGGCGTTCCTTCTGGCTGGATTTGGGTTACAGCCTAGATATTTGCCCTTACTCTCGCAGCACAAGATTCAGGCCTACCCAGACACAGATGGTTGTATCCTGCCCCCTAGGCAGAGGCAGGGGAGGGGAGAGGTGCTGGCTGAGGGGCTCCCTGGAGCCATTGGTTGAGTCTGTTCAGTCTGGAAATGCTGCTGAGTGCAGAGCAGCAGGGGGACCAGCTCTGGAACCAGAGTGCCTGGGTTTGAATCCTGACATGGCTACTTCCTAGCATTGTGACCTTAAATCAAAATTACAGTTCTGCGTTGTTTAATGACAGGCACACATCCTGAGAAATGTGTTTTCTCAGGCAGTTTGGTCCTTGTGTAAATATTCTAGAGTGCACTTACACAAAGTTAGACAGTACAGCTTATTGCACACCTAGGCTTTGTGGTAGAGCCTATTGCTGCGAAGCCATAAACCTGTACAGCATATACTGCAATATCACAAGCAGTTATAACACAGTGGCAAGTATTGATGTATCCAAACCTAGCAAAACATAGAGGGAGCTGTTGACTAACATCGTTGTGCGGTGCATGACTGCACCTAGCTTCTTAGCAGTCTGCTTCCTTGTCTGCGGGATGAGAGTGACAGTAGTGCCTGCCTCATAGTGTGTTCGGAATGTTCAGTGAGAGGACACGGGAAGAGTTTGCAGCAGTGCGTGGTATTCAAGGGCATGGGCGCAAACATGAGCACCATTGTGCCCTGCGCCTGTGCTGGTGCTGTTGTTGCTGCTTCCCCATCGGCAGCAGGGGAAGGGGGAACACTGCACTACTGAGACTTGGAGGGAGCTATTTTCTTTTTCTTTTTCTTTTTTTAAGTTCAGGGGTGCAAGTGCAGGTTTGTCACATAGGTAAAGTTGTGTCATGGAAGTTTGTTGTACAGGTTATTTCATCACCCAGATATTAAGCCTAATGCCCATTAGTTACTTTTCCTGATCTTCTCCCTCTTCCCACCCTCCCCACTCTGAAAGGCCCCAGTGTGTGTTGTTTCTCTCCATGTGTCTATATGTTCTCATCATTTAGCTCCCACTTACAAGTGAGAGCATGTGCTGTGTGGTTTTCTGTTCCTGTGTTCGTTTGCTAAAGATAGTGGCCTCCAGCTCCATCCATGTCCCTGCAAAGGGTATTATCTCATTCTTTTTTATGACTACATAATATTCCATGGTGTATATATATCACATTTTCTTTCTCTGGTCTGTATCATTGATGGGCATTCCGTGTCTTTGCTATTGTGAATAGTGCTACAGTGAACATACATATGCATGTGTCTTTATAATAGAATGACTTATATTCCTTTGGGTATATACCCAGTAATGAGATTGCTGCATCAAATGGTATTTCTATCTTTAGGTCTTTGAGGAATTGCCACACTGTCTTCCACAATGGCTGAACTAATTTACACTCCCACCAACAGTGTATAAGTGTTCCTTTCTCTCCACAATCGAAGGGAGCTGTTTTTTGTTTTCATTTTGTTGTTTTTTTGTTTATTTGTTTTGTTTTGTTTTGTTTTTGAGATGGAATCTCGCTCCATCACCCAGGCTGGAGTGCAGTGGCGCAATCTCGGCTCACTGCAAGCTCCGCCTCCCGGGTTCACGCCATTCTCCTGCCTCAGCCTCCCGAGTAGCTGGGACTATAGACGACTGCCACCACGCCCAGCTAATTTTTTGTATTTTTAGTAGAGACAGGGTTTCACCGTGTTAGCCAGGATGATCTCGATCTCCTGACCTCGTGATCCGCCCGTCTTGGCCTCCCAAAGTGCTGGGATTACAGGCATGAGCCACTGCGCCTGGCCAAAGGGAGCTATTTTATAGCAGGTCCTCAGTACGTACCTGGACCTGTCTTCCAAGAGTGCTGGTTAGAAGCAGTACATAAATACAATTTAAAAAGTTAGTCCCAAACCCTCACGCAGTGCTAGTGGGAATGTGAGATGGCACAGCCACTTTGGGAAATAGTCTGGCAGCTCCTCAGAGTTAAACATATAGTTTCCATATGACCCAGCACTTCTGCTCCTAGGTACACACCCAAGAGAAATGAGAGCACAGGAGCACTGTACAGGAATGTGCACAGCAGCACTATACACAGTAGCCAAAAAATGGAAACAGTCCAAATGTCCATCAACAGATGAATGGATAAACAAAATGCGGTATAGCCGCACAATGGAACGTTATTCAGCTGTAAAAAGTATTGAAAGACTGACACATGCTGCAATGCGGAGGAACCTTGAAAATATGCTAAATCCTTGAAAATATGCTAAATGGAAGCCAGATTTTTCCATTTATGCAAGGTATCCAGAAGAGATGCATCCACAGAGGCAGGAAGCAGGTTAGCAGTTGTTGAGGTGGGGACAGGTGTCAAAGGGAAGTGACTGCGAATGGCTTTTCAGGGGGAGATGGAAATGTTCTGCACTTGATTGCAGAACAGCTCTGTGAACATGATGCTAAAAGCCATTGAACTGTACACTTTAGGTAAATTGTATGTAAATTATATCTCAATAAAGCTGTTGTTAAAAAGAAAAGTTAGGCCAGGGGCGGTGGCTTCGCGCCTGTAATGCCAGCACTGTGGGAGGCTGAAGCAGGCGGATCAGTTGATGTCAGGAGTTCGAGACCAGCCTGGCCAACATGGTGAAACCCCGTCTCTACTAAAAATACAAAAATTACTATAAAATACAAAAATATAATACTAAAAATACAAAAATTAGCTGGGTGTGGTAGCATGCATCTGTAGTCCCAGCTAGTTGGGAGGCTGAGACAGGAGAATCCCTTGAACCCAGGGGATGGAGGTTGCAGTGAGCTGAGATCACACCACTGCACTCCAGCCTGGGCAACAGAGCGAGACTTCGTCTCAAAAAAAAAAAAAAAAAAAAAGAAAGAAAAAACGAAAAGTTAATACCAGGATTAAATAAAAATGAGATCATCTGATTAAGAGCAGGAAGTTTTTTTTCCCTCCTCCATGGAAATAGATTGGGCTCTGGAGTTAAAATATTCCCTTCTTTGATAACGTATTTACCCCCATTTGCTCTCCTTTCTCTGTGTGTGATAGGGTTAGGTGATGCCCGCCTCACAGTAAGTAATATTGAAGAGGGCATAAAAGGGAGTGTAACTGTGAAATCTTGACACACAGGTAGTTAATACATGCTAATTTCCTTCAGTCCTGGCTCAGCTTGGTATGTTTTTGCCTTTTATTAATGCTTCTGAAATCCTTTTTGGAAGGAGATAGAACCCTCACTTTGCACATGAGGAAACTGAGGCCCAGAGAGGTGGAGAGGTGGAAGGCATTGCTTCATACTCATTTGGTGAGGCTGAGACACAACCACGTTCAGCAGCAGAGCAGGGGCTTTGTTCAGCTGGGGGCCAAGTGCCCAAACAATTACTGCGTAAGAGGGAAGAGTGGGCTTCAGGGACAGTGAGCAATTTGGTGACACTGAACCCTGGAACAGTGGCCTCAAAGTGGGGTCTGTGCCTCCAGGGGGCCGGTGGATGATCCCTTGAGAAGAAAACTTTGGAATTTCTGTTGATATATTCCATCTAACATATGTCTCTGTGTGTGTGTGTGCACACGCATGCACACTCATAATAGACTGGCACCATGGTATGGATACACAGCTCATCCAGGGCCTGTACTGTCAGCAGTTTGAGACCACGGTCCCAAGGACCAGGGTGGGAGTCAAAGACCAGAGAGGAAGGGCCACCTTAGGAAAGCCCCTCTGCCTCCACAGTGGTTCCTTCAGGATGGCTTCTGACACTCTAGTAACGAGTGCACTGGCCACTTTACCATTTCATGTCATCCAGTCCTCACTGTGGTCCATGGAGTTTCCTCAGCAAACAAGAGAGTCCACCTCAGAGAGACAAGATGCCTTGTCTAGGGAGGTGGAGGTGGGGTGCGCTTTTGCATGGGGGTGTTGGGCTCAAGAGGGAAGTCAGAGCAACCCTTCATTTGCCCAGAGGGTTCAGACAGGCACCTGCACTATGCCAGGATGCCCAGGATGAGAATTTCTGTCAAATAGAGTAAAGGGGCTGGAGCTGGAGAGAGGAGATTAGGAAAGCCAGGACCCCCACCTTGGGCAGGAAGGCCCACCTGTCCTGTGGCTGTGGCCATAGCACTCAGTGTGGGTCTCCCCAACCAGAAGGTGGCAGGGGCTTGGATCCAGGCTTCCTGGACTAACATAAAGATGGGGTCTGAGGCTGCCTCCTGTACCCTCTCCTTCTCAAGAAACACCCACTGCTTGGTTGCAGAGCAACCCTACCCATCTCCCTTTCCTGGCTCCTTCTCAAGGACCCTCCAAGAGTGTCTGGAAGAGACACCTGCGGGCCACTCCACTGATGGAGAGCACTGAGCTGGGCTTGAATGTGGCTCCTCCTCGTGTCCCCCCAGGGTCAGTGTTGAGGCAGGATGCCAATGGTGTATGCTGAAAGGGTGAAGCCACTGAAGGAGGCTTCCCTGTGAGCCCAGCCTCCATCCCACCTGCTGTGCCACCTCCCTTCTGAGCTGGACCCACGGGGGATGGCTGAGTCCAGAGACCCCACAAGGAAAGGCTTCTTGGACCTGGACATTTAACCATGGAGAAAAGAGCCAGCAGCCATGTAGGCAAGGGCTCTGCAAAGCCAGCAGCCCTCCGGTCTGACTCCTGCAGGCAGGCATCAAGGGGTGTAGAAAGAGGTGGCAAGTAGGTCAGAGGAAGTAACAGGAAGATCACAGGAGCTTGAGGTGGAGGGACAAGGAGGTTGCACCTAACCTGTTTCTGAAAGGAAGAAGGTCGGGGTGTGGAGAGTGGTTGGTCTGAGCTCAGCATGGGCACCAGACCCAGCATCCTGCTCTTGAGACCAAGCCCCCATTGACTGTCAGCAAGGAGCTTGAGGCTGGATGGCCTCTGGGTGGAAGGCAGCCCAACTGCAGGCCACCCCTCAGATGGATCAGAAGCATCTTCTGCTTCTTCAAGAATGAGAACAAGGAAATGGTGGGCTGTTGGGGGTGCTCAGTGGAGAAGCCAGCAGCTGTCCATTAGTGGGGTGGAGTCAGTGTGGAGTGTGTTAAGGACAGGGGCACCCCTGGTGTGGTGGTAACCATGGCAACCCATCTGCTCTCCCAAAGCATCCTTACGTTGGGAGAGTAAGAAAGAGGCCAGAGGGTACAGGGCTAAACAAGTCATCTCCATAAAGGTCCTCTTGCCTAGCCCTTTGCCTCAGTAGGGATTTCTTAAAGGCATCCTTTCCTGCTTTTGGTTTTCTGTCCCTAATTTCAGTGTGTAACAGTTTTTGCTGTAAGAAAAAAAGTTACTGTTTGCCATGCCAGAGCTGGTGTGGCAGCCTTTGCTGGGCTCTGCTATGGCCCTGGGAAGGTGCCGTGGGCCAGGCTGCCGGGCGTGCTCCTTGGCCGCCTCTAAAGAAGGCACAGTGCACCCACCCCACAGCCTGCTCTCAAGGATGTGGCTTCTCTCTGGCCCCCTCCTTGCCTCTAAAAATAACCCTGCTATTTTGAAACTGCCTCCTCTGGAGCTTTTTCTTGCTTCTCTGTGGGATCAGCAGCCCTTCTGAGACCAGGATCTCAGCTGCCCCTGTCACCGCAGCTGTCCCCATCCTGTCCTCCCCTGCATATCCCCTCCAGTGCAAGTGGGATGTCGCTCTCCACGTAGGAGGGATGTTTAGCTGGGTGTCCTCTGGAGAAGGCCAGGCCTGTCCCTGTCCTCCCTGGGATGGGCACAAAGGAAGAGGAGCTGGGGCTGGAGTGAGGGAGAGCACTCCTAGAGGCCCCACAGGCTGGGAGGGTCAGGAATGGCCTGGGGCTGTACGACATCTGTGGCCCCATTGGCTGGCCTCTGGGTGACTCTCTGCCGCCTTCTTCCAGCCCACGACCCTTCCTCAGGGCACCATCAACATGAACCAGTGCACAGATGTGGTGGATGGGGAGGGCCGCACGGGCCAGAAGTTCTCCCTGTGTATTCTGACGCCTGAGAAGGAGCATTTCATCCGGGCGGAGACCAAGGAGATCGTCAGTGGGTGAGTATGCTGGCACTGTGGAACAAGGCACCACCACCTGCCACAGGGCCAACACCAGATGGGCCGCCTGCCCCTGTGGCAGTGTCGATGTTGTCTACTTCCCCGTGTGCCTCTATTCTTGGGCTCTGTCTCTGTTCTCAACACCGCTGTGTGCTGAGCACAGCAGAAATCAGGACATTCACCATTCCACCTGCAGCCTCTGGGGCCCCTCTTTGCTCTGGCCACCTTACCCTCCTCGGGCCTCCCCACCATTGCACTCACCACACCCCCAACTCACCTGCCCCTCCACCTGGAAGGGGATCAGTCCCTGAATCATATGACCTGGGCACGCCCTCCCCCAGTCTGGGATGGCTGCTCCTCCTTCCAGGGCTGGTGCTGGGCTCCACCACCTATGAAAGCGCCAGGTTATCTGCTGTGTCCACGTGTGTCTCTGTCAGTGGTGGTGGGGGTGGGAGGTGTCTCAGTCACATCCCCAGCACCTCACACCCGAGCCACTCTGCTGCCACTGCACAGATTGGTTTCTGTGAGTGGAGAGAATGGGTAAGTGTCTCACTCACCCAGGTCCCCTGAGAGTGGCGAACTGGCTCAGGTTGAGAGAGCCCACAGTCCAGGGGCCTGAGCGCAGTGCTGAGCCCAGGGCAGCATCTGCCTTCCCAGAGCTCCCAGTCTAGCAGGGAATTCTTTGCTACCCACATGGCCTGGGCCATGGTGAAAAGCCGTACATAGTCCGTGCAGGTGAACAGGCTCATTGGGCCTGACAGGAGCTCACAAACTGGATCTCCGAGAATCCCTGTCTTGCTTAAGGCTGAGAAGGAGGCACATGAGTCTAAGAAGCTCTGGGAGAAAGTAAACCTGGGGCTTGCTGGGCCAGGCTGACTGTAGCAGTACAGAGTAGAGGGAATCAGGAATACGAAGCCCTTGAGTTTGAACACACAGATGACTCGGAGCACCAGCCTTTCTTTAGCCTCTCAGCTGCAGCCTGGCCAAGCCTGGTGAGTGAGCACAGCTGGAAGTCCAGGGCCACATGGCAAGGCGTCCAGGAGCCAGTGCTGGGTCCCGGGGGCGCTCTCTGCGGGGGTGTGCTCTCCCCTAGAGTCCTCCCCTGGAGAGAGGCAGGTTTGCATTTCTGAGCACCTGGAGCCGAGCTGGAGGAGCACTTCTGTCTCCCACAATCTTAATCCAGAACCATATGATCAAGAATGTCAAGGGCCTCTGAAGAACCCTCGTGGTACAGTCGAGGAGACCCAGGGCCTAGAGACAGGAGCCTGGCCAGGGGCACCTTCTGCACTTTCTGGCTCACACCTGTTTCTGCTGTTGGCCGGGCAGCACACAGCCGAGGCTTCCTCTGCCCAGGTGGCTTCCCTAGGAAACCCTCACCCTTTCCACAGGAGCTGGGTCCCAGGGAGGGTGTGGGTAACAGGTGGGATGGATGGGAGTCCTGGGTCTCCAGGGCAAGCTGGGGAGTGTCTGGAGCAGGGTTGGTTCTAGGACCAGCACATAGAGGTATGTGTTGTACCATGTGGTATTAGGAGAGGGTGATGTTTAGCATTTGGACTGCCTCCAGCAGGCAGCTTAAGTCCTGCCAGAAGTCCTCACTCCATCCCAAGCCCCTCTCCTGGGTCACTTCTCTGCTCTCTTCTGTTGCATATTCAGGCTTGCCATACCCATGCAGCTTGGGTAGACAAGATCGTTAATGGACCAAGGTACCGGGTGCACATGCCATCTGGGCCCTACGTGTGTGGTGGCTCAGTGGCGTATCCAAAGCCAGAATAAGCTGCCTGACGCTCTTCCCCTTCCCCTCGCCCTGGTTGTGGGCCACGTTAGTTCGTGTCCAACAGGCAGGTTCTCACGTGGCATAACCTCGTGATCCGCCCTCACCTTCCCACAAGCTGGGATGCTCAGCTGCGTGAGGGAGTCAGGTGTGGCCTATGCACCCTGGGGACAAGTGCTTTTGCCTCCTTCTCCCATTCCTCTGTCTCCTGCCCTCGCTGACAGCCCCCTTCCTCTGCTCCCTCTCTTGCCTCCCTCTGTTTCCCATTATAACTCCTCTTCCCAGTAACCTCATCCCTAGGCTCTGGAGCGCCATTCTGGGTCTGAGCTCTCTGGTCACATCAAAGCTGGTCCCTAAGAAGGTGCAGACACTTCCACCAGGCAGCTGGGAGCTGGGTGGGTTGGGGACAGTCCCACCCAGTCTTCTTCCCAGGTCTTCTCTGCATAGCCCTGACAGCTGCGTGGGCTGCCGGGTCTCTCCTGGGCCTGGGTAGAGGAAGTTGGCAGCTCTTTCCAGTTCCCACTTCCAGGATTCTGGGCCACACTTTACATAGCTCTTTTAGACGAGGTGGGTTTGGGTAGGAGTTGGCAAGGGAGCTCTTCTGTGCTCTCAGCTGGGTGAAGTCTGGACTTCCCTTCTCCCTGCCCTGCCTTTTAACCTTACCCACTCCCCTGTTCTCACTCATCCGGGCTCTGCCGTCCCTATCCGGGGAGCCCCAGCACCTACCAGTCCCATATTCACACCCCTCTCCTCTCTTCTTGGGGTTTGTTTTGTTAACATTTATAACACATCTGGATGATGTTAGACGCTTCCTATTGGGCTTCCTTGAGAAATCCAAGTGCAGAGGACACATTCCATCATCTATTCCTGGACCCTGCATCTCTGCGACTCCAGCCACAGACTGCAGTCTGAACAGAGATTAAGTTGCATAATGGGACTGAGGCCACATGAGACACCTGCTGTCCTGACTCCTCCCGAGTCCTAGGCTTGCTGGAGCCAGCCCAGGAGAGCTCAGCAGCTCCACGTAGTCAGCAGAGCACCTGCGGTGCAGCCTTCTCCCCTCCCCTCCAGGTTCCATCCTGCAAGGCCATTAGTCATTGCTGACTGATGGAACCTGGGCCAGTCTGCAGGGGCCTGGGGTACCTGGCAGGGTTCTGCACCTCCAGCATGCTCCACACCTTGGTGAAGTTTTAAGTGCAGCCTTCTGCAGGCACAGTCCCTCAGAGTGGTCAGAAGAAGTGGCAGCTGCCATGGCAGACTGGAAAGGCAAACCTCTTTAATCCCATAGGGCTTGTGAACATCCCAGGTTGTATGAGCGAGGCCCTCTCCTGGGACCTCTGCTCCCAGCCAGCCTTGATGAGAAGTGTGACCAGGGAGGAGAGGGGCTCAGGACCCTCAGAAGGCCTGCCTGTCTGCTGGCTTTGCAGATAGTCACAGCCTCCTTTCTTGTTTTGGGGCCGTGGAGGAATGACCCACAGGACCTGTGGCTTGGATCTCTGGCATTGCAGGTGTTTATTCATTCTCTCAGCAAATCGAGCATCACTGGCTGTGGGCTGAGCTGGGCTGAGGGTGGCCCCTCAGCTCTGTTGCTGTGGTTCCGTGCATTAAGCCTGGCCTCTGCCGCCACCACCTGTCAACAGCACACCCATCCTGAGGCTGTCTCAGAAGCCAGTGATTGTGACTGACCCTTCCTTTGTCTGTTTGTCCCTCCTTCCCTCCTTTCTTCATTTTCTCCTTCCCTCTCTTCCTGTCCTCCTCCCCTCCCTCCCTCCTCCCCATGCTCTTCCTCTCTTCGCTCCTCTATCCCTTTTCCCCCTCCCCTCCTCTCCTCTCCACCTCAAATTAAAGAAATACCTCTGGGCACAGAAGACTCGAGCCCTTCTCCTGCCCCAGGCTCAGTGTGCTGCTGGGTGCTGCACCCGTGTGATCTCTAGCAGGATACAGCAGTACAGACCCCCCCATCCCCAACCCTGGGCCCAGGCTGCCAGCAGGCCCAGCGTGGACCCTGGTGCTGAAAGAAGACCTGGAGCGGTGTCTTCTGAGGCTCCTTCCACTCTGGAGAGGACACTAGGGCTGCCCTTGCACAACCAGGCCCAGGGCTGGAGCTGGGGCTTCAGAGGCAGGACCTACACTGCCCTCCGCTCCTCCCACCCCCGTCGTCTAGCCCCCACAGGACTGACAGGCAGCTCTGGCAAGGCAACTGCTGTTGGTTCCTTTGTCTGTTGTAAAATTCTATATGGTGGAAGTAGTTGTGCCATGATCTGATCTAGCTCCTGATTTCAGAAATGAGAAGATTGAAGCTCCTAAGGGGCCAGGAGCCACCCAAGATTGTGCTGGGATAGTGGCAGAACCAGATCCAGAGTCGTCCTGCTGGCAGCGCCTGCTTTTGCTGTGTTCCCTTGCTGCACCCCTGGTGTCTATCCAGAGTGAACTTGCCACACACAATCCCTGATGGGTCCCTGGGCAGCTCTGCCCAGCCTTCCTCAAAGCCAGGGTGCCCAGCACCCTCCCTCTGCAGGGACTGTGGGAGTTCAGCAACCCCCCACACCCTAGTCCCTCAAGAGTACCCATTGTGGGAACTTGACCAGCACAGCTCCTAGATTCTGGCCTCAGGGCCAGCACCTGCCTCTGTTGCCCTAAATGGGCACAGCTCGTCTGTACTCTCACCAAGCCCACTCTGGGAGAGCAGTGTTAGGGCAATTCCAGGCCCTGGAGACAGGGTCAGTAATGGAAGTTACACATCCTATGCTCTGAGGCCATGGCCAGGCCAGGCCTCTCTGCCAGCACGGAGTCTGTGTCGTGTCCTGAGCCTGCTGTGGGTGTGGCAGGGTCATTGTCCAGGCTTGCTCTGTGGCACTTCTGGCCCCAGCGTAGCAGTCTGTCACTGGGGACAATGCCCTGCTCTACTCCTGGACCACCCGGCAAGGGCCAGGGCTCCTAGTCCCCGAGTGCCAGGGTCTTACCTGGTACTTGTCTCCTTTTCTCTTCCCAGGTGGCTGGAGATGCTCATGGTCTATCCCCGGACCAACAAGCAGAATCAGAAGAAGAAACGGAAAGTGGAGCCCCCCACACCACAGGTAGGCAGTGGGTTTGCCAGATGGCATCCCCTCAGTGGAGCCAGGGCTTGGGAAGAAGTGAGGGCTCCCTGAGGTTAGAGGGTGAGGACACAGTCAGGCCAGGGCTGAGGCAGTCACCAACTCTGCACATCCTTGCTTTGGGCTGCAATCTGCAAGATCCTCACTGAGCCACAGGGGAACCACAACAGGGACAGGGTGGCCTGCTAGTGTGCTCTGGGGCTGCCCAAGGGAAGTTTCCAGCCAGCTAGCAGTACACAGCTGTGACCCCTCCCCTCGCTATCCTGCTGGCAGCTGGGGAGGGGCAGCACGGGCAGCCTGCAGCCACAGTCAAAAGGACTCTGCACCCACAGATGGCCCTGCAGGCAGCCGGATGCAGTAGGATGGGGAGGAGAATTCTGGAGTGGTATGGCCCATAAGGAGCTCACAGGGGCCCTTGCTGCAACTCCCATGTGACCTGAGCAGGGCGTGGCTGACTGGGGTGGTCCCTCAAGGCCCAGTCCTTCCCCACAGGCCATGATCCTCCTTCCCTCCCTGGCCAGTGTGCAAGGCTTAGGGCATAGAAGGGTCCTACACCGCCTTACCACACTCCCCACGTTCCTGGGGCCATGGGGGAATGAGGTAACCTTTTTTGAGCCTCAGTTAATCAACTTGCAAAGCAGGCCTGTTGCTGCCTAATCGCCAAGATTGTTGTGAGCATGAAAGGAAGTTTTGGACCTATTATAGGTTCTCAGTAAATGTAATTCCTTTCCCTCTGTACCATACGCTACTCTTCCCAAGTCCTGAGCCTCATAGTCACCCGAGAGGGAGCAGGGTGGGGATGGGGGTCCCTTGGGCATCACAAGGCCAGAGGCCCACAGAAGTGAAGAGAGCCAGCCCACGGGCTACAGAGGTCAGGGAGCATGCACTGGTCTGGGTCCCTTTCTCTCCTCAGCCCCTTGGGCTGCCCTTGGATATACCTGCCCTGGGCTGCTGTATTGGCCCTCCTGCTGATGGAGTCAGCCTGGGCCACTCTCAGCCCATGGTCATCCACCCTCCATCCTGGGGTCAGGGAGGCAGGTGGGGGACACCCAAGCCAACATCCGCTGGAAAGGAGATGTCGCTAGCAAGAAGTCAGCGAAAAATACAGAGTGGTTCCTGGGACTGAAAATGGAGCTTCCTGCTGGGGAACAGCAGTTAATACGTAAATCCCCCAAAGCTTCCCAGTTGGAGAGAAACAAAAAAATCACAGGCAGAATAACAGCGTTTAGGGTTACACTGCGTTTCCATGGTGATGCCTTGGAAACAGTGCAGAAGCGGAGCTCCTGCCTCTAATAAGGTAACTCCAAGTGCAGAAGCCGCTCTCAGCCCAGTCCAGGGAACTTGCTTGCTCTCCCTCCCTCATGACACCCAGCTCCCCAAAACAGCTACCCATGACCAAGTTTCAACTTTTTTGTTGGTAGAAGGAGCCACATGATCCCAGGGTGGGTAGGTTACCCACTTCACTGAGGGTCTCTTAGAGTCTGGAGCACAGGGTTCCTAGCCTTCTGCACTCAGGCCCCTCCTAAGACAACCTTGCGGGGTCTCTCCTTTCTACCCTTTGGTCCCGAGAGCATCCCATTTGAGGCTGCTTGTTTCCAGAAGCTTTGAATTGTAATCAGAGGCCATCTCTTTGTCAAGTCAGTCTTGTGGGGTGACGTGGGGGCACTGCAGAGGAGCAGCAGGGTCCATGGTTGAGATGGGATCTTTGGTCAGGCCTCCCCTCTGCATGCAGCCTGATGCTAAAGGCATTCTCATGGCCTAGGGTGGGGCTGGGGGTAAACCTCACACCTTCAGAGCACCTGGAGAGGCGAGAACCCAAGACCCTATATTTCTTTCTCCATGGCCCAGTGTTGGCCCGGGAGAGTTTCAGATTGAACCAGTGGAGAGCTTGAAGCGTTGGCTGCCTGTTGTGCCCAGTAAGAATCAGCTTCTCCCCTTAAGGAACTCAGGTGGGACCTTCTGGAAGGTTCTGCTTCCAGAAGTTGGGGCCAAGGATCGCACTGCGGGAGCAGCAGACAGCCTTTCAGCTGAGGGCGGGAGTCTCAATAGAGTCTAGGCCTGGGAGAAGAGAAGGGCTTGGCCCTGACAAGAGTTTCCAAAGCCTGTGGCCTGAGAGGCGTGGGCTCCAGGCAATAAAGGAAAAAGCCTGGAGCAGAAGGAAACGATGACCCATGTAGGTGTGAAGGGCGGAAGGATGGAGATGGTTGGGAAGCCCAGAGCTGTGTTTCCAGCCAGGTGTGCAGGCCCCGGGTCTCCACTCCTCTGGTGGAGCTGAAGGAGGCCCGCTCCTCCATCTCCCAGCCCCCCAGGTTCTTCTGCTTTTCTCTGGCTTTCTTCTGAGTTCAGTGTGAGCCCAGCCAGCACCACCAGGCCCACATGTGTGTCTCCTTCCTTAAGAATCCTGTTTTTTACTGGGATGTCTACTGTCACCCCCACTCCAAGTTAGAATTCTTCCTTCCCGTTGGTTGCCATGCTCCGTGTTCCTGCTAGGGAAGTGGGGAGCCTTCTGAAACTGCTGCAGAGAGAGGCCCTGCTTGGCAAGCAAGGCTCTAGAGCAACTTGTGCTTTGGGGAAGCGCTGCTGCCGGGGTGGGCAGTTAGGGTGGTTCTGCCCTGGGTCTTCTTCCCAGGGCAGCACAGCTGCTGGTTTCCCATGGGTAAGCAGCCCAGGATGCTGTGCTTGGTGCAGGGACAGGTCGTCCTGGGGCGGCATCCCCTTGGGTCATTGGAGCCCTTGGGAAACTTGTCAGGAGAAACCTTCACTGTTTGCTTCCGAGAAGCTGGCTTCTTCTGAGGGGAGCCTTCAGCCTGGGAGTCTGTCTGCTGGCAGCCCTAAGCTGAGTAGGTGGTCAGGTGTGCGTCCTGGGTCTGTGGGAAGAGCCTCCCTGCTTTTATCCTGTCCGTGAGGCCTGGAATCCTTGCAAAAGTGCCAACAGCTTTGGACCCAGAGCCCCACCCAAGGCAGTGCCCCACCACCCCATGGCCTTCCTGCTTCTGGAGCACGTGGTGGAAACACTCAGACCCCCATGCTGCCCCTCACTGGCTGTGTGCGTGTGGGCCTGCTGCCTCTTCTGTCAGCGCCTGCGGCCTCCCTTGGGAGGTGGGTGGGTGAGACTGGATGTATGGATCCCAGCCAGGCTATTGATAAATAGTCTGGTGGTGATGCTGCATCTGCAAGTGTGCGCACATACATGCATATAAAGAACCTGTGTCATCTGCAAGCCTCTCCAAGGGCCCAAGCCAGAGAGAGACTAAGGTGGTTTTCTAAAAATGAGGCTTGGCCATCAGGATGGGAGTGGGAAGTGGGCACTTGTATATCATGCTCTTGTCTTTTGCGAGAGAGCTGAGATGTGCTTCACTTTTGGAGAGGGGCCAAAGCCATCCTGTTGGCAGCCCTCTGGGCAGGGTTGTTGGGGCCCAGGATGTGACCTGGCACTGCGGAGCAGCTGAGGATCACAGCCCTGCTGTTGCCTGGATTCTGTGTTTGCAGAGTCAAGTTAGGGTTCTCTGCCCAGGGACTGCCTCTGCATCTGCCTAAATGCCTGCCCCACAAACACTTCTCCCTCGGAGCTACCACTTCCAGAACCATGGAGAGATTGGGGATTGACACCTTTTCCATCTGGGCTACTGGCTTGTATCTAGCTTTGTGTGTGAGCTTGTGAGTGTGAGAGAGCAAGCATGTGCACATGAATGTGTATATGCATTTGTGAGTGTGTGCCTGTGTGCAGATTCAAGTGGGGTATTTGGTGTCTTTGTGTGTTCTGTCTGCTATAATAAAATACCACAGGCTAGTCAGCTTATAAATAATAGAAATTTTTCTCACAGCAGGCTGGTTAGTCCAAGATTAAAGTGCTAGTATTTTGGGTGTCTGGTGAGGGCCCCCTTGCTGGTCCTCACATGTTAGAAGGGGCAAGGCAGCTCTCTGAGGCCTCTTCTATGAAGGCACTAATCCTGTACATGAGGGCTCCACTCTCATGACCTAATCACCTCCTAAAGGCCCCACCTCCTGATACCATCACCTTGGGGGTTAGGATTTCAACACATGAGTTGTGGGGAGACACAGACATTGAAACCATAGCATTTAATTTGCATCTGACGACTCTTTCCTTCACATAGCGTCTGGGCACTCCATTTTAGCTTCTTAGGGGCAAAAAGCAGAGGGTGGGTAAGGCCACAGGGCTGGCCCAGACTTGGGCGCTGTGAACTTGTTCTTGCATTCACTGTAAGGAGCTACAGATGATGCTGGACCTGTCTCGAGGGTGTGTTCTCTTTCCTTACTCTGTTCTGTCTCACCTTATTTGAGTCTTGGATGTCTAGGAATGACAGACTCCAAAGCAACTACTGTGGTCTCACTGTTTTGGGGCAGTATCTGAAGATTCCAGGCCCCTGACATTGTGTAGCTGGCCCGGGTGCCCCCTATAGCTAGGCAGCCAGGACCTGTGACCCAACCTGAGCTGTGTGCTCCTGCACCTTCACAGACACCACTTTCTCCTCCTCCAGGAGCCTGGGCCTGCCAAGGTGGCTGTTACCAGCAGCAGCAGCAGCAGCAGCAGCAGCAGCAGCATCCCCAGTGCTGAGAAAGTCCCCACCACCAAGTCCACACTCTGGCAGGAAGAAATGAGGACCAAGGACCAGCCAGATGGCAGCAGCCTGAGTCCAGCTCAGAGTCCCAGCCAGAGCCAGCCTCCTGCTGCCAGCTCCCTGCGGGAACCTGGGCTAGAGAGCAAAGAAGGTGAGCGGAGGCCAGGCTGGCTTGTATGCACGGGAATGGCCCTCCCTCCCATCAGAGCTGGCCCTGGGGATTCAGCCAAGGCCTGTAGAGCCCAGTCGCAAGCCTGGACCTCGATTCCCTTTGTCCATCAGCCCTGGGGGTAGCACCTGGCCTGGTATGTTCTGAGATTCCCGGGCTCCAGTCTTGGCCTTGCCCCTTCTAGCTCTTAAATCCCATCTTTAAAGGAGGAAGACAGCTCCTGTTCTGTCAGCCCCAGTTGCTTGTCAGGAGAATCAAAAACGTTTTGCAGCAGGGTCTGTGGATGGGAAGGCCTCTGTCACTGCACCATCGTGTTTCTTTCTGTGTGCATCCTGCCCCAAGAAGCTGCAGTCAGTCTCATCCCTCTCACCATCCGCATTCTGCCTGGGCCCCTGGCAGAAGGAGGGGAAGGGGTGCTGGGGAGGCAGCAGTTGGCATCCTCGTGCCCTGTCTTTTAGCACTTTGGAATTACCTGAGCAGGAGCAGGTCTTCCATCTTTGTCTGTCTTGTTCCCAGGCTCTAGAGGGCTCTGTAAGACACAGGCTGGGTTTTCCCATCTGTATTTTGTCTAGATTGTTAAAAATAAGTGAGCAGCAGGGGCCAGCCCAGCTCGCTCTGTCTGCATCTTCTACATGCACTCTGGGTGGAAGGTGTCTGAATCTTCCTCTCAGGCCTATCCATTCAAAAATCTATTCACTCTGTCTCACTTCTGTAGAAGTCCCCTGCCCCTTCCCACCACCAGAATGCATTAAAAGACTGAAGGGGCCGGGCATGGTGGCTCACGCCTATAATCCCAGCACTTTGGGAGGCTGAGGCAGGTGGAACACCTGAGGTCAGGAGTTTGAGACCAGCCTGGCCAACATAGTGAAATCCCATCTCTGCTAAAAATACAAAAATTAGCCAGATGTGGGGGTGCACACCTGTAGTCCTAGCTACTTGGGAGGCTGAGGCAGGAGAATCACTTGAGCCCAGGAGGCAGAGGTTGCAGTGAGCTGAGATCACACCACTGCACTCTAGCCTGGCGACAGAGCGAGATTGCATCTCAAAAAAAAAAAAAAAAATACTGAAGGGCTTGTTGGCTGTCAGCTTCCCCCTTGATGTTGGTGAGAAGCGGTTGGTGGTGGGGGTCTTGCGTCCTGAGGTACAGATCTGATCTTCCAGCCAAGCCCCCAGACTAGAACTGCAGGGCCTGCCTGCCAGTCTGGCTGAGAGGCAGCCAGCTGCAGGGGAGAGATGGATGAGAGAAAAAAGCATGCACGAAATATTTCATTCCCATCCATGGTTCTTTCCGTCTCACTCTGCCCTTGAGTGGGGTGTGCTGGATGTTAGAGACGGGAGGTGGAGAAGGCCCCTGCTTGGATCCTACATGGGCTTTAAAAAAAAAAGTCCTCAAAGCAAAGCTGCCAGCAGGCTGAGTGCGTCTCCTCCCTCCCACTGTCTCTTCCAGAGGAGAGCGCCATGAGTAGCGACCGCATGGACTGTGGCCGCAAAGTCCGGGTGGAGAGCGGCTACTTCTCTCTGGAGAAGACCAAACAGGACTTGAAGGCTGAAGAACAGCAGCTGCCCCCGCCGCTCTCCCCTCCCAGCCCCAGCACCCCCAACCACAGGTACAGTTGCCCCGAGTCGCCCTCCCAGGAGCTCGGTGGTCCTCTTCCTTCCCCAGGTCCTCGACTCCCCCACCAAATGGTCTGCAGCATCTCCCTCAGCTCCCTGGATGTGGCCAGCCAGCCACCTGCCTACGTGGACTCTGGCAGCACTAGGGGGCGGGGGACAGAGAGACTGGGGAGCGCCTTTGCCTTTAAAGCCAGCAGGCAATATGCCACCCTGGCCGACGTCCCTAAGGCCATCAGGATCAGCCACCGAGAAGCCTTCCAGGTGGAGAGAAGGCGGCTGGAGCGTAGAACTCGGGCCCGGAGCCCTGGCAGGGAGGAGGTGGCCCGTCTGTTTGGCAACGAGCGGAGGTAAGGAGCAGGTTAGAGGGTTGAACACCCAGGCCCACACACATGCACTTCCACCCACGCACATACACTCATACTCTCTGTTTCTCTCACATACAGTCCCCAAGCCTCCCTTGGCGGAGCATGCTTTCTGTTCAGAGCATAGGGGTATTTTCCCTCTGGGCCCAGAACTCAGCTCTAGTAGCCAGAATGCAGAATTTCTGAGCATCAGAGGTCGACGCCAAGAATAGCAGTTTTCACATCAGTGCCTCCTAGGACTGGGACCTTAAGGTTCCCTGATGGGTTCTCAGCTGCCTGGTCCTTGTGGGGCTGGATCTTTTCCTCCTGGGCCATTTCTATTCTCTGAAGTGGCATGGAGGCAGGGAGTCCCTAGAGCTACATGTGGTGACAGAGGCGCTCCTCACCCTGGCAGTCCCAGGGTGGGCAAAGGGCACTGAGAGGTTCAGAGGCAGACAGGCATGCCCAGGAAGGTGGGGGCAGCACAGGTTCCTCTCTCAAGGACATGCTCCCTGGGGAGCCACAGCCCCAGGAAACCTGAGGCAACCTGTGAAGCAGCTGAGCACCAAATAGCATTGCTTTTGCCCTCCAGGGGAGCATTGCTTTTTGCCCTCTAAGACTTTGACTGGCTGGAGAGAGAGAAAGTTTGGACATCCGGGCCTAGGGCAGGGACCAGGGGCACAGGTGCAGAACTTGACTGCTGCCGAAGAAGATGAGGGCCCATGCCCTGCCCTGCCCTTGTTCTCCAGAGTTTCCTGGAGAACTAGAGAAAGAGTTGGATGTCCTCTGAGGCCTCCAAGCCCAAATCCAGACGCAAGTGCCCAAGCACGCCTTCAATCAGGCTTGCACCCCTGCATCTGTATACTGAGGCTTTGCCTTGACAGCAGGGTTCCTCAGCCAGGTTTATGGATAGACTTACAGACTTCTGGAGGTCCATGATGACCTGCCCCCTCAATAAAACAATTTCACAGTATTCTTCCCAGAAGAGAGTTAGGGTTAGGCACTCTTCTGGGAAGAAGACCCATAGTTTTCATTAGGTTCCCAAGGTTCACTGTCCAGAAAAGAGGTTCAAACCATAGTTCTGGAAGTCTTCTCAGAGTGTCCTCCCTTCCCCAGCCACAACCTGGAGCTCAGAGTTAGAGACGCTACCAGGAGGGACAGGTGAAGGCAGCCATGGGCTCCCGTGCCTCGAAGGGCAGGTGGAGGGAAGTGTCTTTACATCCTGCCCCCTTTTCTTCTGAGCACCCACCATTGGCTGACAGCCCACCCACTCTTCCAAACGTCCCAGATGAAAAGGCCTGTGAGCCTGCAGGTTAGTCTCCAGGATAAGGAAGCATCTCCCAGAGATACTGCTGGTGAGAGGAAAATGACACGTTGACTTCCTAGGGAAAGGAAGGGCAGCCAAGTGGTTCCCAGCCCCTGCCTAGTGCCCCAGGGTGCTCTGCTAAGCACTTGGCTGCCTTAATGTTTCATAGTAGCCTGATGAGGATCTGTTACTACCGCCCCCAGTTATAGATGTGAAAACTGAGGCTCAGGAGTAGGTGACTTCTCAACAATGGATAGCTGGTGCAGATCCCAGTGGGGCCTTAGCCAGGAAGTCCCTGCTCCCATCCTGTGATCCAGGACTGATGCCAAGGATGCTCTTTTAAGCAATTAAGAAAATATATAAGTAAAGGGTTTTGCTAGAGAGAGGAGGAGGCCAGTGGGTGGGCAGGGGAGGCTTCATGCTGGCTGGCAAGCAGGCTGTGTGTCGTGGTGGCTCCAGAGCAGGATCAGCTATGTCCTGGTTTAGCGCCAGACCACAGAATTAGCATTCAGCACACCTGCTTGGCTTGGCTTCTTCTCGGAGAGACTCCTTTTGAACTCGTTCTTGTCTCCTGTCGCCTGGGACAGGTGCAGTCTCTGGGGCTTTGTACTCTGCATGCACTGCCACACGGGGATGGGTTTTCACCTGGTGCTGGCCCCACCCCCCACCAGTTCTGCATACTAATACTGCAGCATCCCTTTCTCCTGACCCTGGTGACATCTGATTGGCTGCTGTCGCTTTCTGAGGCCTGCTCACTGGATCCCTAGTAGCCCACCCTGTGCTTGGTTGGATTCCTGTCCCCTGGTTGATTAGAGCAGAATCTCCAAATTGGCAAGAGATTCTTGGCCACACCTACCTGAAATGGCAGCCACAATAGGTGTGCCCAGGAGCCAGACTGCTGGGACCACAGGGTTGGTTTTTTGACAAGCCACAGTCATCTAGGCAAGCCTATCTGAACCTGACCGGTTCTGGGCTTCGATGTGTCCGTTCCTCAGACTTCCAGAGTGTTTCTTGGATAGTGAGTCACCTCTGGCTGCTGAGTGGGGGAAGTTGTTTTCCTGGTTGGCCTGCTGGTGACTGGCAGCAAGGACAGCTCCCCATGTAGCCCTAACCCCCCTGCCCTCAGCACAGCGGTTAGTGCCCTGGGAACCCTGGAGCTGCAGGGTGCAGGCCCCGTTTTCTGTGCTGACCAGTAAGGTGCTTGCTGTCCCACCTGCAGCTTCCAGGGCACCAAGTAATAACTTTCCACCTCGCCCAGTAGATCAGGGCAGCCAGTGTGCGAGCCTGTGGTCTTACAGGATCTCCCCAGGCCCCCATGCAGAGTGACTGTAGCAAGTGCCTTTCCTCTTCTCCACCACGACTCCTCTGTCTGGATCCCCACAGTACCACGGCATGCGATTTGCATGAGGTTAAAGCCCAGCAGTTCCTCACTGCTTTCCTGGGGCTTTCTAGGCCCCAGTGTTGGGCAGAGGAGCCCTCATCCTGGAAGTGGCCTGTTGGTGAGCCTTGAATCTCACCAAGATCCCACCACAATCGCTCAAGTGTGGTGGACGCCTGGCTTGCACTTACCAAGCTTTCCCTGGGTGTCCTGGAACTCCAGCAGCTTCCTTAGCTTCCTGCTCTCACAATGCCGCGGCCTCTGCTGCTCCCCTACCCCAGCGCCTGCCTCCGCTGCTGGTTCTAGCAGGCTGGCCCGGCACAAGCTTCTTTCCTGAGGAAGACACTTTGTGTCTAAGCACAGGGAGGAAGCTGAGCTGAGGAAGACACTTTGTGTCTAAGCGCAGGGAGGAAGCAGAGCCCGGGGCCCTCGCCCTCCTCTCTCCGGGGGTGAAGACGCCTTAGGCAGCCAGTTTTCCCTCGCACTCCCTGAGAAGCAGCTGGCCTCTTGGGGGAGGTGGGGTCTCAGGAATTGATCTTGTTTCCTCTCTTCCTTGTGGAGATAATTAGGCTTCCAGGCTTGGGAGCCCTTCACCCACTTCCTCTGGGTTCTTATCCTCTTGTCCAGAGCAGCAGTGACACCCTCCCCGCCAGGTAACTTAGGTGCCCCTGGGAGAACAGGCCCGGCCCTGTGAGCTGAGCCTCAGCTGGTGCGTCCCCCACCTCTGACCCCACCAGGGTGACTTCTTGCAGCTGGAGGACAATCATGGTCTCTCTCCCTCTTCAGTGATTACCTTGGGTTTTTGCTTCTTTAATTCTTTGGATAATTTTGGTTCACCATTATTTGATTTGAAAAAGCAGCGCTCTTCCATGTATTCATTTCCCAGCCTTGTTTTCTTTCAGGTCTTGCCTCTGCGCTCTCCTGCTGTGCCGCTGGGTGGCGCTGCGCCTCCTCCACCCGCTTCGCCCCCATCTAAGCTCCGTCTCCGGCCGTAGACAGCCTGAGGAGGCCGCCAGCCCTTTCACATGAAATCAGCCTGCTTTGTTTTTGTTTTAATTTGGTCTTTGATTCCTTTTACTGTTGGCAGAAACAATGTTAATTCCTGGGCCTCTTCCTTGCTAAATTTTGGGGTGGGGGGTGCACTGTGATCCATGAGGGATGCAATGAGAATGGAGGCTGCCTTCCGTGGTGGTGGTTGCCTTTTGATCATGTCTGTGGCTCAGGAGAGGCTGCCGGGTGCCAAGCTGTGTGAATGCCGAGTGGGTCAGCACCACAGAGCCTGCAGGGCCTCTAGCGCGGGGGCAGAGGGTAGGGGCAAGCGCAGGCCTGATGGGAGGGAGGGCCGTGGAGGGGTGCAGGCAGAGCTCGGGTCAGCTGAGCACGTGTCTAGACAACCTCGGTGCTGTGCAAGCCTGAGGGGAATCAGGCCCGGGCCAGGCCGGGCATGGGAGGAGTCGGCTCACTGCCACCTCACAGCTCACCTCACTGCCACCTCAGGGCCTCGTGTCCTCTCTTGCAGGAGGTCCCAGGTGATTGAAAAGTTTGAGGCCTTGGACATTGAGAAGGCAGAGCACATGGAGACCAATGCAGTGGGGCCCTCACCATCCAGCGACACACGCCAGGGCCGCAGCGAGAAGAGGGCGTTCCCTAGGAAGCGGGTGAGCTCCTGGGGCTGGGCAGCACCTCAGGGGTGGCTCGGGGGCGGGTCAGCATGCACCCCATGCGCCAAGTCCCCTCCACACAGGCCTGGGATGTGCTCCTGCCAGGCTTCTCTCCAACCACCTCCTCTGCATAGTGACTTCTTGAGAGCAGGCCTGTCTCCTGCAGCTTCATATCAGAGCCTTCTCCGTCTCTGCTGAAGGATATTCTCATGCATTTTAGATCCCAGATTTAATTAGGATCACTCTCTTCCTATCTGAGACAGCCCAGCAACAAGGCTGAATGTCACACCTTCCTAACTCTTTCTTTCAGTACAACTACACCCCTCGTTTCTCCACTCAGCCCAAGGTAGACTCGGCTTCTGAAATCCTCCTGGGCACCCGCCTGCTGCTTTTGTAGCCGGCCAAGTCTAAGCTCATCTTCTCCTGGCTTCTCTCTTGTTCACAAGGTGCCTAGTGCCTACTGTCTGGCCCACAGCTTGCCACCTGCCACCACAGAGCCCAGGGCTCTTCCTTCTGTGACCCAGAGAAGCTGGAGGATGGGGTGGGGCCAGGAAAGTGACAGTGACTGGGAATCCAAAAGAAAAGGCTGCTCTATCAACCAGGGCATCTCAGGACCCGGGTCCTGTCCTGGCCCTGCTGCAGACTTGCTATGGTGGCTAGGCAGATCACTGCCCCTCGCCAGGAGCAAGGCCCTGGCGGCTCTTGGAGGGGTGGACAGCACCAGCTCGTCCCTCACATGCCCACATTGCCCTGGGCTGCACTGACCAGCGGCTGCTCTCTGCCACAGGACTTCACCAATGAAGCCCCCCCAGCTCCTCTCCCAGACGCCTCGGCTTCCCCCCTGTCTCCACACCGAAGAGCCAAGTCACTGGACAGGAGGTCCACGGAGCCCTCCGTGACGGTGAGCCCAGGCGCCGCGTCCTCCGGAGGCCGTGCTCCTCTGCTTCTGGTCACTCTGAGGCGCTGTCTGTTTCTGTCTATGCGTCCATGCCAGCTGTCCCTCTGTGCACAGGCCCTCGTGTCCGTGAGCACCCCCACCCACCGACCCACAGGCCGTCGAACACAGATTCTGTTTCTTCCCTTTTCTGGTCCCAGCAGAACCAAGGGCTCCATGGCATCCTGAGCTCTGGGAGGAGGCCCTGCGGAGGAGGCCACCTCGGGCTAGGCAGACTCCCGACTCTAGGCGGCAGGGCTGCAGCAGGGACCCTCCGCTCCTCTGGCTTTGGGCATTGCTTTTTGTGGCACTTCGGAGGCAGAGGCCACGTCTTGCTGGAGCTTGTCTCGTTCTCCGTGTCATGCCTCAAGTGGAAGAGCAGGCCTTGCACCAGGTTCTCCATGGGCCTCAGAGCTATGACAACAGAGGTGCGGAAGGAGTGGTCAGGGTACAGGAGCAAGGCCAACTCAGCATGCTGACCCAGCTCCTACCCGCTCTGTCTTCAGCCTCCAGGGGAGCCTGGGGCCTGCTCACTGCCTCTTGTCTCCTCCTTGCTGCCTGCACAGCAGCTCACCATGGGCCTCCGGCCTGCCCCAGGGCTTGGGGGCTGCCAACCACAGATTGATGTGTAACATGGAGTGTGAGGAGGAGTAAGGTTTGGGTTTTTCCTTCAGTCTGGGTTTTGCTTCAGGTGTCTTGAACAAAACTCCTTGTTTCTCTGTTAACTTAGCTGGGAGCGCCTTCCCCAACAGAGAACACCAGCAGGGAACCCACCTGCATAGGCCTTGCCATTGGGGTCAGATTGCAGGCTTGGCTTCAATGGCACAACCATGATATGGAAATTACGAGTTTTTGTTAAAGATCTGCAAGCTAGGCCGGGCACGGTGGCTCACGTCTGTAATCCAAGCACTTTGGGAGGCCGAGGTGGGCAGATCACGAGGTCAAGAGATCGAGACCATCCTGACCAACATGGTGAAACACTGACTCTACTAAAAATACAAAAATTAGCTGGGTGTGGTGTCGCGCTCCTGTAGTCCCAGCTATTTGAGAGGCTGAGGCAGGAGAATCGCTTGAACCCGGGAGGCGGAGGTTGCAGTGAGCTGAGATCGCGCCACTGCACTCCGGCCTGGCGACAGAGCGAGACTCCGTCTCAAAAAAAAGAAAGATCTGCAAGCTAAGCAGGCTGTCAGAGAGGGGGCAGGTGGCAGTCCCACGTCTCAGGTCCTGTGCCGCAATGGCAACTACAAGCTTGCAGGAGAGGACCTCCCTATTTAAGGGCTACTTGGGGTAGGGTGTCCTAATTTCACAGTGTTGCTTTTGATTGGGTGCTTCAAATAACTCTGGCGGCAAGGACAGTTGCACAGCTTGGCAGGACGTTGGGGTTGAAACAGGGCTCTGTAGAGGGACTTCTTATCTATCTGGGTCAGTCTTGGCCAGACCTAGGCAGCAGCGGACTGTGGTTCCTTCCTCACTCCTCAGAGACAGGGTTCTGAGCAGAGGCTCCCAGAGCGCTTTGTTCTGGTAGTTATCCTGACAATTCTTGCCTGTTCTCACTCTCACTCCTTGGAATAATACAAACAGACATCAAAGCTAGCTTCTGCTCAGATGGCTGTAGAAAAGAGAGCACCTCGGACCAGAGATAAGGTGACCCATGTCTCTGTGGGGCCAGCCAGGTGGGCTGTAGATGGCAGTGCTGTCTCAGGCTGTTCCTCAGGGCCCAGGTGTGTCTGGGCGGCACAGGTGGAGGAAGGACAAGAGCGCTGTGCCTGGGCGCTGCCCCCCTGTCTGCCATCCTGCTTCTTGTGGGGGAATACAGGTCAAGCCTATTCCTGGTGGAGAAATGGCCTGAGGGTCTCAGCGGGGCTGCAGCTGCTGCTTCCTCAACACCGCACGTCTCTGTTTCCCAGGCTTCCTGTGGCTTCTGCAAGAACTTTTGAATCAATTCTCCTTTCAGCCTTCCCTGCAGATGTTTCCCTTCAAATAAAATGTTCTGTGACTCTTCATCTGGGCTTGTTTTCTGCCTCCCAGATAGGCCCTGTGCAGTGGGCCCTGTACAGGCCGGAGCCCACACTGCTCACAGGGCAATGAGACCATACCTTCTCTCCTGCCAGCCTGCCAAGCCCAGCATCTCCTTCCTCAAGGTCGCGTGTGCCTACAGAAGGCTGGTTGCAGGCAGCACCCACCAGGGTGAGGGGGCTGCACAGGCTTGTCTGGCAGGTGGAGAAACCCCTTTCCTGGTACCCGCCTCATCTGGACAGAAATACTGGCCCCATCAGACACTCATGACACTAGAAGAGTTTCCTCTGAGCTGTTCTTTTTTCTCCCTTTCTCAGCCCGACCTGCTGAATTTCAAGAAAGGCTGGCTGACTAAGCAGTATGAGGACGGCCAGGTGAGTGTGCAGGGTTGCCGTGGCCCCTGAGGGATCTGGGGACAGGGTGAGGGTGAGCTGTCCTTGTCCCCAGCCAGTCTGCAAGTGCTGGCTCCATGCCTTCCTCCTCCATGCCCCTTGTCTTCATGACCAGGGCTGTGGCTGAGACTCCCATCTGCTCCTAGAAGTGCAGGCACACAGCCTTCATTTCTGCAGTGGGGGGTGCTCTGGAGGGGCACTCGGTAGGCCTGTCTGCTGATGGCAAGCGGGTGTTGGCCCGGCCTTAGGGATGCCTTGTAACACTAGCCCCCACCTGGTGATCTTTCCTAAAAGTTGTTTAGGGGCCTGGCTTCCCCAGGGACAAAGAAACTCTCTGGCTGTGGGATTGGCTTGTGTTTCCATGCAAGCCAGCCAAGTAGACAGTAGCCTAGCACTGCAAGACTCTCATGCCAGAGACCCCTCAGCTGCAGTGGCAGTGTTAGCCCTGGAAGGAGCAAACATGGTACATTCTTGCCATCAGACTCAAGCAGGAAGAGCCATCTGAGGCTGGACCTGCCAGCCCACCTTGACCCTGTGCCATGGGCTGGAAGGCCAGGCCTCCCAAGGAGGCATGAAGAAAAGCCTGCTGGGTCCTTACCTAAGAGGCCCTGATGCCTAGCCCATCCTCACTCCCTTCCTGCTTCCTGAGCTGCTATCCCAAGACATCCTCTTTATTTCTCCTCCATATCAAATGCCCTTGGCCTGGCATGAAGACTCAAGTTCCCTTCCTTACTGCTCACAGTGAAGACTTGGTCTCTAGCTGGTTAGTTACCCCTGCTGGTTAGGAGGCCACATGGCCATGGCTTGCGGGCTGCCACCTGCAGGTGGAGATGCCATTTCACAGCCACCTTTCCGTTCTGATGGGCCCAGCCTGTTGTCTGCAGCCTCTGTAGTTACTGAGGACCGCACGGCCTGGCCACCAGCCACACCATTGGTCATAGAGCCCACAGCCAAGGCCTGCTCAGCTGTCTGTGCTGCCTCTTCACTGGAGGGTCACAGCTTAGTGAGCGTCCTGAGGGTGTGAGCGCATGGCTGCCTGCAGTCCGAGCAGAGTCCTCTGTATGCTGTCAAGGGAGGGGCCAGCCTGTCCCCTGCTTTCCCTGTGCTCTGGGAGGGCCCCACAGGCTCTGGCTGCGCACCGCCGTGGCGTGGCAGGCATGCTGTATAGGAGTTGGTAGTCGAGTCATTTTTCTTTTCTTCCCCTTTAGTGGAAGAAACACTGGTTTGTCCTCGCCGATCAAAGCCTGAGATACTACAGGGATTCAGTGGCTGAGGAGGTGAGTGTCTGGGCTTTGCCTCTGCTGTGGAGACAGCTGGAGGGGTCCAGGCGGCATCTGGGGCTAGTAGATCTGCTTCCCCCTGGGCTAATGTCCCCACTTCTGAGGACAGCGCCCTTCGGTGGTGTTACCTTGCCGAAGGTATGTCCATGTTGCCCTCTTGGGTTTCCCAGTCCCGACCTGGTGGGAAGGTGAGCACAAGACCAGCCTTTGTCCTTGTGATCATTTTCCTGGCTGTGATGCTGGGCTTCGTCAAGGCCTTGAATTAAGTGCCCAGTGCAGTGGGTTTGGGCAGCTTTTCTTTTCTCTGTTCTTTGAAAAACACTGAAATTTGAAAACTCAGGATGAACAATTTTGTTTTTTCCACAAAGAGATTTCATGGTAAATGGAGTTGGAAGAATTGAACTACATCTTGTGCCCTGCCTTCTGGACAAGGACAGGATAGGATAGATGAGCTTTTTTGGGCCCCTGGACAGTCCTGATTCTGTGGTCAAGGACCAAATAGAAGGGGTTCTTTTTTTCTTCACCTACAAATAAAATAACCTCTTCTAAACAGTTTGGCAAGTCTCCTTTGCCTTTTCCCCAGTAGTTTCACTCCAGGAATCCCTCAGATAACTCCCACATGTGGAAAAACGTCTGTTTCAGGTTAGTCATTCCCACACGTTTGTAACAGCCAGATGATTGGAAAGAGCCTAAATACCCATCATTAAGGGCCGGGATATGTATTAAATACTCTGAGCCAGTCTTTACAGACTGAAGGAGAAAAGGTGGTAGTGATAAGAAGTAGGGGTAGGAGAGTGTGGGCGGTGGGCCTCTGGTGGTGTCCAGCGTTGGGGAAGTAAGGAGCCTATGTAAGTGTTTGGTTGCATGTGCATAGAAGAGCACTTCCGAGTGTGGTCTGTAGACCTCTGGGGGTCCCTGAGGCCCTTTCAGGAGAGCAGTGGTGGTTAAAATAATTTGTAATATTAAGATGTCATTGACTTTTTTTTGCGTGTGACCATCTGCACTGATGGTGCAAAAGCAATGGGAGGTAAAGCCACTAGCACTTGGCACAGCCCCATCTGTAGCAACAGGCTGGACCAGTGGTCACTGGATTCTTCACTGCCATACATTTTAAATAATTAATCGTTTTAAAATAAATAAGGTCCTTGAAAGAGCAGCAGAAGTTACTAATTTTATGAAGCCTCAATCTTTAAATGCCCATCTTTTTAATATTCTGTGATTTGAAATGGGAAGTAAGCATCGCCTGGCTGCATACTAGAGTGTGCAGGCTTTCTCATGGAAAGGACTTGTGTGATTGAGTTGCCAGCTGAACTAGCAGCTTCTTTTGGAGCACCACGTTTACTTGAAAAACAACTGATAGGCAAAACTGTGGTCATTAATTTTGGGTGTTTGGCATATATTTTCATGAAAATGAACCAAGTTGGCTCATTCCTCTAAGGAAAACAACTGACAGAATTTGTTGCCAGTGATATAATTTGAGCTTCCAAGCAAAAATTAGAACTTGGGAAAATTTGTATTCACCATCATGAACTTCCCTTTACTTACACTCTCCTGATGAAATAGGTGGTGGTATTAGCAAAGGCGATATTTTAATATTACATAATGAAATGTGTAGACAATTGGAAGCTGTGCATAACAATATTTTCCATGTGACCAGTACCTAATGTTACAAAAGCATGCCTGGGTTTTAATGTAACACAGTACAGAGAGTTCATGGGCATGATTTCAGATACCACATTGCAGTTAACCTTTAAGAGCCTACTGCTTGTCAAAGAACAGCCACAACTACCTGAAAAAGCTATTAAAAATACTTCCTTTGTTGTCCGGGGGCGGTGGCTCATGCCTGTAATCCCAGCACTTTGGAGGCCAAGGCAGGCGGATCACCTGAGGTCAGGAGTTTGAGACCAGCCTAGCCAACATGGTGAAACCCTGTCTCTACTAAAAATACAAAAATTAGCTGGGCTTGGTGGTGGTCATCTGTAGTCCCAGCTACTCGGGAGACTGAGGCAAGAGAATCACTTGAACCCGGGAGGCAGAGGTTGCAGTGAGCTGAAATCGTGTCACTGCACTTCAGCCTGAGTGACAGAGCAAGACCCCATCTCAAAAAAAAAAAAAACTTCCGTATTGAACAGATGGAATGCAGAAACAAGAATCCAGCTGTCCTTTCTGAAGACAGATGTTAGAGAGATTTGCAAAAATTCAAAGCAATGTGACTCTTATCACTGATTGTTAAATCAGATTTTTATTTTAAAATGAATTTATTTTATTCTCAAATGAACAAATATATTTAAATTTTACATTTATATTAATATATATTTTCATATATATTTAAATGTATAAAATATATTTTATAATATATTTTAAAATATATTTAAATATTTTTAAATTAAAATTTTTAAAATATTTACATTTTAATTTCTAACATAGTAAATACCATCAATAGATGAAATCCACCTAACAGAAGCTCTTCTAGGGCCACCAGTTTTTAAGAGTGTGAAGGGATTTCAACAGCAGCATGTTTGAGGACCACTGGCGTGGACTATCTTTGGCTGGATACAGGGACAGATGGTGGTGTGATTGCACCCAGTGAGGGGCCTGGGTCATGCAGTAGTAGGATAGACGGTGTCCTCACTTGTCAGTGTGTATACTATTAAAAGTAAAGTCAGTGCAGAAAATCACTTACGGAAATTTGCTCATCTAGGCATTGGTTCTACTTCCTAAAAATCTCAAGACATTCTCACTTCCCTCGGCAGGCAGCCGACTTGGATGGAGAAATTGACTTGTCCGCATGTTACGATGTCACAGAGTATCCAGTTCAGAGAAACTATGGCTTCCAGATACATGTGAGTCCAGGGATGGAAGTGGGGCCACAGGCTTGACAGGCAGGGATGCATGTCAGAGTGCCTAATGTCTGGGCTGGGGGCACTTCTGGACAGGCCTGATGCAGCGTGTATGGTCAGCACTTAGTCTTTCCCACTACCCTTGACACCTCTGTCCTGTGGCACCTGACCCTATTCCCCAATTTGTGATGTGAACAGTACATTAGACGTTAGTATCTTTTTTCTGAAGACTGCTTAAAGCTTTTTTGTTTCTGAAGGTTCCTTTTTTCTTTTGTTTTTTGTAATGCTGGAGTTGGGGCAATTGGAAGGATGTGGGGTATGGGGAATAAGAATGAAAGTGTTAGTCAATTATTTACATCCGCTTTTTACTCACTTATTCATGTGTTTGTTCATTCATTTACTTACAAGGCTATTTTTTCCCAAAATCTTGTGAGGTACTCAGATGAGCAAGGCATTGCACTGTTCTCAAAAAAAAAAAAAAAAAAAAAATCTTATTGGTAGGACAAAATGGTTCTTATTGGCTGTTTCTTCAAAACTGTGTGGATCAAGGACTGCCTGCAGTCAGCCAGACTCCAGGTTAAGAGCACAGTCCTCCTGACTGCCACATCTGCCTCCATTTCTTTTTTTTTCCCCCAAGACAGGGTCTCACTCTCTGTCCAGGCTTGAGTGTAGTGGCACAATCATGGCTCACTGCAGGCTCGAAATCCTAGACTCTAACGATCCTTCTACCTCAGCCTCCAGAGTAACTGGGACTACAGGTGCATGCCACCATGCCCAGCTTATTATTATTATTATTATTATTATTATTATTATCATTATTTAGAGAGACAGGGTTTCACCATGTTGCCCAGGAGGGTTTTGAACCCCTGGGCTCCAGCGATCCACTTGCCTTGGCTTCCCAAAGTGCTGGGATTATAGGCATGAATCACTGTGCCCAGTCCTGCCCCCACTTCTGACACCAGTTGTGAGTCCGGAGGTTTCCAAAACCACCTTCAGTTTCAAAAATTCACTAGAATGACTCACAGGATTCAGGAAAGTACTGTCTTTACAATGAGTTTTATTATAGAGAAAGTATGTAAGTCAGAACCAGCCAAGGGAGAGCCATGTGGAGTAGAATCTGGGACTGGGGGAGTCACAGATGCCAAAAGTTTCTGCATCCTTGGGGACACGGTGTCCTCTTAGCCCTGATGTGGGGCAGTGCGCAGAGCATTGCCCGGAAGCCCACCTGAGCCCCGGTGTTGAGTTTTAGGAGGCTCTGTAGCTGCTGTGGTTGATGGAGTTGTTGTCCTCATAGTTGAACTCCACCTAAAGCCCTTCCCGCCATGGTTGGCTACTTTCACATGGCCCAAACCCCAACCCTCTGATTTAATGGGTTTCCTCTAATTTCCTGCTTCTGGCCAGGCCAGCCTCTACCCTGAGTTGTCTTGTCAGCATGAAGTGTTAGGTGGGGTCCCAGGGTACCACCATGAGTAACAAAGACTCTAGTCATTCAGGAAATTCCAAGGTTTGGAAGTTACCTCCCAGGAGCTAGGACAGAGGCCAGGCCTCTCTTTGGGTAAAGTTAGTTCGTCACTCGCAAGGGCTTTAAGATGGGTGGAGAGTGTGATGAGTAGAGAGCTGCCCCCATGGGGCTGGGCCCTGGCCCTGGGACTTGGTTCTCACACAAGGCTAGACTCTGGTGGGCTCACCTGTAGCAGGGTCATACCTTCAAATTTTGGGGCCCAGAAACTCAATTTTATTGCTGTGTTGAGAGTTGATCCAGTATTTGGGGCTCACTCAGTTTGGCCCAACTTAGAGGAGACTGAAGTATAGACCCAAAGGCCAGTGTGTTCATTTACTAAGAAAATCCTGGCCGCCAGCCCACTGGGCTGCTGGCTGTGGCTTCCTGCGTGCAGGCATCTGCGAGAGGAGCTGAGTCACAGTTGGAGGCTACACTGACAGCCTGGCACCAGGGCCGGGTGTGAGTTGTCTGCTCTTAGTGGCCTGCACTGCCCAAGTTTCAAGGCTCCTCTGTCCTCATCCGCTGTGGGAGGGGTAGGCGGGCATAGTGCCCGGTGAGCCTCCTCTCCTGCCGTCCACCTCCCATCTTCATGAGCAGCTTTCTCCAGGCAGGGCACACCTGAAGTCTGAGAACTCACCCCGCTCTCCTAGTGACAAATGAGGGCATCAGCCACTCTCACCCACTGATCAACCCCTCCTCACTTCACCCTGGTAGGGCTTATCCTGATGACTTTCGGTGATCCCCAACTACTGAGAGTTCTAAGGAATGAGGAGATGCTTCCAGTGTGGAGAAGGCTTCCTGGGGGAGGCTTCCTGGAGAAGGATCCCTCAAGGCTCAGCAGGAGGGATGAGTGTGAAAGCATGTCCCAGACTGGACTCCAGACCTGGTGGCACAGAGAGCACAGAGCCAGTCTGGGGCTAGAGTGCTGGGTGGAGAGTCAGGTTGGCGCTGGTCCAGCCTTTGTGGAGAGCACTGAAGGGTGTTAGAAGATGCCAGTCAGTTGTGCGTTCATGATACATGTCTGGCGGGACATGCAGGTCCATTAGAAAGGAACCAGGCTGGCACGGTAAAGCTGGGCAAGAAAGGAAGGAGCAGCACCTGGGAGGAAGAGGTGAGGGCAGGGCCAGGACCTGGCAAGAAGGCCCCGCCCACTGAGAAGCCAGCAGAAGAGCTGACTTCACAGAAGCAGGGGGATCCCCTGGAATTCCGGCTGTGATCCATTTGAGGCATGATGGGCTCTCAGAGAACATTAGGCAGCCGCTGGGAAAGAAAATTCAGCTGGAGAAAACAGCTGTATGTGGAGTGCTGAGGCCAAACTCCAGCAACGCCCACACCTGGGGGTGGAGAAGGATGGACCCAGGAGAAGGTGGTACCCCCCCAACTCAGCTCACATGGATATGAGAACTGATGAAGGAGGACCGAGCTGGGCAGTGGTGGTGTCTTGATCGGGCATGTGGAGGGGCAGGTCAGGTCCCTCCCAGCTGTGCTTTGTGGCACGTCAGGCCGGTGCGTGATCTCCTGTTTTGGCTTCTGGCCAGGCCACTAGCACCCATCCGAAAACCATCCTCATGATTGCATCCTGCCGTCAGCTTCCCTACTGACCTGGCTGCTGAGTCTGCTTGTGAGCAGCTCTCGGTTCAAGGCTGCAGCCCTCGCTTCTGTTGGGCAGGTGCCTGTAGGTGCAGAAGCAGGCCTCCAGCTCCATGCAGGCCACTGGCCCTCCCCTGCCTGGTACCCAGGCAGGTCTGCTCAGGGGCGCAGTGGTCATGTCCCAGAGCCATGTGCTCTTTGCTGCTTTGTCCTACCTGCTGCCCCGTTCCTCGCCCAAAACAGGCTCCTCCCCTGCTACCTTGCACAAGCACCGAGGACAAGCCCTAGACTCCACCTCATCCAAGCAGGAGTCTAGGGCTTGTCTAGGTGCTCCCCAACCCAACCAGCCAGACGCTGTTCATACCCCTTTTGTTACTTCTGAGCTGCCCTGTCCCCTGCCATCACCTTAATTCTCATCACTTGGACAGCTGCAGTAACCACCCAGCAGGTCTCCCTGCCTTTTCTCAGTGCCACCAACAAGACCCTGATACCCCTTGTTCTTAACCACTCCCTGGGCCCATCATGCCATGTGCCTGTGTGAGTGCAGACTGCAGGTGCCACTCCCCACGCCCAACACACACGCCCTTCCGGATTCCCCACCTCCACCACTGCTCAGCACATGCTGATTCTGCCCTTCCCCCGAGGCTGGGAACTCCTTAAAGAGGGGTGCAGCATCCTCCTCTGTCTGAGTGGACAGGCTGCTGGTGCGTAGTGGGTGCTCAGTAACTGTGAGCTTGTTACTGAGAGAAGATACCGGATTTACCATTGCCACAAATACACGTCCCTCCCACAGCTTTGACGTCTCCTGCTCTCCAGCTCCCTCATGTCCCAGTAGTGGGCACATGTGGCACTCCTAGAAGGGTCACCCAGTCACAGCCTTTCTCCCTGTGGGACTTTACCCAGTGCAGGGAGCTTCTTTGGAGATGGAGGGCAGCAGGCACCCTAGGGGACAGTCACTGATGGTGCCTCATCTTTTCTCTGTAGACAAAGGAGGGCGAGTTTACCCTGTCGGCCATGACATCTGGGATTCGGCGGAACTGGATCCAGACCATCATGAAGCACGTGCACCCGACCACTGCCCCGGATGTGACCAGGTAGGATGGTGAAGACACCAGGGAGCCCTTTGTGCCTCTTGTGGGTGCCACTCCCGCCAGGGCAGTGTCAGACTCAGGTCTGAAGTCTGAGACCTGAGCTCAGTGCATCCCAGTCTGCTGCTCCTTCCTTCCTGTGTCCTTCTGTTGCTCAGGTTCCTGTCCCAAGTAATCAGAACAAACATTTCTGGTTCTTTTCTCTTGTAAGCCCAAGCGTTTCATCTTGCAGGTAGCATGTGTGCTGGTCATTAGAACTGGGCTTTGGTGGAGAATCTTCCATCTGTGTCAGCAGGCACTTGGCCAGACCAGCCTGAGCCCCGCAGTCGGTGCTCTCAGGCCTTGGGCTCTGCTGCTCTAAGGGTGGCCCCATGTGCGGCATCCATAGGCCACCCAGTGCTTCTTTGTCTTGGCCTTCTTTTCACCTCACTCCTACGTCTGTTTGATTTCTGTGCAGCCAATTTGAAAAACCCTCTCCTGTTTTTGCATTCTGTGGTTCATGTGTCTCAGATTTTGCTTTGGGCTTTTTTCCTCCTGCCCTGAAGGTTAAAGACCTAGTTCTCATTTTAAAAGATGGAGAATCAGAAGACTCAGACATATCTAAAACAAAACAAAACAAAAAAAGCAGAGAAGATTCCAGTGTGGGGGCTGGTCCTTTGATGGCCAGAACTCTGCTGTCCCCACCTTCAGAGCCTCCACGCATCTGAGCACCTCTGGTGCCATTTCTCAGGTCATGTGATGTAGATTACATCTCGAATGTGTTTCTTGTGCTGTGGGTTAGGCTGCTTGGGTGTGGCAATGTCACAGCGGGGGCTGTCCATGGAAGCTTTGACCTAAAAGCGTGTTCTTTTTTTTTTTTTTGAGATGGAGTCTTGTTCTGTTGCCTAGGCTAGAGTGCAATAACGTGATCTCGGCTCGCTGCAACCTCCACCTCGTGGGTTCAAGCAGTTCTCCTGCCTCAGCCTCCCAAGTAGCTGGGATTACCCACCACACCCGGCTAATTTTTGTATTTTTAGTAGAGACGGGATTTCACCTTGTTGGCCAGGCTGGTCTTGAACTCGTGACCTCAGGTGATCCACTCGCCTTGGCCTCCCAAAGTGCTGAAATTGCAGGCATGAGCCACCACAGCCGGCCTAAAGGCACATTCTGTATCCAAACCTTTGCCTTCTTCCTGCGGACTCCACACCTCTTTACATAAGAAGGAAAGAACTCCTAAATTGATTTCTTTATAGTCCTCTTTTCTGTGTCTGTCATTTGTTCATGACTTCATTTATTAAACAAACACTGTCTAGTAAGGCCAAGAGGCCGTGACCGGGACAGGTTGCCCTCTGTCTCTCAGGATCCTATGCAGAGAGCTGGCTTGTTGTCTAGTGACAAGTCCTCTTTGTGCACAGCCAGCAGGAGGCACCCAGAGCTGCAGCAAGCTCTCCCACCCTCCAGGGGCCACATCCTGTGGTGGCCTCAGCTACTGCTTCCATGGCTCTCCCATCAGGAGCAGACACCCAAGCTTGACAAGCTAAGTGCTCTTTTCCAAGCACCTTTAGGAAGCCACCAGAGCAAAGTGAGAAAGGCCTCAGCTTCTTTGCCCAAGCTATTGGCAGCAGACAGAGCTTATCACGGGGGTCCAGGATGGGGAGTGGTGGGCAGTGCATATGGGTAGCTGGCCTGAGGTCCTCTCCTGCCCCTCTTCCCAGCCAGGCCTGGGCTCGGTGCTGTAGATTGGCAATCCTGTCTGGAAGAAGTCAGCTTTGGGATGTCCCAGGGCAGATGTCAGGAATGCACCTGTGCACATGCCTGTGCCTGCACACAGCTCAGGAGAGGCGCCTCCACGCTTGAGTGCCTGCTTCCCTGCGTGCAGGGGCTATGGGCCCAGGGGAATGAATGAGGAGACAAGGGTTTGGCTCTCACATGAAAGTTGACCTGGCAGTTGGCCTCCTGACTAAGAATTACTTCATAACCTAGCATATCTGCATAGTCTGGTAGAGTGCTCACCCTCCACCAGTTTGTTTTCAGCATTTATTCTTCCTCTGTGTAGGCTTTTATTATTTGAGGAAAAATGTGAGTTTTTTAGTGCTGCCAGGCAAAATCTCAAGGAGGCATGAAAACAAACTGCAGTCTCAGAAGCTGCTGTCCTCGTCCTGCTCTCATCGCCATCTTGAAGTCCTGGGGTGGGGAAGTTGCAGGGTGCTTCCCGCCTTTGGCACTAGAGGAGCCTTGTGGGGAGGTTTCTCCTAGGGAGTGCGGCCGGTTCTGGTGTGGCTGTGACTTTGGCGGCTGTCAGGGCCAGGCTGGGGGCCTCCATGCATGCCCTGCCCTATGTGTCATCCTGACACTCTCCATGGCCAGGAGCTCTTAGTTCAGTGACGTCACAAGATCTGCCCTGTGTCGTTTTCATCCAGATGTTAGCGTGCTCTTACAGTGGACACCTGCAGATCCTGTTGCTGTGAAGCACTTTGCCTCTCACTCGATTGCTGCCTGGACAGGTGACCCTTGCTCCAGGTGGTGACGGCAACCATTTCCTCTTTTCCTTGGTTCTCTCTCTAAAGACTCCTTTCCTTTTGGCCCTAATTGAAACACATGTGCTCCCTGGAGCTCCTCCTTGGGCCCTCACTGTCCTCAGGTGGGCTTGCAACTGCCTTCTGAGGGCCTGGGTGAGATTAGGGGCCCCTCAGTCAGCCTCGGACCAGCTGGCAGTCTGTGGGGCCTATCTCTAGAGTCTACAAACCTTTGCCTCAAACACTCCCAGCCTCCTTGACAAATTGCCATCAGCAATGTCCCTGTCCCTGCCCTACTGCAGACGAGGCCTCCCCAGGAATCTCTGCTTCTAGCAGATGGGGACTAGACATGGATTCCTCAGGCAGACCTGGCTTCACTCCACTTACTGCAGGGCAGGTAGCAGCACCATGAGCACGACCTGCGCAGCTCATGTCCCGTTGCTGGCTGCCGCTTGCCTGCTCAAGGTGGCAGGTAACCCAGTGTCCTTCTCCCCTTCTGCCTTCCTCTCCAAGCCTCTGGCTACTGCATGGTGTGAACTCGTGGCCACCTGGGCCTCCTGTTTCCCTCACCCTTAGGAGGTCCCAGTCTTTCATACTGATCCATCTGTCATGCCAGCAGCTGGATTGGGCTTTTAAAACATAGATTCAGGCTGGGCACAGTAGCTCACGCCTGTAATCCCAGCACTTTGGGAGGCAGGCGGATCACCTGAGGTCAGGAGTTTGAGACCAGCCTGGCCAACATGGAGAAACCCCGTTTCTACTAAAAATACAAAATTAGCCAGGCATGGTAGCGCATGCCGGTAATCCCAGCTACTTGGGAGGCTGAGGCAGGAGAATCGCTTGAACCCAGCAGGCAGAGGTTGTGGTGAGCCG